>NC_000007.14:71294657-71597688 GCF_000001405.40 Homo sapiens | reverse complement strand
GGCACAAATCACCATGGCTCATCTGCTGACAACCCTCCATCACTGTAACGCCTCTAGGCCAGCTGCCCTTCCTGTCTGCCTTTCCTCTCTGACACCACATTCAGCTCACTTTCTTGCATGTGAAATTCAGAAATGTTTGTTTATTATTTACTTATTTATTTATTTATTTATTACTCTTTTAAGGTTGGGGATTCACTCCATCACCCAGGCTGGAGTGCAGTAGCACAATCATAGCTCCCTGCAGCCTCCAACTTCTGGGCTCAAGTGATCCTCCTGCCTCAGCCTCCCAAGTAGCTGGAACTACAGGCATGCACCACTGCACTCAGCTAATCATTTAAAACTTTTTTGTAGGCCGGGCACGGTGGCTCACGCCTGTAATCCCGGCACTTTGGTAGGCTGAGGCAGGTGGATCACAAGGTTAGGAGATCGAGACCATCCTGGCTAACATGGTGAAACCCTGTTTCTACCAAAAATACAAAAAAAATTAGCCGGGCATGGTGGCGGGTGCCTGTAGTCCCAGCTACTTGGGAGGCTGAGGCAGGGGAATGGTGTGAGCCCGGGAGGTGGAGCTTGCAGTGAGCTGAGATCGCACCACTGCACTCCAGCCTGGGCAACAGAGCAAGACTCCACCTCAAAACAAACAAACAAACGAAACCCTTTTTTTGTAGAGATGGGATCTCACTATGTTGCCCAGGCTGGTCTCAAACTCCTAGCTGCAAGTGATTCTCCTGCATGGGCCTCCCACAGCACTGGAATTAGAGGTGTGAACCACTGTGCCTGGCCCCTCTGTCATTTTGTTGTACACAGATGGCAAAGCCTCAACCCTGAGTGGGTCTCCTCCAGCCCAAACTCATGTCCTGAGTGTTGCTAGGGTCCCTTATTGCAGGGAAGATGGGCCCTGATCACCACCCACAAGTGGTCCCCGACTCTGTGCCTGTGATTAAGGCAATTCCAATAGTCACAGTGAGTGTTTCACAGTTTAGCCAACTCTCCTAAACCTCTGACCTTGCTTCTGCCTTTTTCTTGCAGCACATGACCACATCTTCCATTGCACAGAGGAAGCAGGAGCCATCTCCCACAAACCTGCTCATCTTCAGGGTTGCAAACTCAAACTGAAGAAACATCTCCACACTCCCCTTCTTCCCTCCCATTTCACTAGAGAAGCCCTGACTTCTCCTAAGGCAGTTCCTACACCTGTACTCAGATTCCATCCTCTGTCTTTGCAGGTACTTTGCACTGTTTATCGATAATCCTTTAACTCTCTTGTTTATTCAACCTTTCCCTCTCAAATGGATCTTTCCCACTGGGCTTTCAACATGCATGAGCTGTTGAATTAAAAAACAAAGCAGCAGGCCAGGTGCAGTGGCTCACGCCTGTAATCCCAGCACTTTGGGAGGCCAAGGTGGGCGAATCACGAGGTCAGGAGTTTGAGACCAGCCTGGCCAACATGGTGAAACCCCGTCTCTACTAAAAATGCAAAAAATTAGCTGGGAGTGGTGGTGGGCACCTGTAATCCCAGCTACTTGGGAGGCTGAGGCAGGAGAATTGCTTGAACCCAGGAGGCGGAGGTTGCAGTGAGCTGAGATTGTGCCACTGCACTCCAGCTTGGGTGACAATGTGTGACTCCATCTCAAACAAGAAACAACAACAACAAAAAACAAATCAAGAAATCAATCCCATTTTCAATACCCGCAAAGAATATAAAAAACAAAGCAGATTAATCTCACGTTTGCCAACATCTACTCTCTTGCCCTTTATGGGATCCTCATCTCCCATTGATTCCTGCAACAAATTGTCTTTTCCAAAGACAACTACATTAGTATAAATCTCATCCCCCACAATCTTCCTGCGTGTCATGTTGACCATCCTCCACTGAAAGATGGGGTCATTGGAACTGGGAGAATATCTGTAGTTGTCTTGGCCAATGGAATGTGATGGCAGTGTTGCTGCCTGACCTTCTGGTTAGATCATAACAGGCAATATGGTGTGTGTGTGTGTGTGTGTGTGTGTGTGTGTGTGTGTGTGTGTCTCAGTCTCTCTCTCTATGCATCTTAGGAGTCTTGAGCCAACACATATGAAGGATGGCGTCTTCAAAGCCATCATGCTGGGAAGACCAGGAGAGGAACTGTAGATACACAGAAAGAAATGCCCAAGAAACTCTCACTGTTCCAGCCCAGCTGTTTAAATCTTCCAGGGTATCATGACTATCAATTCATCCTGGATTTTTTTACTTTCCTTTGCATCTTTTTTTTTTTTTGAGACAGAGTCTCCCTCTGTCTTACCCAGACTGGAATGCAGTGACACCATCATAGGTCACTGTAGCCTCAAATTCCTGGCTTCAAGTGATCCTTCCACCTCAACCTCCTTAGTAGCTATGACTACAGACATGTGACACCATGCCCAGTTAAACTGTTATTATTTTTATTTTTTGTATGGACAGGGTCTTGCCTTGTCGTCCAGGCTGGTCTTGATTTCCTAACCTCTAGCGATTCTCAGGTCCCGGCTTCCTAAAGTGCTAGCATCACAGGCATGGGCCACTGCATCCAACCCTCTTCCTCATCTCCTTTCTAGCTTTTGGTGGTGGCCATCAGTCTTTGGGGCTCCTTGGCTTGGAGCTACATCATCCTAATTTCTGACTCTGTTATCACATAGAGTTCTCCTTGTGTATCTGTGTCTTCCCCTCTCTTTATCACAACATGAATCACACTGGATTAGGGCCAGCCCTAATGACTTCATGTTACCTAGATTACATCTGCAGAGTCTCTATGTCCCAATAAGGTCATGTCCACAAGCACCAGGGGTAAGGACTTCAACATGCCTTTTGCAGGACACAATGCAACCCATAATACACTATTTCCTATCTGAATTCCTGGTGCACAGGAGAGATAATAAAATGATTACAGTTATTTTAAACCATTTACTATTGGGCTATTTGCTACATAGCTAGAACTGGAATATCGACCAACCTCCTCAAGCTCATCTCATGTGTTACTTGTCTGGTTCACAAGAATTCCTGCCTGCCTCCTCCCCTTCTGCCTGAGCATAGATCTCTTCCTATCTTAACAGCTTTGCTAGAGTTTCTCATGATATCCTGGTTCTGGCTGGGCACAGTGGCTAATCCCTATAATATGAACACTTCGGGAGACTGAGGTGGGCGGATCACTTGAGCTCAGGAGTTCCAGACCAGCCTGGGCAACAGGGCAAAACCCCATCTCTACTAAAAATACAAACATTAGCCAGGTGTGGTGGTGCACACCTGCGGTCCCAGCTACTCAGGAGGCTGAGGCAGGAGAATCACTTGAACCCGGGAGGCGGAGGTTGCAGTGAGCCGAGATTGTGCCACTGCACTCCAGCCTGGGTGACAGAGCGAGACTCTGTCTTAAAAAAATAAATAAATAATCCTGGTTCTTTAGGTACTTTGAGTACCTTTAGAGCTCCCTCCAGTCACATAGAGCAAACCCCAAACCTGCCCAGGTGTTCTCAGACTCAGACCATCCACCCCAGCTGGTCCCTGTGTCTCCCGCATAATTTTCCTTTGATAACGTTCCAAAAAGAGCCCCAAATTTCCCATCACCATTTAAGCCCAAAGAGATGGCTGATTTTCTGGGTGAGCAAAAAAAGGAGAACTTGATGTGTGTCAACAAGAGCCAAAACATTAAAAAAAAATGATAGCTTTTCACTGAAATCTGCACATTCCTTTGGCCTCTTACATCTGGAGAATGGACATTTGTAATTTCCCTGCGTGGTTGTTCTTGTAGGAGAGCTGGAATCTGAACGCGCCCCCAGAAAGTTTAGAAAAAGAAAAGTCTAAAAGCAAGCTTAGAAAAATATGTAGTTTTAGTTCTTTCCATTTCTGTCACATGGAGAAAGCACAAAGCTGTATTTCTAAACTTGAATGCTTTAAAATTTGTGGAGTTGTCCAACGCACAATGCATTCTCCTCATTCTCCTTTTAGATTTTCAAAAGGGAAGGGAATTCATGAGAAAATAGTGAAACGGGTACCACTTTGTTTCCTGTAAGGCAGACACTGGTTGCATATGGGTCTCCATTGAAGAAGTTCCCATCCATGACATTCTGCATATCTACAGACAGTAGCTTCAAGGGTGAGAGTCAAAATTGTCAAGGGGCCAGGCGTGGTGGCTCACGCCTGTAATCCCAGCACTTTGGGAGGCCAAGATGGGCAGATCACGTGGTCAAGAGACAGCGACCATCCTAGCCAACATGGTGAAACCCTGTCTCTACCAAAAATACAAAAATTAGCTGGGTGTCGTGGCACGCACCTGTAATCCCAGCTATTCGAGAGGCTGAGGCAGGAGAATAGCTTTAACCCAGGAGGCGGAGGATGTAATGAGCCGAGATCATGCCACTGCACTCCAGCCTGGCAACAGAGTGAGACTCCTGTCTCAAAAAAAAAAAAAAAAAAAAAAAAGGAAGAAAAATATTGGTAAATCTATCCATGAAATTTCCATTTAGACTTCTTGTCCCAAAACTAATTGTTTTTAAAAATTTATTATTATTATTATTATTATTATTATTATTGCAACAAGGTCCTGGTCTGTTGCCTAGACTGCAGTGCAAGGGTGCAATCATAGCTCCCTGCAGCCTCAACCACCTGAGGCTCAAGCAATCCTCCCACTTCAGCCTCCTGAGTTGCTGGGACTACAGGTGTGCACCACTACACCCAGCTAATTTTGTAAAGCTTTTGTAGAGACAAGAGTTTCACTATGTTGCCCAGGCTGGTCTCGAACTCCTGGGCTCAAGCAATTCTCCCACCTCTCCCTCCCAAAGCACTGGGATTACAGGCAATGTGCCACTATGCTCAGCCCTAACTGATTTAAGTAAGAGCTTCCACAATAATGATGGTCACTGGCATGAGTACTTTTCTTGCTGAGCTAGGCTGGTATATAATACTTCAAAAATGATGTTCAAGGACAAATGTTTCCAATCAGGGGGAGCCCCCAGCAGAAACCATCCAGACTGAGAAAATCATAAAGAGATGTCAGAGGCGTTTTATGCATGAATCCAGGTTCCTCTGTGGGTCCTGAAGCTGAGGAATGGGTTGCCTCACTCTGCATGCTTTATTTATTTTATTTTATTTTATTTTATTTTATTTTATTTTATTTTAGTATGCTATGCTATGCTATTTTATTTTATTTTATTTTATTTTATTTTATTTTATTTTATTTTATTTTTGAAATGGAGTTTCGCTCTTGTCACCCAGGCCGGAGTGCAGTGGCACGATCTCAGCTCACTGCAACCTCTGCCTCCCAAGTTCAAGTGATTCTCCTGCCTCAGCCTCCCGCATAGCTGGGATTACAGGCACTTGCCACTACAGCTGGCAGCCAGCCCACCTAAGCGTCATGCTGCAAAATGCATAGGAAAGACAGTGTGGGCGCCAGAAAGACCCGACCTGTCTCAAGTGGCTCCTCTGGACCCAGTCTCTGCATCGCTTGGCCTGGTCCATCATTTTTCCTCTGGTCTTCCTGGCTCTCCAGTGCTTTGGTTTACACACTCCAGCCTTGATTCCTTCCTGCTCATGGCATCTCCTCCTTCAAGTGATAATTCAGACTCTTCCCACTGCCCAGTTCCCTGGCCCTGGAAGCATCCACAGTTCCAGGCACAAAAAGCATTGGTCCCACAGCACCACAGGCAACTGACAGACGGACAGCTCCATCTGCGCCCTTGGCATCTTTGCAAGAGAAGAGGAAATAAAACAATGACATTTCGGCAGGGTGCTGTGGCTCATGCCTGTAATCTCAGCACTTTGAGAGGCCGAGGCAGGCGGATCACCTGAGGTCAGGACTTCGAGACCAGCCTGGGCAACATGGTGAAACCCCGTCTTTACTAAAAATACAAAAATTAGCTGGGCGTGGTGGCATGCGCCTGTAATCCCAGCTACCCAGGAGGCTGAGGCAGGAGAATCGCTGGAATCTGGGAGGCAGAGGCTGCAGTGAGCCGAGATCACGCCACTGCACTCCAGCCTGGGTAACAGAGCAAGACTCTGTCTCAAAAACAAACAAACGAACAAACAAACAAACAATCAACAGTGACATTTCTCAGATGAGCCCATTTCCAATGAGCCAAAAGATGGGAAACCATAGATAGATAACTTGGTTGCAAATACCTGAGGAGTTTCCCAGACATGCGACTAATTTCCTGTGGAAGCTCTGAAAATGTAAGAAATTGCAGTGGAGGTCCTGGAAGGCTGAGCACATCACAGTCCCTATGGCTCTTTCACAGACATCTACCCAACTGCTGGATCCAGGGCTGCAGGGAGCAATTCGGGACCCTTACAGCTGTTCCTTGTGATTTGATATTCAACAGGCCTAGAGCCAGGCGTGGTGGTGGCTCACGCCTGTAATCCCAGCACTCTGGGAGGCTGAGGTGGGCAGATCACCTGAGGTCAAGAGTTCAAGACCAGCCTGGCCAACATGGTGAAACCCTGTCTCTACTCAAAATACAAAAATTAGTCGGCATGATAGCACATGCCTGTAATCCCAGCTACTCAGAAGCCTGAGGCAGGAGAATCGCTTGAACCCATGAGGTGGAGGTTGCAGTGAGCCGAGATGAAGCCGCTGCATTCCAGCATGGGAGACAGAGCGAGACTCCGTCTCAAAACCAAACAAATGGCCAGGCGCGGTGGCTCATGCCTGTAATCCCAGTACTTTGGGAGGCCTAGGTGGGTGGATCACCTGAGGTCAAGAGTTCGAGACCAGCCTGGCCAATATGGCGAAACCCTGTCTGTACTAAAAATACAAAAAATTAGCTGTGCTTGGTGGCGGGCACCTGTAATCCCACTTGTGCTTGGTGGCAGGCACCTGTAATTCCAGCTACTTGGGAGGCTGAGGCTGGAGAATCGCTTGAACTCAGGAGGCGGAGGTTCCAGTGAGCCGAGATCGAGCCACTACACTCCAGCCTGGGCAACAAGAGTGAAACTCCATCTCAAAAAACAAACAAACAAACAACAACAACAAAAAGAAAGTGCTATTCAACATGGCTACATGGACAGGGAACAAATAGTTGTGCCCTAAATAGAATAGGGGCAGGTTGAGTCCCCTCCCTTTTTCTGTGGAAATAGTAGAAAATGACAACAAGCACATCAGGATGTCATCTCCTAGGGCCTTGCCCCAGAAACCCAGAGCCATAAATCACCCACATCACTAAAGTCCCAACTGGAGAGGATGGTGTAAATTCAGGTTCACATTTATAGAGAATCAAATTATTGCTTTATTCCCAAGGAGATGAATGAGAGTGACAGGCTTTTTGGAGTTATAAAAATAGATGGATGCTTCCTATAAAATAACTCACAGATGCCTACAATAATTTACAATAGATCTGGCAGGCTGGGAGCAGGCAAGTGAAATTCCAAACAGAATACCACACTATTTTCCAGTGGTAGAGTAAATGGTTTGGCTATTATGATAATACATTTCAGCAGAGCAAATCTATCTCCCCTTAATAGAAATACATTAGACATCATTTATAAAAATATCAACATTGCAGTTCTATTTCTTGAACTATAACTTCGACATAAATATAATACAATTTATGGATGAGGAAATCCAATTTCATGCTGTTTCAAACACATTTTTGTTTATTACATAACTACAGTTCTCTATATATGAGATAGTGTAGTACATGAAATACATGTACGGGCATGGTTCCTATCTGTGTGTCTACATAAAGATTATGAACATAATCTATTGCAGATGGAATTGTTTTATGATATGCATTATATACAAGCATCATCCATAGCACCTACCATATGACTGCGTCACCGTGTATCTGCAATATTGTCACAGTTATCCAGATGGTGGAAGAATAAAGTTATATGGATGAATAAATTCCAAGCAAGAGGTCGCAAGCCTCATAGAACTCAAATTATGTAGATTTGGGTTGAGTTCCGGCTGTTCTATTTATTAGCTGTAAGACCTTGGACAAGTTGACTTGTGTCAATCCCAGTATTATCATCTGTAAAATAGGTTCAATAATGAAAAACGCACAGAAATCTCACGAGCACTGAATAATGTAATGTTTATAAAGCGTTTACTACAGTGTCTGGAGTACTGTTAGTGGCAATCCACAGTAGGTATTACTTTTTTCTTTTTTTTTTTTCAGAGACAAGGTGTCAGTTTGTCACCCAAGCTGGAGTGTAGTGTTATGATTATAGCTCACTGCAGCTTCAAACTCATGGGCTCAGGCCATCCTCCTGCCTCAGCCTCATGAGTAGCTGTGACTACAAGGGCACACCACCATGCCTGGGTAATTATTTTTTGTAGAGACGGGTCTCCCTATTTTGCCCAGGCTGGTCTTGAACTCCTGGGCTCAAGTGATTCTCCTGTCTTAGCCTCTCAAAGCACTGAGATTACAGGTGTGAGCCACTGTGCCTGGCTAGGTATTACTTTTAAGTTCTCCTTTGTCCCATTTAACGTAATAACATTTGTGTGAACTCATTCTCAAAACTGGTACCTGCCAGCTTGCCTTAGTAAGCTAAGTACTCTGAATACAGACTAACTGTGGTGCAAAAAGTGCTTCTCAATGAAAATTACAAAGAAGACCAGTCTATGGTTTCCCCTCATTGTGGCTTCTCTTTCCTTCTCCGAGCAGTCCATTCTGTTCTCTGCTACCTCCACACACTAATAACAGTGCTGGTGTTTCTTGACACTCACTTCCCACGTTTAGCTTTTTAAGGGCCCCGTATTGACCCTTATGTGGGCTATGTGTCCTCTCTGGCTCAGTTTTGGTATGCAAAGATATAGTTTAGCTTTGACAATCAATAGGGTAATTTGGGGGAGGGAGGGTGGAGGATTTTTTTTTTTCTTATGTCTGGAAGTTCTTGGATTTTTCCCCAGTGCTGTAGCAATAATAGTAATCACCGAGCTTCCAGCTGGATTCATGAGACCAGCCACAGTGATGGTGGACTGGCACAAATTACCACACAAAACAAATCCATGTTAAGCAGAAGTCCAGATTGGCAGCTTCTCTGGGAGTATGGGTTGTCCGACATTGTAGAACTGAAGGCCCAAGAGAGTGCTGGGTAGAATCAACCTAAAAGCAGAGTGTTTGGTGCATGTGGCTGTGACTACACAGCAATACCTAAAGAATGCTAAAATTTTAGGTCAACTGAGTTTAGTTAACTGACTTGTAGCCTCGGTAGAAAAGAAAAAACAAAAGTGAACTTAATTGTTCAATGCCATATAGCTCTAATAGTCTATATCAAGGAGGTGGTATAATCACACAGAGAAAATTATGTCAAATAATTTTAAAGACATTGGTTGTACATCTATAATGGAATATATCCTAGGGACAAAACAAACCATAAAGAAATATTAAACCTCATCCAATCAACTTGTTAGTATTCTTATTTTGAAACTATTATTTATATATTGTAGGATAAGTCAAATAAGAAATGATGTCAATAAGAACCAAGACTTTCAGTGAAAAGTAAATATAAAATATAAGAAGTAAATACCTGGTAATTACAAATTTGAACAGAAGACATTAGTATGAAATAATGATTTACCTTACTCTTTCTAAAAAAACAAAAATCAGTGTTGTCTAGCTTTGTTCATGGAAAAGGCTTAGAAACAATGGCAACCTAGTGGCAATGAGCACCCTCACTGACAAGACTTCGGTCTCTAAATACCATTTCCCATTGGAAGGGATTGGGATTCCTTAGAGAAATGGCCAATTCCAGGTCTAGGACAGTAAATAACAAGACAGGACAGGAACTTCTTCTTGTGCCAGAAAGCAAGGATGTTCTGCAAAGTGGCTGCTTAAGCCTTTTTGCAATATTTTAATTTTGACTTTTAGGATTTATTACACATAATCTGCATAAGATTCCTTCATCAGTTACAGGCATTATGAGTATTTTTCCCGGCATGTGGCTTGGCTATTCATTTTTTAATACTTTGTTTAGATGAGCTGAAATTTACATTTTAAGTCAAATTTATCATTTTTTCTTTATTAGTGTTTTTTTAATGTTTTCAGTACAAAAAAGTATTACCCACAGCAAGATACTCTCTTATGTTTTCAGCAGGGCCTTTATGATCATAGACCTAAGTGTGAAAGATAGAACCATATAAACTTTCTAGAAGAAAATACATAAGAAAATGAACAGACAAGCCACAGACAGTAGAAAAATATTCACATAGTACATATCACTGAAAAAGTAATAGTACCCAGAATACATACCACAGACCCCTGGAAATCAACAACAAAATGAAAAAACATGATGTTTAAAAATGGGCAAAAGGAGATACACAAATTAACTATAAGCTCAAAAAAAGGTGCTCATCCTCCTTCAAGGAAGAGTAAATTAAAACCATACTGAAGTACCCCCCTTCAAAGGGTAAAGAGGTGGCTGGGTGCGGTGGCTCACACCTGTTATTTCAGCACTTTTGGAGGCTGAGGCAGGCGGATCACTTGAGGCCAAAAGTTCGAGACCAGCCTGGCCAACATGGTGAAACCCCATGTCTACTAAAAATAGAAAAATTAGCCTGGTGTGGTGGTGTGCGCCTATAGTCTCAGCTACTCAGAAGGCTGAGGCAGGAGAATCGCTTGAACCCAGGAGGCAGAGGTTGCAGTGAGCTGAGATCACACCATGGCACTCCAGCCTGGGTGACAGATTGACTTTGTTTCAAAAAAGAAAAAACAAAAAACAAAAAAGGTAGAGAGGAGAAAGGAGGAAGAGAGCTTGATTAATGGATACAAACATACAGTTGGATAGAAGAAATAAGACCTAGTGTTTGATAGGTCAGTAGGGTGAATATTGTATACCATTACCTTTTATATATTTCAAAACAGCTAGAAGAGAATGAATGTTTTTAGAAAAAAGTCAAATATTTATGACTATAAATATCTCAATTACACTGACTTGATCTTTACAAATTATATGAACATATTAAATTATCACATGTACCCCCAAAATATGTACATCTATTATGTGTCAATAAAAATAAATAAATAAAAGAATCCTTTCAGTGTGCCATGCAATTAAAAAAAAAAAACCCTACTAGGTTTGGTAAAATAGATTCTGACAATACCAAATACTGCAAAAGAGGTGGAACAGTGGAAAATGGCACATTTTGGATACCTGATTGACAGTTTCTTTAAAAGTTGAACACACATCTTCTAGATATTCCAACTATTCAAATCCTAGGTATCTACCCAAGCGAAATCTAAACAAATGTTCATAAAAGACTTTTATATGAATGCTCATACCAGTCCCAAATTGGAAACAACCCAATTATTCCTCAGTAGGACAATGAATAAACAAATTGTCATATATTGACACAGAGGAATACTTCTCAGTAAACGACAAAGACTGTGTTGCTGATAGATACACACAACTGCAACATGGAGAATCTCACAAACATTCCTTTAGTTGAAAGAAGTCAGATACAATAGAGACTATAAGATGTGATTCCATTTATGTGATATTCTGGAACAGACACAACTAATCTATGGTGATAAAAATCAGGGCTGGGTGCGGTGGCTCATGCCTGTAATCCCAGCACTTTGGGAGGCTGAGGAGGGTGGATCAGTTGAGGTCAGGAGTTCGCGACTAGCCTGGCCAACGTGGTGACACCTCGTCTACACTAAAATACAAAAATTAGCCAGGTGTGGTGGCAGGCGCCTGTAGTCCCAGCTACTTGGTAGGCTGAAGCAGAATTGCTTGAACCTGGGAGGCAGAGGTTGCAATGAGCCAAGATCGTGCCACTGCACTCCAGCCTGGGTGACAGAGCAAGACTCCTTCTCAAAAAAAAAAAAAAGAAATCAGGAAATGCTTGCTGGGGCGGGAAGTGTGGGGTGGGGAGGAGGAAAGAACTGATAGGAAAAAGGGACTTTCTCAGGCAACAGAAATGTCCAATGTCAGGTTTTCAGAGGTGATTATAGGGGTATATATTAATCAGACTGTGAAATTCATCAGACTGAAGACTGGCAATCTGTACATTGGACTGTATTAAATTATGCTTTAATAAAAGTAAATATACAGTGGGCAAAAAATGAATAATGACAATGGATTTAGACATATAAAATATTTATTTAAAAAAAAACCCTTGAGTCCATATTATTGAGGAAAAAAAAGAAAACCTCATTGGTCATCTTAAGAGGGTGCTATGACACCAACTCATTATTCTGAAGATGTTTAAATAAAAAGAAGAAATCAAGCATTTATCCTGCTTTCCTGGTTTGAATTGTATTTCAGAATACACAAATAGTTGAGTAGGAAAAGTTACTTTTAATGGAAGAATTACAGCTTATAAATGCAGAATGAGTGTAGAGTCTAAAAATCACCATTCCGTAGGCCCTAATGAATTAATGGGTGTAGGCAGTGATCATTGGTAGCTGCTAAAACCATTAATTAAGTGAAAGATTGATGGGGAGCTTTATAATGAATCAATCAGGCTGACAACACCTGAACCTGCTGTTGAATCCTAACATCAGAAACAGTGAGATAACCAGACATTATGTATCTCCCAATGTCAGCACTAGGAAGTTCATAGCAGAGCTTAAAGTGTTCTTGCCAAAAAGAAAGAAAGGAAAAAATAAAGGAAGAAGTAATCAACCTTGTAGATCTAATTACAGCTTAGAAAAATAAAAAGAAGATTAAAGGAACAAGTTAAAGACATCAAGAAACATCAATCTGCTAAATCCAGATTGTGTGAAATTGTATAGGACAAATGACTTGGTTTCTTTGACAAATGAATGACATGAAATTAATAAAGGTGAGAAGACCCCGTCTCTACTAAAAATACAAAAAATTAGCTTGGCGTGGTGGCGGACGCCTATAGTCCCAGCTACTCCGGAGGCTGAGGCAGGAGAATGGCGTGAACTCGAGAGGCAGAGCTTGCAGTGAGTGGAGATCGCGCCACTGCACTTCGCGAGACTCTGTCTCAAAATAAATAAATTAAATAAATAAATAAATAAAGGTGAGAAGAAATGTTGCAGATTGAAAGATACTTTAGAGACACATCAGCCAAATGCAGTGTGTAGACCTTGCTGGGATTCTTATTTGAGTAAGCTGACTATCAAACAAATTTTTTTGAGAAAATATAACTGAGTTTTGAGAAATATTTTTGAGAAAACATGGACTGGGTAATGGATTTTCCTAAGTGTAATTTTATGTCGAGACTATGTTTTTAAAGAGTCTTTATATGTTGGCAATGCACTGTAAAGTATTTATAGATGGAATGAGACGATGTCTGGGGATTTGTTTTTAAAAAGTCAATGAGCAGTAACTGAAAAAAACAGCAAAATGTTAATATTTGTTAAAGCTGAATGATCAGTACATTTGGATTCATTATGCTGTGCTATCTTCGTGTATGTTTCAAGTTTTCCATCAAAAATGTTGAATTAAAATAAAAGAAATTAGCATAAAATGTAATGACTGAATTCTTCATTTTCCAGTTTGTTTTGAAGGGAAAAAAACAGTGAGACAAAATAATCTAAACCTCTCATCCACTCGGGGGAAAATTTCCAGACTGTATAAAATTTAGCATTACAGAATTTAAGAAACTCTAAGAAGGAGGCCCTTTTTTGTTTGTTTGTTTTGAGACCCAGTCTGGCTCTGTCTCCCAGGCTGGAGTGCAGTGGCGCAACCTTGGCTCACTGCAACTTCTGCCTCCCAGGTTCAAGTGATTCTCCTGCCTCAGCCTCCCGAGCAGCTGGGATTATAGGCGCGTGCCACCACGCCCGGCTAATTTTTTGTATTTTTTTTTTTTCAGTAGAGACGGGGTTTCACCATGTTAGCCAGGATAGTCTCCATCTCCTGACCTCGTGATCCACCTGCCTCAGCCTCCCAAAGTGCTGGGATTACAGGCGTGAGCCACCGCGCCCAGCCAGGAGGACCTTAGTCTACAACTGACTTCACGGTCCTGGACATCGTTTGGAAGGTCTCTTGAGGAAGGGCTGTTTGGTGTGTGGTGTGTGTGTGTGTGTGTGTGTGTGTGTGTGTGCATGTGTGTTCATGCATGTGCATGTTATAGCTTTCTACATAGATCAGCCTGTTACTCTTCTTTAAGAGGATGGCAATACATTTTAATAAAGATAGCAAAATGGCCCTGCTATCTAATGCCAGGGAATCTGTTTAATTTTTCCCCTTTTTCCATGTCCAATAAAACTTCGTTCTGCACTGAGGCTGAGTACGTTGTGTAACAGTGAAAGCTGGAAGAAAAAGGTGCCACTGCAGAGACAAACTTACAGGTGAGCAGCTCATCATCTGCAGCTCTAGGGAGGGGCTACGGGGGCCTGACTATCTCTTCCTGGCAGGTGACATAGAGGCAAACAGGTGGCCAGATGTGGTGGCTCAGGCCTGTAATCCTAGCACTTCGGGAGGCCGAGGTGGGCGGATCATGAGGTCAGGAGATCGAGACCATCCTGGCTAACACGGTGAAATCCCATCTCTACTAAAAATACAAAAAATTAGCCGGGCGTGGTGGTGTGCCCCTGTGGTCCCAGCTACTCAGGAGGCTGAGGCAGGAGAATCGCTTGAACCTGGGAGGCGGAGGTTGCAGTGAGTCGCGATCCTGCTACTGCACTCCAGTTGAGAAATTCAGAAACCCACATACTGGCCTGAAATTGGAGTATGGAGCAGAGATGTGAAAGTTGTAAACATTTTGAAAAACTAATTTTCCCCAAAATTATTTCGGGAGGGGAAAAAAAGATGATAGGCTTCAATTTTTTAAAATCCTACTTTCCCAATTTGTTTTATTTTTTATTTCCATAGGTTATTGGGGAACGGGGGTGTTTGGTTACCTGAGTAAGTTCTTTAGTGGCGATTTGTGAGATTTTGATGCACCCATCACCCAAGCACTATACCCTGCACCCTATTTGTAGTCTTTTTTCCCTCACCCCCTTCCCACCCTTTCCCCTGAGTCACCGAAGTCCATTGTGTTACTCTTATTCCTTTGCATCCTCATAGCTTAGCTCCCACTTATGAGCAAGAACACACGATCTTTGGTTTTCCATTCCTGAGTTACTTCACTTAGAATAATAGTCTCCAATCTCATTCATGTTGCTGCAAATGCCATTAATTCATTCCTTTTTATGGCCGAGTAGTATTCCATTGTATATATATACCACAGATTCTTTTTTTTCTTTTTTTGAGACGGAGTCTTGCTCTGTCACCAGGCTGGAGTGCAGTGGCACGATCTCAGCTCACTGCAACCTCCGCCTCCCAGGTTCAAGAGATTCCCCTTCCTCAGCCTCCCGAGTAGCTGGGTCTAAGGCGCATGTCACCATGCCCAGCTATTTTTTTTTTTTTTTGTATTTTTAATAGAGACAGTGTTTCACCATGTTGGCCAGGATGATCTCCATCTCCTGATCTCGTGATCTGCCCGTCTTGACCTCCCAAAGTGCTGCGATTACAGGTGTGAGGCACTGCACCCGGCCACCACAGATTCTCCATCCACTCTTTGATTGATGGGCATTTGGGTTGGTTCCACATTTTTGCAATTACGAATTGTGCTGCTACAAACATGTGTGTGCAAGTATCTTTTTTGTAAAATGACTTCTTTTCCTCTGGGTAGATAACAGTAGTGGGACTGCTGGATCAAATCGTAGTTCTACTTTTAGTTATTTAAGGAATCTCCATACTGTTTTTCATAGTGATTGTTCTAGTTTACATTCCCACCAGGTATAACACATATGGCCACTACCTGCTGTAACTCACACGCTCAAACCATAGCAGGAATCCCTATGTCCTCGCTCCTCTAAGTCAGCCCACACCCTAAGCACTGTGGCCTTGCAGACTCCAGGGTGGAATGGAGAATAGCCAACTCTTGTCCTGGCACCCCTCTGCCAAATCCCACTCTTGGCCAGAGTCCCTTCCCAGCCTTGTGTTCCCTTGACATCTCACTGTCAGGTTAGAGAGAACTGCTACTCCTCAAACTCAGCATTTCTAAAATGGAACTACTCATGTCCCCACTGACAAACCTACCCTACCAGAGTCCTCTATTTAGGGGATTGCAGTCAGTTGCTGGGAAGCCTGGGAGATACCCTTAATAATCCCTTCTCATTCACTCCTCTCATTCAGTGGACCACCACTGATATAATTTGCCTCTGTCTCCCCACCCAAATCCCATCGTGAATTGTAATCCAAATTGTAATCCCCACGCGTTGAAGGAGGGACCTGGTAAGAGGTGATTGGATCATGGGGGTTGGTTTCCCCCATGCTGTTCTTATGATAGTGAGTGAGTTCTCACGAGATCTGATGCTTTAAACGTGGCCGGGCGCAGTGGCTCACAGCTGTAATCCTAGCACTTTGGGAGGCCAAGGCGGGTGGATCACATGAGGCCAGGAGTTCAAGACCAGCCTGGCCATCATGGTGAAACCTCATCTCTACTAAAAATACAAAAATTAGCCGAGCATGGTAGTGCACATCTGTAATCCCAGCTACTTGGGAGGCTGAGGCATGAGAATCACTTGAGCCCAGGAGATGGAGGTTATAGTGAGCTGAGATTGAGCCACTGTACTCCAGCCTGGGTGACAGGGCGAGAGACTATGTCTCAATCAAAACAAAACAAAACATAAAAGTGTTTAGCCCTTCCTCCCTTGCTTGGTCTCTCTCCTGCCACCAGCTAAAACATGCCTTGATTCTCCTTCCCCTTCCACCATGATTGTACGTTTCCTGAGGCCTCCCCAGCCATGCACAACTGTGAATCAATTAACTGTCTTTTGTTTATAAATTACCCAGTCTCAGGTATGTCTTTATAGCAGTGTAAGAACAGATTAATACAACCACTCTCTGTCTATCACACCTCCTAAAGGGCACCGGTACATCCAAGTCTATCTCAGGCTTAGTGCTCCCTCCTTGGCTTAATCCCCACACATGCAAATGCCTCTGGGCTGGCCTGGGGTGTCTCAGAAACATGAGATTTATCATATAATCTTTCCACCTTCTCCCAAACCTCCTCCAACAGTGCTCCTTAGAGAACAGCAACACTATTTCCCACCTGCTCAGCCTGGACTCCCACTTCTCTTCATCCCCTGCATACACTCAATCTCCAGGCCTTGTCTCTTCCACTTCCTGAATTTGTCCATTCCTCTCCCACTGTCACAACCATATAGGTCAAGCCCCTCCTCACCAGCTTTTCCTGAGTGTACGCAGCTTTATCATCTATTTTCCACATGGCTGTCATCATTATCTTTTTAGTAAAAAGAAAAGTCTAATCCTCTTACTTCTTTTAAATCCCCTCAAGGGTGGTAAGTAATGGGTACTTGAGACTATCTATGTCTCATCTATCTATCTATCTATCTATCTATCTATCTATCTATCTATCTATCATCCATCTATCAATTTATCTATCATCTATTTATATATCATCTGTCTAATCTATCATCTATATCTATCTTCTTTGTATCCATCTATCATCTACATCTATCATCCATGTATCTTATCTATCATCTATCTAATCTATCAAACTATCATCTATTTATCTGTCTATATAATCAGTCTATCATCTCTATCTATCCATCAATCATCTATCGAATCCATCATCTCTATCTAACCTATATCTCATCTATCTATATCATCTATCCATCTATCTGTTATCTCTATTATCAATCTAATCTATAATCTATCAATCTATCCATACCTATATATTTCATCTATCTAATCTATCATTCTATCCATCATCTCTATCTATCCATCCATCATCTCTATCGTCTATATCTCTATTACCTACTATCTCTATCATTAATCTATCATCTATCTCTATCATCCCTCTATCTATCCATCCATCCATCCATCATCCATGCATCTTTCTCTCTCTAATCTATGTATCTATCATGTCTCTGTCTCTCCCTCTCTCTCTCTTTCTTCCTACCTACCTATCTATTTGTCTACCTAACCTACCTATCTAAAATGTCTACAGTGATCCTTAAGAAAAAGCCAACTTTCTGCTTATCAATCCTCATAATCTGGGCCCCACCTTGATGGTTGTCGCTGCATCTAAGAGGTTT
Organism: Homo sapiens; assembly: GCF_000001405.40. Classification (NCBI taxonomy): domain Eukaryota; kingdom Metazoa; phylum Chordata; class Mammalia; order Primates; family Hominidae; genus Homo; species Homo sapiens. Next base: position 71,579,721 of record NC_000007.14, on the reverse strand, counting down.
TCTTCCCCCTTTCTCTGCTCTAACCATCCTGAACTCCCAAGGTCCTCAGGACACATTTATCTCTCAGAATTCCAAATCTTTGCAGATGTTTTTCTGTCTAGAATATTCTTCCTTGCACACCTCCTTCTTTGCTTATCTATATTAAACTCACTTTAGAATTCTTAAACAGCATTTCCGTAAGAAGGTTCCTCCCAACTCCCTAGACTAGGCTATATTTCCTTACTATATTTTCCCACAGCATTGCTCTATCTTGTTTTTTCACACTCATCACAGTGCTAATTATTTATTTCATGAACAGTATTTCTGTCTGACTATAAATTTCATGGAGATAGAGACCCCATGTATTGACTGTGGTAGCTCCAGTGGAAATGCCTGCTGGGCTACAGAAGGCACTCACCAAGTTTCCATTTAATCAGAAGTATTCAGTTGAACTGTTGGCCACCAGTCATACATTCCCCTCCATGAAAGACCAGTTTGTGAAATCTCAAGGCTCACTCTATACTGGGACAAGACCAGGAACTTTGCTTTGATCTGTATCACAGATAAACTTGGGCTCTGCCCTACAAAGGTATTCACATAGCCAAGGATGACTTCCTTCACACCAGGCCTTGGATCCAACCTTGACCAGTGCCAATAGGTGAGAGAACAAAGACTCATGCAATCTAAAAAGTATGAAAATGAAAACGGACTGATCATCTGGTCCTCTCTGGGATGGACCATGATGCAAATTACATTATTCAATGGATGTAGCAAATTTGAGCTCGAGAGTTCCAAATGGACAACACAGGCCACAGAAGGCTTTGGGACATCAGGGTTCCTGATGCCAGAGGTCTCAGAGAAGGCAGGGGGAAATCTCTCTTGGTTAACATGGATGGATGGGTCCCTAAAACCATAGAGAAGTGGCTAGGGCGGGGATCAGGAGGGCAGGCAGAAGGCCTTGCAAGAGCTAGCTGTAGACAAGAGGGAAGCAAAACTAAGAACAAGAGACAGGGCAAAGAGACCTGTGGGAGTGGGAAATGCTGTTTTCATTCAGGTTCCTGGGGCTTTGGCTATTCCAGATGGCTCATAATTTCTATATAAGGCCAGGCACAGTGGCTCACGGCTGTGGTCCCAGCATGTTGAGAGGCTGAGATGGAACAGTCCCTTGAGGTCAGGAGTTTGACATCAGCCTGGGCAACATAGTGAGACCCCCATCTCTACAAAAGAACCAAAAAACAACAATTAGCTGGTTGTAGTGGTGTGCACCTGCAGTCCCACCTACTTGGGAGGCTGAGACAGGAGGATCACCTGATTCTAGGAGTTGGAGGCTGCAGTGAGCTATAATTTTTGTAACTGCACTCCAGCTTAGATGACAGTGAGAATTTGTCTATATATATAAAAATTGTAGGCCGGGTGTGATGGCTCATGCCTGTAATCCCAGCACTTTGGGAGGCCGAGGTGGGTGGATCACCTGAGGTCAGGAGTTCCAGACCAGCCTGACCAACATGGTGAAACCCCATCTCTATTAAACGCAAAAAATTAGCCAGGCGTGGTGGTGGGTGCCTGTAATCCCAGCTAGCTGGGAGGCTGAGGCAGGAGAATCGCTGGAACCCAGGAGGCAGAGGTTGCAGTGAGCCGAGACTGCGCCACTGCACTCCAGCCTGGGCAACAAGAGTGAAACTCCATCTCAAAATAAATAAATAAATAAATAAATAAATAAATAAATAAATAAATAAATGTAAACAACCCCTCCGAAGGAGCAAGCCTTCAAAACCCACTGCTGATGTGATCTCAGTTGGCTCAGACACTATGAAACCCTGAGTCTGCGAACCACCCCCCAGGTCTTCAGTGCCTTCAGCTTGAATGGACAGAGCTAGACAAGATGGCAGGAGTTCTAACCATGTCTCCACCTGAGTCCTGAAAGTGGCACTCCAACTCCTCAGAGAAATGGAATGGCTCAGAGACATCTTGAGCTATGCAACCAGCAATTAAGGCATCTGGGTTAAACTCTGCTTTTTAAGAATGTTATGTTTACCCTGAGTGCAAATTAAAATACGCTTGTTCTTTGCCCATCACTCATCATGACTCATCTAAGCCAACACGGACTCAGAGTCTGAATCGCTTCCTGGTGACTGTTATGGAGCAACAGGGAACCCAACAAGAAGACCCCTGCAGGGGCTGAACCATGGAAAGGCCCTGAGGGCTGGGCTGGAATCGGCAAGAAGGTTATCTCACTTGAGCATCCTCAAACCCTCTTATATCCTTTCCTCCATGATGGCTTACTGGTGTCAAAATTTTGCGTGTGTGTGCGTGTGTTTGTGTGTGTCTGGGAATGGAGAGCTCATTTCTTGTATTAATTTTTTAAACTTCAACTTTTGTTTTAGTTTCAGGGGATACATAGGCAAGTTTCTCACATGGGTGTTGTGTGTGATGCTGAGCTTTGGAGGAACAACCGATGCCATCACCCAGGTAGTGAACATAGTACCCAATAGGTAGTTTTTCAACCCTTGGCTGCTGTCTGTCTCCCCACTCTAGTAGTCCCTGGTGTCTGTCATTCCCATCTTTATGTCCATGGGTACCCAATGTTTAGTTCCCACGTATAAGTGAGAACATGTGGTATTCGGTTTTCTGTTCTTGTGTTAATTCACTTAGGATAATGGCCTTTCACTGTATCCATGTTGCTGCAACGGACATGATTTCAATCTTTTTTAGGGTTGCATGGTATTCTGTGGTGTCTACGTACCACATTTTCTTTATCCCATCCACTGTTGACAGGCACCTGGTTGATTCTATGTCTTTGCCATTGCGAATAGCACTGTGATGAACATATGAATGCAGATGTCTTTTTGGTAGAATGGCTATTATTAAAAATTCAAGGCCAGGAGCGTGGCTCGTGCCTGTAGTCCTAGTACTTTGGGAGACCGAAGCGGGCAGATCACTTGAGGTCAGAAGTTTGAGACCATCCTGGGCAACATGGGGAAACCCTGTCTCTACTAAAAATACAAAACTTAGCCAAGTATGGTGTGTGCCTGTAGTCCCAGCTACTCTGGAGGCTAAGGCAGAAGAATCACTTGAACCTGGGAGGCGGAGGTTGCAGTGAGCTGAGATCGTGCCATTGCACTCCAGCCTGGGCAACAGAGCAAGACTCTGTCTCAAAAAACAAACAAACAAACAAAACACACACACACACACACACACACACACACACACACAAAGTTAAAAAACAACAGATGCTGGCAAGGCTGCAGAGAACAGGAACACTTGTACACTGCTGGTGGGAATGTAAATTGCTTCAGCCACTGTGGAAAGCAGTTCAGAGATTTCTCAAAAAACTTAAAACAGAACTACCATTCAATTCAGCAATCCCATTACTGGATATACACCCAAAATAAATAAATCATTCTCACAAGTGTTTTCACAATTCAATGCATCCACACAAGAATTCTGCCTTTTATTCAGTCCTTGGGATTCGTGATAAAGTCAAGACAGTCTTTGGTCATTTGGGGATCTGAAAGTGTGTCTCCCTTGTCTTCCTTTAGAAAGGACTCCCCAGCAGGACGCAGCAGTCTTGGGTGCCATGTTTTTATATAAGAGAACAGAAGAAGAGAATGCCTTTTCTTCGTAAATGGACTGATATATTAGAGAATGACTTTACATCATTTTAAAGTAACCTATCTTTTCTTCTGTCCTTGGAGAATTTTTTTTTCTCTTAACATTTAGACATGCTACTATAATACCCTTTGTTAATAGTTTCTGATTACTATTACTCAGAACAAGATGAAACCTTTCAATTTCCATCTCATTTATTTTCTCAATTCTGGCTTTTTTAAAAACTTCTTTTCTGTATTGATTGTTTTAGTCACAGGCAAGTTGCCTTTCATGCAGGCAAGAGCCCTAGAGTCAACTGCTATTTTTGTTCACAGTAAGACTTTCTATTCTTGTGTTCTTCTGACAGATCTTTACTTACTGAGGATGGAATTAAAAAGTAACACAAAATTTCAAAGACTAGTTAGAAAGATCACAGATTGAGCCATTTCTTGGTTTAAAAAAAAAATGGCCGGGCACGGTGGCTCACTCCTGTCATCCCAGCATTTTGGGAGGCCGAGGCGGGCGGATCACGAGGTCAGGAGATCGAGACCATCCTGGCTAACACGGTGAAACCCTGTCTCTACTAAAAGTACAAAAACTTAGCCGGGTGAGGTGGCAGGCACCTGTAGTCCCAGCTACTCGGGAGGCTGAGGCAGGAGAATGGCGTGAACTCGAGGGCGGAGCCTGCAGTGAGCCAAGATCGCGTCACTGCATTCCAGCCTCAGCGACAGAGCGAGACTCTGTCTCAAAAAAAAAAAAAAATCAAGAAAATAGTGTTCTCATGTTAAAAATTTTCCATTGAATGAAAGCATAGGGTTTTGGGTCATTACTTACAGGTAAGCTTGTATATGTAAATGTATGTGTGTACACTACATGAAAATTATATATATGCATGTATATATATTTACATAAAGCCCTGCTTCTTTATTCAGGCGGTGGGGATGGATTTCTTAAGAATGCATTTATTATGCAATTCATTCAAGCCCTAAGTAGTACAAAATAGCACAAAATGAAAGGAGAAGTAGTATTGTCTCAGAAGTGCCTTGTGTATATTATTTCATTTGAAAAACGGAGCTCTGTCATCAGGAACCCTGTAGTCACCTGGTCGAGACACCCGTACATGAAGTTAAAAAGGTAGTAGATGTTGGTGCCTACAGGACTCTGGCTGTGTAGGCTGGAGTGAGAAGAAAGGACTCACTTTGGGCCAGTGTGGCCATGGAAGGGCACCTGGAGAAGGGACTAGAAAGAGGTGGATTCTCACCTGGGCTCCTTTCTGCTAAAGGACATGCATTTGCCAGGAAGTCGGCTAAACCTAGGGGTAGACCAGTAGCTCTCCAACAAGGGCCCATAACTAAGTTACCTGGTGGGGTAGGAGGGCTTGGTAAACACAGGGAGCTGGACTCCCTGCCACTCCAGAGTTTCTGATTCAGTAGGTCTGGGATGGGGCCCAAGAATTTTCACTTCTAACAAGTTCCCAGGTGAGGTGAATGCTTCTGACTGGAAACATGAGAACCAGAGAATTCTGTGTAGACTCCAAACCCAGACCTTTGCCTTTCTGCAACCAGCAGCACTCAATCCCACTTTAAGAACTGGCAGAAAACCAAGGCTTATGTCAAGATCACCTTGCAGCCTGCAGGATGATGTGGTCTATGGAAAGTTAAGAGGCAAAATTATTCCCCCATCTCCAGAAGCTGGAGATGCCTTGAAGTACTGTAAGAGGCAGGTAATTGCACTCTGGAGTGACATCTATGACCCTGATGCAAGTGACACTTTAATAAAGACCTACCCTGAGCAGTGGGGGAGCTGAATTGTCATGGAGACAAAGCCAGGGAGAAATTGCCTGGGGGCAGACTGGGCTCTGCAGGGACCATTCATTCCAGCCCATCAACAAGGAGTGAGGAATCCCCAAACTGCCTTCCACAACGGCTGAAAGAACTTAAAATAGAATTACCATTTGACCCAGTATCTCATTTACTACTGGGTATAGACCCAAAAGAATACAAATCATTCTACCATAAAGACACATGCACACGTATGTTCATTGCAGCACTATTCACAATAGCAAAGACATGGAATCAACTTAAATACCCATCAATGGCAGAACAGGTAAAGAGAGTGTTGTACATGTACGCAATGGAATACTGCACAGCTGTAAGAAGAAGGAGATCACGGATGGAGCTGGAGGCCATTATCCTAATCGAATTAATGCAGGAACATCCAACCAAATACTGCATGTTTTCATGTATAAGTGGGAACTGAACATTGAGCACATATCATCACAAAGAAGGGAACCACAGACACTGGGGCCTACTTGAGGGCAGAGGGTGGGAGGAGGGTGAGGATCAAAACTACCTATCAGGTACTATGCTTACTACCTGGGTAATAATCTGTGCACCAATCTGTGCTCATTGAGGTGTCAATTATCAATACAGGTAATACACAATTCACCTATATAACAAACCTGCACATGAACCCCTGAACCTAAAATGAAAGTTAAAAGAAAAAAATAAAAAATAAAATAGGCCAGGTGTGGTGGCTCACGCCTGTAATCCCAGCACTTTGGGAGGCTGAGGTGGGCAGATCACAAGGTCAGGAGATTGAGACCATCCTGGCTACCACAGTGAAATCCCATTTCTACTAAAAAGACAAAAACAAAATTAGCCGGGCAAGGTGGCAGGCGCCTGTAGTCCCAGCTACTTGGGAGGCTGAGGTGGGAGAATGGCGTGAACCCAGGAGGTGGAGCTTGCAGTGAGCCGAGATCGCGCCACTGCACTCCAGCCTGGGCGACAGAGCAAGACTACTTCTCAAAAAATAAATAAATAAATAAATTAATTAATTAATTAAAGGCCAGGCATGGGAGCTCATGTCTGTAATCCCAGCACTTTGGGAGGCCGAGGCGGGAAGATCAGCTAAGGTCAGGAGTTCAAGACCAGTGTGGTCAACATGGTGAAATCCCATCTCTACTAAAAATATAAAAAATTAGCCAGGTGCAGTGGCACGTGCCTGTAATCCCAGCTACTTGAGAAGCTGAGGCCGGAGAATCGTTTGAACCTGGGAGATGGAGGTTGCGGTGAGCCAAGATCACACCACTGCACCCAGCCTGGGCAACAAAGCAAGACTTCATCTCAAATAAAATAAAATAAAATAAAATAAATAAATAAAAAAACAAAAAATAGGGAGTGAAGGGAGAATCTACATGATCCCACAATCTGGTCGTACAGGGGTGTTGGTGGACAGGACTGTGCTGCTGGGGAAGGACCCAGGAGTCCCCTCCTTGCTTTAGGGATTGGGGACAGCCACACAGTCTTGCCTGCTAAGCAGTTACCACCATCACCACCAAGCCTGCAGAGCCTCACACTCAGACTTTTCCTGCCACGTCACTGCAAAGCAAAATGAATCATTTCTGGAGATCTAATGTACAGCATGGTGGCCACAGTTAATGATATGGTATTGTAGACTTTTAATTTGCTAAGAGGATAGATCTTAAATTAAATCTTCTCACCAGCCTCCACACACAGTGGTAATTAGATGGAGGTAATGGATGTGTCACTCAGTTTGATTGTGGTGCTCATTTCACAATGTATATGTATATCCAAACATCACCTGTACACCTTAAACATGTAGTTTTTTTTTTTTTTTTTTTTTTTTTTAATGAGACAGGGTCTTGCTCTGTTGCCTGGGCTGGAGTGTAATGGCATAATCATGGCTCACTGAAGCCTTGAACTCCTGGGCTCAAGCGATCTTCTTGCTTCAGCCTCCTGAGTAGCTGGGACTACAGGTTCACACAATCACACCTGGCTAATTTTTTATCTTTTGTGGAGATGGTGGTTTTGTTATGTCACCCAGGCTGGTTTTGAACTCCTGGGCTCAAGTGACCCCCCTGATTTGGTTTCCGAAGTCCCTGGGATTATATATATGAGCTTTTTTTTTTTTTATTTTTCATAGAGACAGCGTCTTCCTACTTTGCCCAGCCTGGTTTTGAATTCCTGGGCTCATGTGATCCTCCTGACTCGGCTTCCCAAGTCACTGGGATTACAGGTGTGAGCCACCAAAATCTGTATATGTCAATAACATCTCAATAAAACTGTTAAAAATAAATCTGCGGATGTAAAAACTAAACCACAAATGCCTTTGTGAGAGAGACAGGGTCTCTCTTGCTCTGTTGCCCAGGCTAGAGTGCAGTGATGCCATCATAGCTCACTGCAGCCTCGAACTCCTGGGCTCAAGCCATCCTCCTACCTCAGTCTCCAGAGGAGCTGGGACACAGACATGCACCATCACGCTTGGCTAATTTTTTATTTTTTGTAGAGACAGGGTCTTGCTCTGTTGCCCAGGCTTGTCTTGAATGCCTGGTCTTAAGTGATCGCACCACCGTGGCCTCCCAAAGTGTTGGGATTACAGGCATAAGCCACTGTGCCTGGCCTGAAAATATTAATTTAAGGAGATCATTTAAGAAAAATTTAAGGAGAGACCAAAACTGAATGGGAGTGGGAACCACCCTCTCCAGCTAATGCCCAGAGTGGGTAGCAATGGCATGAAACCTATCAGCCAACTTTTAGACAGGGGAAAGCCCAGGTTTCCCTACATAAGGAGGGGTGACAGTGCAGCTCATGCATCCCCCAGGAACAAGGTGGAGTAAATGAATCTGTCATTCATCAGCTGTAAGGAGCTTTAAATACACCCCACGGATGACCAAGACGCTCTGCTCACAAACATGGGCACACCAAGAGGAAGGGACACCATGTCACAAACCTTGATTCCCAGTTCAATATTTTCTCCTCCGTATACATCCATGCCAGGATCCAGAAGACCAATTTCACCGAAGAACTTCCTGTTGACCACGAACGAGCAGCCTATCATGGCTGGGGTCCTGAGGGAGGGAGAAAGAAGGGAAGCTCATTGAGGTGTCAGTGCCAGAAGCCCTTCCATAGGCACCGTCCTAGTATGTACTGGTTCCGGTCTAGCATGTACTGGTTCCAGCCTAGCATGTACTGGGTTCCAGCCTAGCATGTACTGGGTTCCAGCCTAGCATGTACTGGGTTCCAGCCTAGCATGTACTGGGTTCCAGCCTAGCATGTACTGGTTCCAGCCTAGCAAATCAAGTCACTTCCCTCAATTCCCACACCTCCTCTCTCTGTTACTCTGTAAGGCTGTTTTTTGTTTTTGTTTTTGTTTTGAGTCGGAGTTTTGCTCTTCTTGCCCAGGCTGGAGTGCAATGATACAATCTTGGCTCACCGCAACCTCCACCTCCCAGGTTCAAGCAATTCTCCTGCCTCAACCCCCTGAGTAGCTGGGATTACAGGATGCGCCACCATGCACAGCTAATTTTGTATTTTTAGTAGAGCCGGGGTTTCTCCATGTTGGTCAGGCTGGTCTCGAACTCCTGACCTCAGGTGATCTGCCCACCTCAGCGTCCCAAAGTGCTGGGATTACAGGCATGAAACACCATGCCCAGCCTGTGAGGCTGTCTTTTAGCTTCAAAAGCATCTAGGGATAATGTGACTCCCTCATAGATGGGGTAAGGGCTGGTCTCCCGTATCCCATGGCGTCTGCACACATAGGAAGCGGTCCCTGCTGCACTCTGTTGACAGCTGAGTGATGGGATGGGGGGTCCTTGTGCAGTCTCAAAGAAGCTTGGAGGTGAGAAGCAAGATGCACCACTCCCCACCCCAGGAAAAAGAGAATGAGCAAGTTAGGAGTGCAATGGGAAACTGGAGAGAGGAAGATTGCAAGCAAGGGCTCCAATTTCCACGTTATGCTGGAAGAAAGTGGACCAGGGTGGGGTCTTTAGAGAAGGGAGAAGACTCAGGGAGGAAACACATCCTAGTGCCTAAAGGTATCCATCATAAATGGCAAGGGCATGACCTCAGCCCGCAGAGAGGAGGTCTCAGCAGGAGAGACAAAGAGAGCACGTGTAGAGTAACCATGAAGTCGGGACAAAGGATTATTTTATTTTTGTATAAATTCATCCCCTTGGTTGTTTCTTCTGGGGAAGGCTAAAGGCACAAGTTGACCTATTGAAAATTAGAGACAAGAACCATGTGAGGCCACCTGTCAGAACAATTATTATTAAAAAGTTAAAAAAAAAAAACAACCAAAAAAACAAAACCCACCAGATGTTGGCAAGGTGTGGAGAAAAGAAAACACTTACACACCATTGGTGGCAGTGTAAAATAGTTTAGACCCTGTGGAAAGCAGTTTGGAAATTTCTCAAAGAACTAAAAATAGAACTACCATTCAACCAAACAATCCCATTAATGGGTATCTACCCAAAGGAAAATAAATAGTTCTACCAAAAAGACACCTGTATTCCTACGTTCATTGCAGCAATATTCACAATAGCAAAATCATGAAATCAACCCATGTGCTCATCAATTGTAGACTGGATTAAAAAAAAATGTGGTGCATATACACCATGGAATACTATGCAGCCATAAAAAGGAACGATATCATGCCCTTTGCTGCAGCATGGACACAGCCATTCAAGACTAGTGTGGAAAAGTTGTTCCCCAGAGTTCAGTCCAGGGACCAACTGCATCAGCATCAACCCAACAGCTCCTTTGAAAATGCAATGCATCTTCTGGCCGAGCTAACAAACAAATTAATGCAGGAACAGAAAATCAAATACCATTCGCTCTCACTTGTAAGTGAGAGTTAAACATTGGGTACACACAGGCATAAAGATGGTAACAATAGTCACTTCGGAACTCCAAAAGCAGGTAGGGAGGGAGAGGGGAGAGTTGAAAAACTACCTATTGGGTACTCTGTTCACAATTTAGGTGATGGGATCAACAGATGCCCAAACTTCAGCATCACTCAATATACCCATGTAACAAATCTGCACGTGTACCTCTTGTATCCAAAATTCTTAAAAAATCATGTTAGAGCCGGGCACGATGACTCACGCCTGTAATCCCAGAACTTTGGGAGGCCGAGGCAGGGGGATCACAAGGTCAGGAGATCGAGACCATCCTGGCCAACATGGTGAAACCCCGTCTCTACTAAAGATAAAAAAATTAGCCAGGCATTGTAGTGCGTGCCTTTAGTCTCAGCTACTCGGGAGGCTGAGGCAGGAGAATCACTTGAACCTGGGAGGTAGAGGTTACAGTGAGCTGAGATCGCACCACTGCACTCCAGCCTGGGCAACAGAGTGAGGCTCCATCTCAAAAATCAATCAATCAATCAATCAATTGATAAATCATGTGAGACAATACCACACATGCATATATGTGCAGTGGTTGACAGGAATGCTGCATTATTCTACCACGTTCATTGCAATGTTGTATGATGCATGGGACCATGCATTGTAAATTAGAAAAATCACACTGATAAATATTAAGTATTGTATTGTATTACATTGTGCATTGTAGTATAGTATCAATAGATAATTTATTATATCTTTTTGCCTCTGTTTCCAGACTTTATAGTCACCCTTACATAATAAATTCATTGAGTAAATATTTGCTCAGCATCTACCAAATCATGCCCTTTGCTATGGCTGGATGTACTCTAGATCCCGGATGCAGCTGGAGACCACTATCCTAAGCAAATTAACTCAGGAACAGAAAACCAAAGACCGCATGTTCTCACTTGTAATTTGGAGCTAAACATTGGGTACACATGGAGATAAAGATGTTTAAGGCATTTTGCTGGTGCTGTAGCAGATGGGAAAATAGCAGACATGCCTCTGTCATCCGAGCAACTAAGAGTGAATATAAGAATAATACAAAAATTAGTATTGTTATTGCAACCATTTATTTAGCAATTTCCTGTCTCAAGCACAAGATGCAAAGCACTTTCCACGCACATCTCGTGTATGCACTGCCACAATCCACTGAAGGAGGCAGAACCATCTCCACTGAACGACTGAGGCACACGGAGATTAGGTGACCTGCCCTGAGTCACAGAATAGAACTCAGCATCTGCCTGCCTTCAAAGCCCTTGATTTTAGCCCTTTTGCTTTACTGCACGCTTTAGAAAAGGCTTCATGGAGGAACTGGCAAATGCCCCCACTGCCAAAGGCCAGAAACACCGTTAAGGTGCTTCCCTGGGCAAAAGAGACACCTCACGCAGGAGGTCCATTGAAACTCCACTGGGGCCACCAGGAAGCTATTAGGTGGAATTCTTTGGAGCCAAAGGGTGGACTGTAGTCTCGGACCCTCATCGGCTGGTTATGACTTCTAACTTGACTTCGACCTTCACATCCAGGTTTCTGATTCCATGGAAAGCCACTTGGTACCCATGTGGTGAGGCAGCAGTGGATGAGCCTCTTCATTCACCTTCAGTGGTGGCACAAGCATGAAATGTGTAGTTAAACGCTGGTGCTGCCACCGAAGACTATAATTGCATAAGTCAATGGAGCACTCTAGATTCCTGTTAAATCTCTACAAGGGGCTGGGTGCGGTGGCTCACACCTGTAACCCCAGCACTTTGGGAGGCTGAAGTGGGCGGATCACAAGGTCAGGAGTTTGAGACCAGCCTGACCAACATGGTGACACCCCGTCTCTACTAAAGATACAAAAATTAGCTGGGCGTGGTGGTGTGCACCTGTAACCCCAGCTATTGAGGAGGCTAAGGCAGGAGAATCGCTTGAACCTGAGAGGCGGAGGCTGCAGTGAGCCAAGATCGCACCACTGCACTCCAGCCTGGGTGACAGAGCGAGACTCCGTCTCAAACAAACAAACAAACAAAAAAATCTCTACAGGGTATTGTTGTGTGGATTAAACAAGAGAAAACCTGCAATGGGCCCAGTGCACAGAGCAGGAGCTCAATAAGTAATGCGCCTTCACCTTCTTACTGGGAGGTGCCCTTCTGTGTGTTTACAGAAATCGCATGCCAATCACACTTATGCAAACGGGACCTTGCTCCTGCTGGTGTAGCAGGTTCACCCTGGACTATGCCAGGGGAAAGCATGGCTTCTAATGTGCATCATTTCCTCCCAGCTCTTGGCGCCTTTTAGAGAAGCAGCCTGACCTTTAGTCTGGAAAAGCATCAAATGAGCCCATTCCCTGGCCTCAGTTAACCAAACCAGAAAATGAGCACTGATCCCAAGCCAGGACAAATTATGTTTCCTCTGAAGCTTGGAATTAGGTTTCTCCTGAAGGGGTGGCTTTGGAAATGAAGACAACTCTGGGAGCTAGAACTCAATAGGCTCACACGCGTTCAGGGCTCAGGCCGCCACCGTGAGCAGTTCCTGAGGGGCTCCATGCACACGGATGATTGAGCAGAAGGAGGAGGCAGATGTACAATGGAGACTACATGGACGTGGGGGTGACTGGCCACCCAGGAATCCTGGCTTTCCATCTGCTGAGAGCCCTGGCTCTGCTCTCCGCCCCTAAGTTACAGGAGGGTCCTTTGTGTCTTTGCAATCGGTCCTTCTCCACATAAACAGTGTTAGATAAGTTTCCGTTCTTTGCAACCAAACGGTGATGATGACCTACGCTAACCCCTCCTACTTATGATCCAGAGCAGGAAAAAAAAAAAAAAAAAAGCTTTATCTCGCAGCTAGAAGAGGAAGGCTACAGGGAAGATTCCTTCTGGAAGAGCCGGAATCAGAGTCTGCCCGAGTTATGGAGATATGCTAGTGCCACAGGTCCCTGGGTATGCTGGCATCAGCACAGAAGCAGGGGACTGGGAGATGTCCTCGGCGTTAGCTCCATTTTCTAGAGGGTGTTTCTGAGCACATCAAGCAATTCTGATAAGTTACAAAAAATCTCCCCAAAAGCCTATGCTTGGAGTCTGAAAACACCCAACATTGACAAGAGTGTGTAGTGAAGACCCTGCTCTAAGACTCTGCTTTCTAACCTCTCAGAGGCAAACAGGGTAGTTAAAATCACAGAAAGCGCCCAGGCCACAAACTCTCCCAAAGCGGTGGCTTTGGGCATTGCCCTGTGTGCAGAAAAGTTGTTTCCCAGAGGTCAGTCTAGGGGCTGACTGCATCAGCATCAACCCAATAACTCCTTAGAAAATGCAGCTTCTGGCCAGGTGTGGTGTGGCTCATGCGTGTAATCCCGGCACTTTGGGAGGCCAAGGTGGGCAGATCACTTGAGGTCAGGAGTTCAAGACCAGCCTGGCCAACATGGGAAAATCCCTGTCTCTACTACAAACAAACAAACAAACAAACAAACAAACAAAACCCACAAAATTAGCCAGGCCTAGTAGCACGCACCTGTAATCCTAGCTACTCGGGAGGCTGAGGCAAGAGAATCGCTTGAACCCAGGAGGCAGAGGTTGCAGTGAGCCGAGATCACACCACTGCACTCCAACCTGGGGGAAAGAGCGAGACTCCGTTTCAAAAAAAAAAAAAAAAGAAAAGAGAAGAGAAAAAAAAATGCAGCTTCTTGGGTCTGGTCCAGAACTATGGACTGGGTCCAGAGATGGGACTCAGAGATTTGTGTTTGTATCTGTGGGACCATGCTGTGGCTGTGGAGCCTTCTACCCCACCAGATGTTCAGGTATCTCCCTGAGAGCAGAGAAGTTATGCCTGTCATTTCTCATGGTATTTCCAGCAGCTAGAGCACTCACCAAATACTGTTGAGTGAATGAATGTGCAGAACAGATCTGGGGAGGACTCCTGGTAGGGAAGAGCACCATGATGCCTCAGGGACCAACTGGGTATCAGGGGAGTGTGCTCTAACTAGGGGTGGGAGGGAGGGATGAAAGATGGAGAAGGGAGAGCAGGATGAAGTGCTAGAGAGAGGAAGGAGAGGACAGTAGAGAAGGGGAGAGGAAAGGAGAGAGGAAAGAGGGGAGCAGACAGAGGGATCAGAAGCTCATCACATCACCTTCACTGAGGAGGGGAGTAGACAGGCTCCCTCTTCTTCAGATCCCTCTCAGTTACCCTTTGGGCAACATCTTTCCCCGTCAGGAGCCTGATTTTTTTTTTCTTGAGATGGAGTCTCACCCTGTTGCTTAGGCTAGGGTGCAGCGGTGCCATCTCAGCTCACTGCAGTCTCCGCCTCCTGGGTTCAAGCGATTCTCCTGCCTCAGCATCCCAAGTAGCTGGGATTACAGGCACCCAGCACCATGCCCGGCTAATTTTTGTATGTTTAGTAGAGACAGGGTTGCACCATGTTGGCCAGGCTGGTCTCGAACTCCTGATCTCAAGTTATTCACCTGCTTCAGCCTCTGAAAGTGCTGGGATTACAGGCATGAGCCACCGTGCCCGGCCCAGCCTGATACTTTAATGTAACTGGGTTTTATCTGGATGGTGTCTGTGGCTGTGTGTGGTAATGAGAGAAAGCTTCGCAGCATGACTTGCCCGGAGTCCCCTCTGTGCTGGAAACAGCTCTGCTCAGCACACATGACAGGGTTCTCTGAGTCCTGGGATTTCTCACAACAAAGTGGTGAGGTCTCCATTTGGTATGTCTTCCTTCAAACCAGGCCAGGGCAGGTCAGCAGCCCAGAGGTGCCCAGGAGGCTGTGGGAAACCAGACCTCCACCTGTGTCCCAGGCGGGCCTCATCAGAACCCACAGATGAATGGGCAGGAGGTAAGCCCAGTGCAGCGGGGATGTGGAATGAATGTGTGACGATGGTCGCTGTTGGTGTCACAGGAAAATTGTCCTAACTGGCTGGGTGCAGTGGCTCACACCTGTAATCCCAGCACTTTGGGAGGCTGAGGTGGGCAGATCACTTCAGGTCAGGAATTTGAGGCCAGCCTGGCCAACATGTGAAACCCCATCTCTACTGAAAATACAAAAATGAGCCGGGCGTGGTAGTAGGCACCTGTAATCCCAGCTACTTGGGAGGCTGAGGCAGGAAAATCACTTGAACCTGGGAGGAGGAGGTTGTAGTGAGCAGAGATCATGCCACACTGCACTCCAGCCTGGGTGACAGAGTGAGACTCCATCTCAAAAAAAAAAAAAAAAAAAAAAAAGAAAAGAAAAGAAAAAAAAAGAAAGAAAATTGCCCGTCACGATCAAAATCTGCTTACAGAGCCTGACAGAGGCTGGAAAGGAGAGGCTGGAACTGGCCCCAGCAGGTGACCCTCCCTGGAAGCAGAAGCAGAAAGCCTCTGTTCTGCAAACACCAAGTCTTCCCTATAGTGCTGGGAGCTGGCAAGACCCCTGCCACGTGGCTAATGTCTAACTGGATCATTGTGGAGGACATTAAATAATGAAAGGACATATCACCCTGGCAGGGTGGCTCATGCCTGTAATCCTCATACTTTGGAAGGCCGAGACAGGAGGATCGCTTTAGCTCAGGAGTTTGAGACCAGCTCAGGCAACAAAGCAAAAAGTACAAAAATCTCTATCACTACACAAAATTAAAAAATTAGCCAAGTATGGTGGCTCACACCTGTAATCCCAGCACTTTAAAGAGGTCAAGGTGGGAGGACTGCTTGAGCTAAGGAGTTTGAGGCCAGCCTGGGCAACATAGCGAGACCCTGTCTCTATGAAAAATAAAAAATTAGTCAGGTGTGGCGGCATGTGCCTATAGTCCCAGCTACTTGGGAGCCTAAGTTGGGAGGATCATTTGAACCTGGGAGGTTGAGGCTGCAATTGCACCACTGTACTCCAGCCTGGGTGACAGAGTGAGACCCTGTCTCAAAACAAATTTAAAAAGAAAAAAAAAAGACATATCTGCCCATGGACAGGCCAGTCAGCGTTGCTGGCGAGCTCAGTGGGCACCTGCTTTGTATTCTGGAGCTACCTGCCTGGACTGATAAACGAGGAGCTGTCCTTGTCCTCTGACTGGGGAGGGGCAGTCCTCCAACAGGAAGCTACCACCCATCCCATCTGGCACCTGCCTCGTGAGTGGCAGGCCAGCCACTTCATCCTGACAATCAGGAGCAAAGCACGGCTGCTGCTTCCCTTCCAAGGTGTCCCCACCACCTACCCAGCTGTGGAAGCTGCAGTTGATACCACTTGCGGGCTGAAGAGATCAGAGAACGTGAGTCTCCAGCCTCATCCTTCAAAGTCAACTGCGATTACGACCATGAGTGCAAACACTTCAATTCAAAATCATTCAAAAATGATAATCATATTAAGGGATCTGCCAAAGCCTAATAGCTCCATTACAGAAGAGAAGAACAGAAATTAAAAATAATCACTTATTGGTGCTGTTACAGAAATATATGCAACACACACAACAGTTCCAACTGAATGACAGAAAAGGAATAGACAGTGAGAAGAGGGTGGCAGCCCGATATTTGCACCAAGACATATACAGCTTTCTTGAGCTCATTGTGTTTTCTTTTCATAGGTGAAAAAGGACTCATCTTCATTCTAGATGCTTCCCCTCCTCTAAAGCCTTCAGTGGCTCACTATTCCCTTCTGAATTAAGTACAAGTTCTTCCTTGGCATCTCTGCCTCTCTTAATTCCTTTCCAGCCATCAACCCTATAGATCCTTTCGCCTGGCTACTCTATACCAGGGGTCCTCAACCCCCAGGCCATGGACCAGCACCAGTTGATGGCCTGTTAGGAACCAAGTTGCCCATCAGGAGGTGAGTGGCAGGCAAGTGAGTAAAGCTTCATCTGTACTGACAGATGAGGTTTCCCATCACTCGCATTACCGCCTGAGCTCTGCCTCCTGTCAGAGCAGCAGCGGCATTAGATTCTCATAGGTGTGCACACCCTGTTGTGAACTGTGCATTCAAGGGATCTAGGCTGAGAGCTGCTTATGAGAATCTAATGCCTGATGATCTGTCACCGTCTCCCATCACCCCCAGATGGGACCCTCTAGTTGCAGGAACAAGCTCAGGGCTCCCACTGATTCTACATGATGGTGAGTTGTAGAACTATTTCATTATATATTACAATGTAATAATAATGATTTCTGGTTGAAGGCTTGTGTCCCTGTGTTGTACATCAATGAGTGAGGCTGTAGGTATGGGAAGAGCAGGCTCCAGTGGTGGAGAGAAAAGAAGGAGCTAGAAACCAGAGACTGTGAACCAGATGCAGTGGTGCACACCTGTAATCCTTGCACTTGGGAGGCCAAGGCTAGAGGATTGCTTGAGTCCAGGAGTTTGAGAACAGACCGGGCAGCATAGTGAGACTATGTATTTCTACCAAAAATAATTTTTTAAAAAAATAACCAGGCATGGTGGTGCGCACCTGTATTCCCAGTTACTTGGGAGGCTGAGGCTGGAGAATCACTTGAGCCTGGGAGTTGGACACTGTAGTGTGCTATGATCGCACCACTGCACTCCAGCCTGGGTGACAGAGCGAGACCCCATCTCAAAAAAAAAAAGACAAAAAACAAAACAAAATCTGCTGATCCATAGCCTGTAAATCAGGGGAGTGTCTATCTCCAGAATGTACCAGAAGGCAGCCCCTTTGGACCAGTGTCTTCCACCCACCCCTCATTCCCCTGTTTGGTGACATTCTCCCGCTTGGATGCCTGCTTGTCACCATGTGGCTCGCTGTCTCAGTCACCTGTTGGGCACAAGTCCTGGTGGTGTCATGTCTTACCCTTGCTTTTCCCTGACACCTGTCATCTCTTGACATTCTCTTAGACCCCAGCCACCCGTTGGTCTCTGTTCTCTGGCAGCCATATCTCCAAATTCTATCATGATGATGGTTCCTGACCCAGGGATCAGGGGCTGACTCTATTTTCTATTTCCTGATTCCCACTGGCCTGCTGGGACTTGCTGCTTTTCTCTGACCTCAGACTCAAACAGGCTGCCGTTTTCTTTGGTCTTAGTTCTGCTTCAGCTGTTTGCTAAGCACTTTCTCATTCCAAGGTCCCACGTGCAAAACACTCATCCTCACCCCTGGAGTTGTCCTGGTATGAATGTCTGCAAATCCAACCCTCAAGGTATAATCAGTACTGAGTGTTTTCGTAGTACCGCCAACTTCTTTGGCAATCAGTAGGTTGGTTAATGCAAATTCACTCATTTCAGGCTGGGTGCAGTGGCTCATGCCTGTAATCCCAGCACTTTGGGAGGCCGAGGTGGGCGGATCACCTGAGGTCAGAGTTCAAGACCAGCTCGGGCAACATGGCAAAACCCTGTGTCTGCTAAAAATACAAAAATTAGCCAGGCATGGTGGTGCGTGCCTGTGGTCCCAGCTACTCGGGAGGCTGAGTCAGGCGAATCGCTTGAACCCGGGAGGTGGAGGTTGCAGTGAGCCAAGATCATGCCACTGCACTCCAGCCTGGCCGACAGAGCGAGACTCTGTCTCAAAAAACAAAAACAAAAACAAATTCACTCATTTCAGTGCATTTTGTTACATCAGCAACGGTGAATTCTTTTACACCATCTCCTAATACAGTAGAATAAATGTCCAATGCAGATGTTGCCCTTCTTTGGTTGTATCACACATCCAATCTATACCCACTGGCACAGGCACCAGTATTGTAAGCAAACAGGCAGGGTCTCCAGGGATTATAGGAATGTGCTCAATTTGAGCAATCAGCCTGTTTTACAGGCTCCTGCCCTGAAGCCTGTTTCTTCCTAAACCCTATATGGTCACCTAGTTGGTTAACACCGCCTCCTGACAGACCTCCCCCAGCGATTTATAGATGAACTCAAGTGAACTTTCTCATGACGGTGCTAAAGAGAGCTACAGCTCCGTTACCATCACATGCAACCTGGGTGCTGGCACGAAGGCATGATGGCTCCCTGTGCCTGCGCCACTAGGACCCCTCCTCTGCATGTGATGACACACCCTCTCCCCTCTCCATCATTCCATAAAACCCTCCTGTCACTTTCCCACGGGAGACACTGCTTTGGAGGATACTCCCATGCTCTCCTTCCTTGTGACAAGTGATCAATTCCCTATTGATCAAAGCCTGTGTTCTCATGGGGAGTTGCTTGTTACTCCCCAAGCAAATGGATCCTGTTTTGCGGGGATAACGGTAAGCCACGGTGGCCAAAAGACCAGGCAGGGAAGGAGGAGGAGAATGAGATAGGAGCACATCACTGAGACCAACAGCACCCTTTACTGGGCATCTCAATGCATCTGCTGCTACCTTAGGACAATTTGTGATTCTTTCTTTTTTTTTTTTTTTTTTTTTTTGAGATGGAGTCTCACTCTGTCCCCTGGGCTGGACCGCAGTGGCATGATCTTGGCTCACTGCAACCTCCGCCTCCCGGATTCAAGCGATTCTCCTGCCTCAGCCTCCCGAGTAGCTGGGATTACAGGCACCTACCACTACACCCAGCTAATTTTTTGTATTTTTGTAGAGATGAGGTTTCACCATCTTGGCTAGGCTGGTCTCGAACTCCTGACCTCGCGATTTGCCCGCTGCAGCCTCTCAAAGTGCTGGGATTTACAGGCGTGAGCTACCGCGCCTGGCTGATTTTTTTTTTTTTGTTTTTAATGTTGAAAATGTGTTTCTTTTTAATACATAAGACAGAAAAAAGAACCTGCACTCCAAGCTGGAGTGCAGTAGTGCAATCTCGGCTCACTGCAGCCTCGATCTCCCGGCTCAAGCAATCCTCCCACTTCAGCTTCTCAAATAGCTGGGACTATAGGCACACACCACCATGCCCTGCGAATTGTTTCCTTTTGGTAGAAACAAGGTCCCACTCTGTTGCCCAGGCTGGTCTCCGACTCCTGGCCTCAAGCGATCCTTACACCATGGCCTCTCAGAATGGTGGGATTAAAGCTGTGAGCCACTGCGCCTGGTTGATTCATAATTATTTTGAATCCTCAAAGCAGCTCCATTTGGTAGATATTATTAGCCCCATTTTCCAACTGAGGCTCAGAGGTTCAGTAACCTGACCAAGGGGAAGCATATGCAAATAAGTGCAGAACTAAGGGCAACCCAGGGGGCCTCTGATCTCTCGCCCCTCCCAGGTACCCAACTGCCTCCCAGACCAGATCATCTCACACTGGCAGCAGCTAAGAGCTCTTGCACTGGGTGAAATAAGTGATCCCACTTTGAAGATTTCTGGGAACTTGCAGCTGCTAAACACTAAAAATATAATTTTGAGGAAGGAGTTGGCTGGCTTGAATAGAATTCTCAACTGGCACATTACGGTAATTTAATGCCCAGAGTTCCAATTGCCTCTGCTATACATATAAATACCAAAAGGACAAGTCGGCTGCCTTTTAAAACAATCAAACACTGCATCCAGCTCACAAATAATCTCACAAGAAAATAGGACCCAAAGGCCAGTGCTTTGCCTTTAAGTGGAAGTAGCACTTTCACCTTTGTTGCTGAAAAGATAATTCATGCTGAAACAACAACTTCCTTCAGATTGGAAAGGGAACTGTCAAGGAATTAAGAGCATTTCCTTTTGTAGGATAAAGGAAGCCTCATCTCTGTGGGGTGTGAATTTTCACAGATGCAGAAAAAAACGCCAGTGGTGACTGAAGTTGCCAGTCTCAAAACTCATTTCCTTGGCTGACTGATTTCTGTCTGGGCTTGTTTTATTAAAACAAAGATCCACATCGAAACTCCCTAGTAAGATATTCCCTATAAGCAATTTTCTCGGGATAATACTTTTACTTTTTGGTAATCATATTTCCTTGAAGCTTTGAGAAACTGATTTGCAAATAAGCCTTGGAAGAGTGTTTTTGTAAATGCACTATGCTTCTTAAGAAGTGGTGACACATTAAGCTGTTGTCAGCCATCGACACTTTATATATACTGTGTATATATATTTTAAAGTGTCTGGTTAGCTATCTTGTGAGATGAGACATGGTTGAGTGAACATTTGGGGAAAAGAAAAAGAGAAAGGTCTAGAACAGGCATCATCAGCAAACTACACTGCCTGTTTTTGTCTGGCCAGAGAATTAAGGATTTTTTTTAACAGATGAACACTTATAACTGATTTGATGATGATGATGGGAACACTAACTTTGAACCTAAACAAAGCAACATGTCACCTGTACACACGAAAATTCAAATGTTCTCATTAGTAGACCCAGATTACCAAAAAAAAAACCTAGACTCATTAATGTTACATTTTGGATTTTGTCAATAAAATATTTGTAGAAATCAGGTTTTGCACTTTGTTTATAAGTACCCACATAATATCCTTGATTTTGCCTGGATTTACTATCCAGCCAATCAGAGAAAAATTTCACCAACCTCTGTGCTAGAAGATGAAGCCGTGGAGGAGAGTACAGTCTCTGGACTGGGAGAGACTGGCAGAAAGGTGATTGTGTTTTTGTTTTGTTTTGTTTTTGAGACAGAGTCTCGCTCTGTGGCCCAGGCTGGAGTGCAGTGGCGTGATCTCAGCTCACTGCAATCTCTGCCTCCTGGGTTCAAACCATTCTCCTGCCTCAGCCTCCTGAGTGGCTGACATTACAGGCACCCACCACGATGCTCGGCTAATTTTTGTTATTTTTAGTAGAGATGGGGTTTCACCATGTTAGCCAGGATGGTCTCGATCTCCTGACCTCAAGTGATCCGCCTGCTTTGGCCTCCCAAAGTGCTGGGATTACAGATGTGAGCCACTGCGCCCGGGTATTTAAGAGTTTCATTCTGTCACCCAGGCTGGAGTGCAGTGGCGCGATCTCGGTTCACTGCAACTTTCATTTCCCGGGTTCAAGCGATTCTCCTGCCTCAGCCTCCCGAGTATCTGGGATTACAGGCACACGCCACCGGGCCTGGCTAATTTTATTTTTTATTAGAGACAGGGTTTCATCATGTTGGCCAGGCTGGTCTCGAACTCCTGACCTCAGGTGATCCACCTACCTCAGCCTCTCAAATTGCTAGATCACAGGCATGAGCCACTGCACCCAGCTAGGAAGGTAACTTTGAAAGAATGAATGGGGACTCATGTGAAGAGAAAGTCTTGAAAGATGGATCAGCCTCCTCTTCATCTGTAAAAGGAGGGCAATAATCCCTCTTCAACTTCCAGGGCTGATGCAAGAACAACTTTGATAAAAGCTTTAGGATGTACATTCGAGAATGGCATCAGGCTAGCAACACTGACAGGGTTCCAAAAAGAAAGAAAGAGTATTGAGATTTTTGCATGGTGGAGAAGTTTTCTGAGAATGTTTTAGGACATCCTATATCAATGCAGGCACTATGGGATAAAACAAAATGAAAAGAAAGTAATTAATACCAGATGTGGTGGTTCACGCCTGTAATCCTAGAGCTTTGGGAGGCTGAGGTAGAAGGACTGCTTCAGGCCAGGAATTTGAGACCAGTGAGGCAACATAGAGAGACCCTATCTCTCCCCAAAAAAAAAAAAAAAAAATTAGCTGGGTTTGGTGGTGTGCACCTGTAATCCCAGCTACTCTGGAGGCTGAGGAGGGAGGATTGCTTGAGCCCAGGAGTCTACAGCCTGGGCCACAGAGAAAGAACCGGTCACTTTAAAAAGGTTAAAAATAAAAATAATTAATTGGGAATTAGAGGACAAAGAGCAAAATAAGATTATGTCAAGGGGGCCAGGCGCAGTGGCTTATGCCTGTAATCCCAGCACTTTGGGAGGCCAAGGTGGGTGGATCACCTGAGATCAGGAGTTCAAGACCAGCCTGGCCAACATGGTGAAACCCTGTCTCTAAACAAAACAAAACAAAACAAAATAGCTGGGTGTGGTGGCTCGAGCTTGTAGTCCCAGATACTCGGGAGGCTGAGGTAGGAGAATCACTTGAGCCCAGGAGGCAGAGGCTGCAGTGAGCCGAGAGCAGAGCGCCACTGCACTCTACCCTGGGTGATGAAGTAAGACTCTGTCTCAAAAAATAAAAAAATAAAAAAGATGATGCCGAGGGTGAGTTTAGCAGACAAAATGCAGGCTCTGACATATTACATATTTAATAACAGTGGGCCACAAACTCAGCTCCAAGCTCTTTCATCCCCACTGTAGACAGAACCGTTGGCTGGATCTGCAGTGTCTAAAAGATTTTTAATAAGAGAAAGATAGTTACTTGATCACTAAGACCCAAGAGAAATTTCTCTACTGAGTGACTTGGTCTCCTTAACCAAGTCTCCTTAACACCACTTCAGCAAATACAATAAGCTCCACAAATCTGATTTTTAAAACACTTCTCAGCATTGGCCTATGATGTTTACCCAAGGACAGTCAGGTGACAGCAATTGTTCTCGGAACCAAATGAGATTCAGGTAAGAAGACAGCTTTCTGATGGCCTTGCGTATTTAAGGGCTACAGTAGCAGCAAAATAGTTGTAAGAAAGTAGTCAAATAAAAGAGTATAATAATTTATTTTGAAACTTATGAATGGGCTTTTTCTATGCTGGACTTGCCATCTCATCCAGAGGCAGTCATTAGCCTTGATCTAGGGGAAGACTGTCAGAGCTGAGATAGAAAGAAAAGCAAAGGAGATGTTAATTTTCTGTTGTGACTATAAAATAGATTCCTGACGTTAACTGCTGAAGCAATAGTCCCTAAGCCCGGATTTCAAGCGCACGAGCCGTGCATCAGAGACAGAAAGCATTTGCTAAATTCCAAAAGCCTCCCTTTAGATATTAAGGACAGCAGACCGGTGAAGCCAGAGGATGGCGGTTGTGACAAAGCCGTGGGGCTCACTGCTGGCTCACCTTAGGATCAACGAGGGAATCTTGAAAACTTGCCTGTGTTGAGGTGCACTCCCAGACACTGGTTTGATGATGGGTCTACATCCATATTTGATTCTAAAGCACAACCAGGGTTGAGAATCACTGACATATGGGATAGTTCCAATGCCAAAAAAGGCTGATATAATTTGGATGTTTCTCCCTTCCAAATCTCATGTTGAAATGTGATCACCAGTGTTATAGGTGGGGCCTGATGGGACCTGTTTGGGTCATGAGGGCAGACCCCTCATGAATGGTTTGGCGTTCTCCCCATGGTAATGAGTTCAGTAAGACAAAGCTGCTGGGCTCACTGCTGGCTCACTTTAGGATCACCTGGGGAATCTTGAAAAATGACCTCTGTTCAGGCACACTCCCAGACACTGGTTTGATTGGTCGACATCCATATTTGATTCTAAAGCACAATCAGGGTTGAGAAGTACTGACATATGGGAAAGTTCCAGTGCCCCAAAAGACTGATATAATTTGGATGTCAGTCCCTTCCAAATCTCATGATGAAATGTGATCACCAGAGTTGTGGGTGGGGCCTGATGGGACCTGTTTGGGTCATGAGGGCAGACCCCTCATGAATGGTTTGGTGCCTTCCCTGTGGTAATGAGTTCAGCAAGATCTGGTTGTTAACGAAGACTCTAGGACCTCCCTTGTCTCTCTTGCTCCCTCTCTCACCACGTAATGCTGGCTCCCCCTTCCCCTTCCACTATGACTGAAGATGTCTGAAGCCTTCACCAGAAGCCAAGCAGATGTTGGCACCATGCTTCTTGTACAACCTGCAGAACCGTAAGCCAAATAACCCTCTTTTCTTTATAAATTATCCAGCCTCAGATATTCTTTTAGAGCAATGCAAAACAGACACACACAGAAGCTAATTCTCCCTGGGCTGGGGAATAAGTCTGGAGACAGAAGAGACAGACATAAGAGAAGGTCTCTCCTGGGGGAGTTTCAGCCTCACCCTACTGCTCACGTTGGAATTCAGGGAGTGGGTACAGAAATCTGCAAATGGGTTTGAGGATGGGAAGGCAAAGAGATGGATGTTTTGCTTCCTGCCTAGCACTCTGGCGGGAGGCAATTGTCTTGCAGCGTGCTATGGGCAGTGGGGCAGGAATGGTGGAGTGATGTTTAGGCAGAGAGAGGACCTAAAATAATGCTCTAAATGCCCACAGCCAGCTCCTGGCCTGTAGGAAATCCTGAAGTTCCTGAGTACCCCAGGCGAAGGGGAGGTGTATTAGTCAGTTCTCACACTGCTAATACAGATATACCCCAAGACTGGGTAAGTTATAAAGGAAAGAGGTTTAATGGACTCACAGTCCACATGGCTTGGGAGGCCTCACCATCATGGCGAAAGGCAAAGGAGGAACAAAGTCACGTCTTACATGGTGGCAGGCAACAGAGAGTGTGCAGGGAAACTGCCCTTCATAAACCCATCAGATCTCACGAGATTTATCCACTATCATGAGAACAGCATGGGAAAAACCCGTCCCCAGGATTCAACTACCTCCCACTGGGTCCCTCCCACGACACACAGGAGGTACAATTCAAGATGAGATTTGGGTGGGGACAGAACCAAACCATATCAGGAAGCAAAGAACTAGACAGGTTGGTTCACAAAGGGAGTCAGGGGACAGGAGGGTACCCACTGGGTGGATATCTTGCCTGAAGTTCAGAAGCAGGGCCAAGGGCATCGGCTATGAATACAGAAGGGACAAAACTCAAGATTGGGAGGTGTCAACAGAAGCCAGAAAGGTCCCAGAAGACAGGCGCAGCCCAGACACCTCTCTCGTTGCCCCAAGGCAGCACCAGCTCCCCTTGCTTCCAGGCACTATTTAAGAGGAAAGCTGGGAGAGGGAGAACTTTCAAGGGGGAAGAGCGACCCTTAACAAATAACAGCCTGTCAAAATCTTGATTTAATGGAGCAATTGTCCTGAAAGAGATGGAGTTTTCAATGGGAAGAAACTGAGTTACCTTGAAACAAAAAGATTAGTTTTCTTTTCCATCATCAGTGAACACGAGGGCTGGAGAGCAAGTTGAATTCTTATTTGGAAAAATAAAGTCACCCTTTCTTACATCTGACTTGCAACTAAAATTTAAATTGTGTTACAGGTTTTAAATTACTGTAGAAGAATGAACAGAACTTTGAGACACCAACAGATACTTAGGAGAAGGGAAGAAAAAGAACAAGGATTCAATATGAAAAACAACTTTTCTGGAAAGTAATTTGGCAGTCTGTCTCGTAAGTCTTAAAAATAAACATGTCTTAGACCTAGAAATTCTACTCTTAGGAATTTATCATAAAGGATAATAATGACTTCTGCCTCTGAGACTGTCAGATGATGTAATTTGGACCAACTCTATAGCCTAAAAAAACTAAAAAAGCTGGAAAATTTTTTTTTTTTTAAAGAGACAAGGTCTTGCTCTGTCCCCCAGGCTGGAGGGAGGTGGTGCGAACATAGCCTACTGTAGTCTCAACCTCCTGGGCTCAAGCAATCCTCCCACCTCAGCCCCCAAAGTAGCCGGGACTACAGGCACATACCACTACACTCAGATAATTTTTGCATTTTTTTTTAAGAGAGAAAGTCTTGCTATGTTGCCCAGGGTGGTCTCAGACTTCTGAGCTCAGGCAATCCGCCCACCTTGGCCTCCCAAAGTGCTAGGATTACAGGCATGAGCCACCACACCAGCCTGGATAAAATTTTTTGATCTTAATAAAACCACTGTAGATGAACAAAATGAAAATTATTAGGTTGAACTCTGGCCGAGACTAGAAAAGGGAGACAGATGCCCAGCAACTGGGTTTCCTTCTACCTTGAGGTGTGTTCCAGTCCATAAAGCGGGACTGAGAGGCTGGGTTGCACTTCTAGCCACCTCAAAAGGCCAGAAAGCCGAGAGTTGGGTTTCAGTGCCCACTAATAATGGGCAACCTGGTAAACCACCCTTCATTTTTGGCTAAAATACAAAAAGTCTGCCCTTAAGAGTAACCTGGTGGGCCGGGCACAGTGGCTCACTCCTGTAATCCCAGCACTTTGGGAGGCCGAGGCGGACGGATCACCTAAGGTCAGGAGTTTGAGACCAGCCTGGACAACATGGTGAAACCCTGTCTCTACTAAACATACAAGAAATTAACCGGGTGTGGTGGCACGGGCCTGTAGTCCTAGCTACGAGGGGGGCTGAGACAGGAGAATTACTTGACCCTGGGAGGCAGAGACTGTAATGAGCCGAGATTACACCACTGCACTCCAGCCTGGGCAACAGAGTGAGACTCCATCTCAAAAAAAAAAAAAAGAGTCACAGCCAGGCACGGTACCTACTGTATAAGGTTCTTAGGAGAACTAAAAGTATCAGAATTTGTAAAGTGCCTTCCTAGCATATAACAAGTGCTATATGCCAGGCACAGCAGCTCACGCCTGTAATCCTAGCACTGTGGGAGGCCAAGGTGGGTGGATTGTTTGAGGCCAGGAGTTCAAGACCAGCCTGGCCAACATGGCCAAACCCCGTCTCTACTAAAAATACAAAAATTAGACAAGTGTGGTGGCATGCTCCTGTAGTCCCAGCTATGCAAGAGGCTGAGGCATGAGAATTGCTTGAACCCAGGAGGTGGAGGTTGCAGTGGCCCAAGATCACACCACTGTACTCCAGCCTGGGTGACAAACCAACACCCTGACTCAAAATAAATAAATAAATAAATAAATAAATAAATAAATAAATAAATAAATAAAAAGAGCAACCTGAAAGTCAACCTGGCCTCTCTCCCAAACTGCAAGCTCACTTCATTTCCTCTGGGAAGCCCAGAAAATCTCACACCTTGCATTTCCATTAAGGGAATCAGAGGCTGTGAGCACTCCTGTGCTCTTGGCAGAAGTAAACAAAAATTCTCACTAGAGGCAGGTAACACCGTCCTCGGTTACAAATTAACTTGACAAATAACTCTTGCTTTCCCGCTCTCTCTCTCTCTCTTTTTTTTTTTTTTTTGAGACAGGGTCTCACTCTGTCCCCTAGGCTGGAGTGCAGTGGTGTGATCATAGCTCAATGTACCGTCAACCTCCCAGGCTCCAGTGCATTAGCCTTCCAAGTAGCTAGGACTACAGGTCTGTGCCATGCACCTGGCTAATTTCTTTTTGTATTTTTTTTAAGAGACAGTATTTCACTATGTTGCCCAGGCTATACATAACTTTTTCAAACACAGTAGCTAACATCTCTAACACCTAATCAAAGACAATCAAAAGCATTAGGAATCAAGAGGCCAAAAGTTAGACTTGCATGAAAATAACAGACAACAAAAGAGAGGCACAGGACTTCCAGATACTGGAACTATCAGACTTATTGGAAAACATCTATGTTTACTGTGCTTAAGAAAATTAAAAAGCAAGCTTAAAATTTTTGGCAGGAAACTGGAAATCACAAAAAGTAGCACAACATATTTGAAAAAGGAAAAAGAGAAAAATCTAAAATCAAAAAGTTCAAAAATTAAGAACTCAGTGGATCATTTATCAGCAGATTAGACACAGCTGAAGAGAGCATTAATGAACTAGAGGCTAAGACAGAAGAAACTATGAAGAATGAAGCACAGAGGGAGAAAAAGATGAAGAATAAATAAAAGAGGGTAGGCAACATAAATAATACAATGATAAGATCTGACACCAGTTTGTGAAATCCCAGAGGACAGTAAACAGGGCAGAAGAAATATTAGAAGATATAATAGATAAGAATGTCCCATAATTGAGGAAGGAAATGAACACATATATTCAAAGCTCAACAAATCTCAAGCAGAACAAATAAAAAGAAATCTATCCTTAGATACATCATAATGGGAAATTTAAAAACAAAGGCAAAATCTTGTAAAAAGCCAGAAGAGGAAATAAAAAAAATCAGAGATTTAAAAAAAGTTTTTGTACAAAACTTTAAATCAAAATATTATCGATCATAATGAAAAAATTAAAATCTTCTAAATTTATATCAATTGGGATATAATTAAGTATATTTTGGCACAGTCCATGATAAAATGAATGCAGCTATTAAAACATCATATAAAGAATACTGAATGAAGGCTGGGCATGGTGGCTCACGTCTGTAATCCCACCAGCACTTTGGGAGGCCGAGGTGGGTGGATCACTTAAGTTCAGGTGTTCAAGACTAGCCTGGCCAATATGGCAAAATCCTGTCTCTATTAAATACAAAAAAATTAGCTGGGCATAGTGGCACAGGCCTGTAGTCCCAGCTACTCAAGAGGCTGAGGCAGGAGAATTGCTTGAACCCGGGAGGCAGAGGTTGCAGTGATCCAAAATCACGCCACTGCACTCCAGCCTGGGGGACAGAGCGAGACTCCATCTCAAAAGAACAAAAAAAACACACACAAAAAAACAAAAAACAACTGAATGATATAATAAAAAGCTCATGTAATAATGCTAGTTATAAAGTCAAAACACAATCATAGCTATGTATGACCCAATATTTATTTATATACAGGTCAATAAAAGGTAATATGCTAAACCAGTTACCTATCATTATTTCTAGGTTGTAAGGTTGTGGGATACTTTTATTTTCTTCTTTAAATTTTTTCCCATGCCTTTACAATGAACCTGTTGACTTTTATAATCAGAAAAGAAGTGGTTTTGCTTAGTTTCATTTAAAAACATAACACTAGCACTCACTGTTCTCAATTTTAAATTGGGGCAGGACTCATCTGAGCTAGTAGTTATTTTGTACATAGTACATTCTAATTATTCTGTCTTTAAAGTATGTTGAGCTCTGTGCATTGAAAGACAAGCAGGAGACGGTTTTAGGTTGAAACATGGTTATTACTTGAGCAGGGTCAGAATATAGCTGAGAAAGCCACACGCTTTCTCTGGATGCTTTTACGGAGAGAATCTACTTTCTCTCAGAACCTCCTTTCCCTCGGATCCTCCTCTTCTGCATTCCCAGAAGACCCATGAAACAGAACAAGATTCTTTTTCCTCCAAAATTCTTCCAGGGGCTTGGTATGACCCCATTCCCTCCTGGGCCTGGCATATACTAAGCTGTGATAACAGAAAAGAACTTTTTCTAACACAACTCAAGGAGAAAAAAACAATTACTCTTTCGGTATAATGAAACTTACATGAAGTCTTAATGTATATTGTAATATATTTATTCATCTACCTATTTATCTATTTATGAGAAAGAGTCTCGCTCTGTTGCCCAGGCTGGAATGCAATGGCATGATCGTAGCTCACTGCAGCATCAAACTCCTTAGGCTCAAGCAATCCTCAATCCTCCGGCCTCAGCCTCCTAAGTAGCTGGGACTACAGGCATGCACCACCATGCCAGGCTAACTCATGTACTTTTTGTAGAGACAGAGTCTTACTATGTAGCCTAAGCTGGTCTCAAACTCCTAGGCTCAAGCAAGCTTCCCACCTTAGGCCTCCCAAAGTGCTAGGAATACAGGAATGAGCCACCGTGCCCAGCCAAGATCTTTTCTAATGGTCTTGTAGATGCCTTCTTTTATCACCTCTTCAAGCCATATAGGTCTAAAAGCCTATGGAATTCCATTCCAGAAACAAGTCAACAAAGGAACATATATCCAGAAAGACTGGCGACTCTGCTCGAGTAATAGAAAGGCCAGCTGAAACGTGGACTCTATCATCCCTTCCCTCCTGAAGATCACAGCACACTGAGGGATATACACAGAGGCCACCACAGTACCAGGTCCAGTAGCTGGCAAGGGGCATTCCTATCCATAACCCCCAGAGGCTCAGAAGCAAAGCTGTTTCTCCCACACACCCCACTCCCTGGCTTCCTGGCTCAGTGACGTAAACCACAAGTGCAGTCAGTTATTTCACTGGAGGCTGATTCATTGATAATGACATGGAGATGTAACACAAAGAATTAAACAAGACTCTATGGAAACAGGATTTTGGCTGCCTTTTTCCTTAATGAAAGCATTCCTTTCTGGAGGTGTCCGCTCTGAGGAAGAAGAGACAGGACACTGTATTAGTCCATTTTCACACTCCTATGAAGAAATACCTGAGACTGAATAATTTATAAAGACAAAGAGGTTTAATGGACTCACAGTTCCACATGGCTGGGGAGGCCTCACGATCGTGGCAGAAGGTGAAGGAGGAGCAAAGACATGTCTTACATGGTGGCAGGCAAGAGAGTGTATGCAGGGGAACTGCCCTTTATAAGACCATCAGATCTCATGAGACTTATTCACTATCAAGAGAACAGCATGGGAGAAACCTACCACCATGATTCAATTACCTTCTACCAGATTGTCAATGTTGAACTCTAAGGCCAGCCAGTTTCCTCCCTCCTCCCAACAAAAGAAAAGATGGTGTGGCCCATGGCCACAAGGCCAAACCCCTGTAACCCATGGGCAAGAAAGCATAAAAAAAGATTGCTGTCCTTGTCATTTGGGGGCACAGTGTGACAGGAATGCATCTCAACCACTCAAGAAAACAAAGAGATGAACAAAGCACCCAGTTTCTATTAACTTTTTTTTTTTTTTTTGAGACAGACTCCTGCTCTGTTGCCCAGGCTGGAGTGGAATGGTGCGATTTTGGCTCATTGCAACCTCTACCTTCCTGATTCAAGTGATTTTCCTGCCTCAGCCTCCCAAGTAGCTGGGATTACAGGTGCACGCCACTACACCAGCTAATTTTTAAAAAAAAAAATTTTTTATTTTTGGTAAAGACAGGGTTTCACCATGTTGGTCAGGCTGGTTTTGAACTCCTGACTTCAAGCAATCCACCCGCCTTGCCCTCCCAGAGTGCTAGGATTACAGGCAAGAGCCACCGCACCCAACTCCTCTATGAACTTTTAACTCTCTCACATGGCTCTCAACTAAATCGATTCACACAATATTAGTGCTATAAGTGTCCTTAAAAAAATCACTGTGTACAACTCATTTCTTTATCTGAAAAATAAGGAAAACAATTAGCTTCAATCCCTATTACATATGGCTAATAACCTATTGTTTAGGAAAGACTAGACAATGGGTAATAAAAGCCATTTATGAGATAGCTTTTATTGTGCTTCCTCTATCATTAGAAAACTGCTTTCATTATCAATGAAAATAGTGACAGTCTCTCCTCTCTCAGTGCGGGTTTCACTCCTGCTGCAGGCTGAAACCAGAGGCCGGGCTTAAGTTTGAAACAGAATTTAAGGCTGGGTGCGGTGCCTCACACCTGTAATCCTAGCACTTTGAGAGGGAAAGGCAGGCAGATCACCTGAGCTCAGGGAGTTCCAGACCCGCCTGGCCAACATGGTGAAACCCTATTTCTACTAAAAATTAGCTGGGCCGGGCGCAGTGGCTCACACCTATAATCTCAGCACTTTGGGAGGCCAAGGCAGGCAGATCACTGAGGTCAGGAGTTTGAGATCAGCCTGGTGAAACCCCGTCTCAATTAAAATACAAAAATTAGCCAGGTGTGGTGACAGGGGCCTGTAATCCCAGGTACTCGGGAGGCTGAGGCAGGAGAACTGCTTGAACTCGGGAGGGAGAGGTTGCAGTGAGCCAAGATCGCGCCACTGCACTCCAGCCTGGGTGACACAATGAAACTCCTTCTCAAAAATAATAATAATAATAATAATAAGACTGGGTGTGGTGTTGCATGCCTGTAATTCCAGCTACTCAGGAGGCTGAGGCACGAGAATCACTTGAAACCAGGAGGCAGAGGTTGCAGTGAGCCAGGATCACACCACTGCACTCCAGCCTGGGCGACAGAGTGAGACTCTGTCTCAAGAAAAAAAAGAAAAAAGAAAACCAAAGAAACAGAATTTAAGAAATAAAAAACCAAGATAAAGATAAAACCCTTAGTTCTTCTATTGTTTCAAGGCAGGAAAGTGGGTAAGTGGACCCATAAAAGAGTTTCTGAGAGGAGGCTAATGGCCTAACCATGGTGCCCTTGCCCAGTGGTACCATGACTTCCAGGGTCTGAGATTTCTCATCTCTGAAATGGGAAGACCAAGAACAGCTACCATTTATGGACCATTCCCTTTACCGCAGGTCCAAGGCCATGAACTTCATATATATGTAGGATCCCATTTCATTCTCACAGCAATGCTTTTAGGTGAGTAAGAGTATCTGCTTTTGAGAGTTGGAAACACTGAAGTTCAGAAAGGTTGAGTACCTTGTTCTAACACAGCTATGAAAATGCAAACCTGAATCCCTTTGACGTTCAGATGGTGATCACACAGGCTGCTTGCATTCAGAAAATCTACTCTAATCATAAATCACAAGGAAACCTGTCTGTCTCTTCTTGAGCGCTGGGCATAAAAGAAAGTTGTCAGCTGGGCGCAGTGGCTTGGGCCTATAATCTCAGCATTTTGGGAGGCCAAGGTGGAAGGATCACTTGAACCCAGGAGTTTGAGACCAGCCTGGGCAATATGACAAAACCCCATCTCTACTAAAAATTATAAAAATTAGCCAGGAGTGGTGGTGCACACCTGTAGTCCCAGCTACTCAGGAGGCTGAGATGGGAGCATTGCTTCAGCCAGGGAGGCTGAGGCTGCAGTGAGCCATGATTGTGCCATTGCACTTCAGCCTAGGTGACAGGGTGAGATGCTATCTCAAAAAAAAAAAAAAAAAGTGTCCCTCAAGAATTCATAATGACCTGTCCCTGAGGGTTTGAGATTTCTGTTGTTGTTGTTGTTGTTGAGACAGGGTCTTGCTATGTTACCCACGCTGGTCTTAAACTCCTGGGCTCAAGCAATCCTCCTGCCTTGGCCTCCCAAAGTACTGGGATTACAGGCATCAGCCTCTGTGCCTGGCCAGATTTCAATTTACATTAGGTACATAGTCAGGAAACAGCAAGCCTAGAAATGTACATGCACAGTAGCCTCAGAAGATGACACCTAGGAGTGATGAGCAAAAGCAAATGAGAAAACTTACCGGAGAAATCCACATACAACCCAGAATTTCATAGCTGAAGCTCCATCAAAGATGAGCTCTTAATAGATATTATAAACACATGAGGAAACAATCCACTGTAAGTAAGACTCAGCAAATACAGTAAGATTAGAACTCTCAAGAACTTGACATAATAGAACCATTAGACAGACACCATAAAATACGAATGTTCAAAATGAGTAAAAATCAGGCTGGCTGTGGTGGCTCATGCCTATAATCCCAGCACTTTGGGAGGCCAAAGCAGGTGGATCGCTAGAAGCCAGGAGTTTGAGACTAGCCTAGCCAATATGGTGAAACCCCATCTCTACTAAAAATATAAAAATTAGCCAGGCGTGGTGGCACGTGCCTGTAATCCCAGCTACTCAGGAGGCTGAAGCATGAGAATCACTTGAATCCAGAGGCAGAGGTTGCAGTGAGCCAAGATCATGCCATTGCACTCCAGCCTGGGTGACAGAGCAAGACTTTGTCAAAAACAAACAAACAAGCAAACCAAAAAACCGAAACAACAACAAAACGAGTAAAAACCTAAAAATAGGAGTCAAAAACCATAAGAACAAAACCTTGTGAAAAATAAACAGAGAGATGTGAAAAATAGCCAAGTGAAACTTCTAGAAATGAAGAGTCTTTAGAGCTTACAACACAGCAAGCAATCAAATAGGTTATACATACGAGGAGAAAAACAGAGGGGACGAGAGATAAGTTCAATGAGATTACCCTTTAGTGCATTAAAGAGATGGAAAATATGAAAACGATATAAAATATGAAAGTTGGATTCTGATATGCAAACCCTAGCCAGCCAGCCACTAGAAACTTGCCAATTTCTCCCTGTTGCCAACAGTAGTGAGAATTACTAAATGCCCTACATTCAAATAATTTGTAAAGAAAGCTTTCAAGTTTAATTTATCTAACGCATTTGATCCCCAGAAAAATCCCGATGTGATGGGGGTGCAGGTATTAAATTACTTATCTTACAGATGAAAAAAAAAAAAACTAAAGCTCAGAAAGATGTAAGAAACTTGCACAAAATGATACAGCTCATCCATGATGAAGCTGAAAATGAGATGGAATCTTCAGAATCCAAGAGTTTCCTCTCTACTGCATCCCTTCTTGATGGATATTCACCTTGATGAAAGAGAGATGCCAACTGCGATGCTAAAAACTTCTAGAAATTTTTTGAAGTGTGAAGTCAACTACTCCCCCCAGGCAAGAAAGCTATTTTCTATCCTGGGCTTTGGAGAGCCTCCTCTATCTGCTTAGGTTGATTGAGTCTGCACTTGCAGAGGATGAAAGGCAAAAGACTGGGTTCCAAAAGAATAGATTGCTAGCTGCAGCCAGTTCTCAGAACTAACCCCTATTATTGCAGACTTTATCCTTTAGGGTAGGCGTGAAATCATGCCTTGGCCGGGTGTGGTGGCTCACGCCTGTAATCCCAGCACTTTGGGAGGCTGAGGCAGGTGGATCACGAGGTCAGGAGATTGAGACCATCCTGGCTAACACAGTGAAACCCCGTCTCTACTAAAAATACAAAAAAAAAAAAAAAAAATAGCCGGGCGTGGTGGTGGGCACCTGTAGTCCCAGCTACTCGGGAGGCTGAGGCAGGAGAATGGCATGAACCCAGGAGGCGGAGCTTGCAGTGAGCTGAGATTGCATCACTGCACTCCAGAGCCTGGGCAACAGAGCGAGACTCCATCTCAAAAAAAAAAAAAAAAAAAAAAAGAAAAAAGAAATCAAGCCTCAAAGAGTTAAAAGGCTGGGTGAGGTGGCTGACATCTGTAATCCTGGCCCTTTGGGGGGCTGAGGCGGGTGGAACATCTGAGGTCAGGAGTTCGAGACCAGCCTGGCCAACATGGTGAAACTCCGTCTCTACCAAAAATACAAAAATTAGCTGGGTGCAGTGGCATGCGCCTGTAATCCCAGCTACTCAAGAGGCTGAGGCAGAAGAATCTCTTGAATCTGTGAGGCAGAGGCTGCAGTGAGCCTAGATCATGCCACTGCACTCTAGCCTGGGCAACAGAACAAGACTCCATCTCAAAAAAAAAAGAAAGAAAAGAAAGAAAGGAAGAAAGAAAAAGTTAAAGAAGCCAGTAACTCTCAGAAATTCTTGAGTTTGCAGGACAGCAGATAAGAAAAAAAAAAAAAACCTGCTGAAACGCTGCAACTCCCTCTGCTTGTAAGATAACAAAACTGGCTGAAATCAGTTAGACTCAATATGGCCAACAGGATTTTGCACAGAATGAGCTTGTGGATATCACAGCCTGGATTTCCAGGCATGTTTCATACTAACTCCCCCTGAATTTGCACGAGACCCATGAGGAGGCATGAAGAGATAACTGTATGTGTCCGAGGACTTTCCAGATCTCTCTTTTCCTTCCACCAATCACCTGCAAATCTCGGAATCCAGATGCTAAACGTTTTCTGATAAAATTCCTGCCTTAAAGCCAGCACAGAGAGACAGATTTGAGCTGGACTCCTGTCTCCTGGTTAGTCGACTAGCAATAAAAAGCTGTCCTTTTCTCAAAAACCTAGTGTCATAATATTGGCTTCTAGCACATTGGGAAGCAAGACCCTTTTGTTTGGTAACAGAATAATCAACAATGCATTATTCATTTCCTACATATTTTAGGGAAAAATAACTTGGATGGGAACTATGTCAGGGTCAATTTCACAGGCAGGGCACAAGATGAGAAACATATTCACAGCCATGAAATGAAACCATAACTCAAACATGGGTTACTGAAATTCTCTGATCAAAGACAAGAAAAAATAAAATTCTTTTGGTGTGTGGGCTTTTTTTTTTTTTTTTAACAAAGGTCAAACTAAACACTAAAGTTACTCAAGCTCCCTATTCCTGAGAAGCCCTCCCACACCAAACAGGTTTGATTTCTACAGTCTTACAGCTCAGATTTAAAAGTTATCGGGACCCCCAACACATCTGCCAGGTGGGATCTTAAATCTGATGAGGTTGTGGATTGATTAACCTCGGCTGAAGGAGTCGGGGTAAATCTGCTTGCAAAATATCTGCTGTATATTTTAATTCTCAAAGGGACAAGGAAAGTAGAATGCAAATCCCTGTATCCCACTCCAACCACATCTGACAATTTCCATCACTGCTTCCAGATTATCGTTATCTTTTTT
Organism: Homo sapiens; assembly: GCF_000001405.40. Lineage (NCBI taxonomy): Eukaryota > Metazoa > Chordata > Mammalia > Primates > Hominidae > Homo > Homo sapiens. Next base: position 71,542,705 of record NC_000007.14, on the reverse strand, counting down.
TTTTTTTTTTGACAGGGAGTCTCACTCTGTCGCTCAGGCTGGAGTACAGTGATGCCATCTCGGCTCACTGCAACCCCCACCTCCCCGGTTCAAGCGATTCTCCTGTCTCAGCCTCCAGAGTAGCTGGGACTACAGGCACGTGCCACCACACCTGGCTAATTTTTTGTATTTTTAGTAGAGACAGGGTTTCACCATGTTAGCCAGGAAGGTCTTGATCTCCTGACCTCGTGATCTGCCCGCCTCGGCCTCCCAAAGTGCTGGGGTTACTGTGCCCAGCGATTATCATTATCTTTTAGTGAAGAGTGACTTCTCCTAGAGTTGCAGAAAAATCAGCAGCAAAGCAAGTGGATTTTCTAGGTTTTTTTTTTAAATTCCAATAAATGCAACAGTTAATACTTTAAATGTATGTTTTATTACACAAGTATATTTATGGGCCACCTTCCTAGAAGTGTTCTGTTTAATTATAGAGCATGACAGTGTTACATGTATTTAATTTGCAAATCAGAAAAGGAGGTTTGCAGCTGCTTCTCTGAACTCCAAGCAAGCCTGTTCCCCACATCTCAGGCATTTATTCCATTTGACTTTCTATTGCGGTTATTCACCTGCACGATCCGGTTCCCCTGCTGTAAAAACGTATCCCTGTTTTATTCCCCATTTTGTATCATCGCCTGCATTTAACACAAGGTTTTTTCACTTAGCAAGTGCTCTATATGAATGAATGAACGGGCCTGATTCCCATACTCTTTCTTCAGCAACTGTTCTGCTTAAATAAGACGTCGTCTCTGAAATGGGCCTCCCTGTGTGTGTATTCCTAGGAGAGCAGCAGTAATTCAGAAAGACACGATGTGCAAGTAACTGAATGGTGATTTAATAATATTTACAATGAGGTTGTCCTTTCCTTTTTCATTTTAGACGTGCAACTTGATTGCATCGGGTTCTCTGGAAGATTAACAGCAAGGCATCCCAGCCTCAGTTCCAATCTCCTTACATTGTTAGGAATCAGGGAAAGGGTGGCTTAGTGGCATGACACAGGTGGAAGGGGGTCTCTGAAAGGAAATGAGGTGAAGCCGGGGGCAGAGGAATTCTCTCTCCACACTGAAAACCAGTGATCACTGTTTCTTTTTCTTTTTTTTCTCTTCTTGTTTATTTTTTTGAGACAGAGTCTTGCTGTGTCACCCAGGCCGGAATACAGTGGCGAGATCTCGGCTCACTGCAACCTCCGCCTCCTGGGTTCAAGCGATTCTCCTGCCTTAGCCACCCGAATAGCTGGGATTACAGGTGCCTGCTGCTATGTCTGGCTAATTTTTGTATTTTTAGTAGAGATGGGATTTCACCATGTTGGCCAGTCTGATCTTGAACCCCTGACCTCAGGTGATCCACCTGCTTCGGGAAGTGTAGTTCAGCCAGGCCCAGCACACATAAGGCCAGGCCACCCATCATACGCAGCATTTTTTTTTTTTTTTGAGACAGTGTCTCGCTTTGTTGCCCAGCTGGAGTGCAGTGGCACGATCTCTGCTCACTGCAACCTCTGCCTCCAGGGTTCAAGTGATTCTCCTGCCTTAGCCTACCGAGTAGTTGGGATTACAGGTATACACCACCACGCCCAGCTAATTTTTGTATTTTTTTTTTAGTAGAGACGAGGTTTCACCATATTGGCCAGGCTGGTCTCAAACTCCTGGCCTCAAGTGATCTGCCCACCTCGACCTCCCAAAGTGCTGGGATTCCAGGCATGAGCCACCGCGCCCGGCTGGCCATCGTTTCTTTAGCATAACTCTTCGATGTGTCTTAAAGAATCCAGGGCAGGCAAGCACAGATGTTAATCTAAGGCAGGGAGAAGCAGACCTAAAGCAGCTGTTGAGAGTTAACTGATCCTGTGTTAACTAAGAAAATGGCCCACTGGTGAATGCTGTCATCAGGGGCAGTTTGAATCTCCTGCTCTGGCTTGTGAATTACATACATATAACACTGTCATGCTCTAGGATTAAATAGAACACTTCTACTCCTAGGGAGGTGGCCCATTTATTACATAAATATACCTATGTAATAAAATATACATTTAAAGCTATTAGTTGCTTCATTTGTTGGAAAAAAAAACAACACAAAACCCTAGTGTCCATCAGTAGGTCCTGATTAAAATACTCTACAAAGGGAGATGGAGGCCTTTGTTCTGCTGAGTCACTGCTGTAAGCCCAGCACCTACACACCACGGGGACACACAGTAGGTGCTTACTACATAGTTGTTTACTAGATGAACGAAATGACATTTAACTGTTAAAAAGGCCAGGCATGGACCAGACACAGTGGCTCACACCTGTAATCCCAGCACTTTGGGAGGCGAAGGTGGGTGGATCACTTGAGGTCAGGAGTTCGAGACCAGCCTGGCCAACATAGTGAAATCCAGTCTCTCCTAAAAATACAAAAATTAGCCGGGCATAGTGGCTGGCACCTGTAATCCCAGCTACTCAGGAGGCTGAGATGGGAGAGTCACTTGAACCCAGGAGGCAGAGAGGCAGAGGTTGCAGTGAGCCAAGATCCCACCACTGCACTCCAGCCTGGAGGACATAGAGAGACTCCATCAAAAAAAAAAAAAAAAAAAAAAAAAAAAAAAAAAAGGCCAGGCACAGTGGCTCACAACTGTAATCACAGCACTTTGGGAGGTTGAGGCAGGAAGACTGATTGAGCCCAGGAGTTTAGGACCAGCCTCGGCAACACAGCAAGATCTTGTCTCTACAAAGAAAAACTTAAAAATTAGCCAGGAGTGGTGGCTACTTGGAAGTGCCAGCTACTTGGAAGGTTGGGGCAGAAAGTTCCAGCTACTTGGAAGTCTGGAGTACCTACTTGTGCTACCATAGTAGCTCCAGACTGTAGTCCCAGCTACTTGGAAGGCTGGGGCAGGAAGACCGCTTGAGCCCAGGAGTTAGAGGCTGCTGAGCTGTGATCATGCGCCCAGGCAACAAAGCCAGACCGTGCCTCAAAAAAAAAAAAAAAAAAAAAAAAAGGTGGGACTAAACTCCTGAAATAGATATGTGTCCATATGTGTCTCTGATGCATTTAGTGAAAAAAACAAGTTACAGAATAATTTAAATGACATACTCAAAGTTTGACACATCGGAGGTGCTATAAAAATATTTGCTGGAAAAATATGTGTGTTGGATTGATGTCGAAGGCACCATGTATATTCATGAGTGCATGTACCTGTACACGTGCACGCACACACATCTTTGTAAAGGCATAAGCAACAGGGGCTGGAAGGCTCTACACCAAGCTGTTCAAAGGAAGAGAGTGAGATAAGGGGTTTTGAGCTTATATAATTAATTCTCAATAGGTTCCTTTATTTTATTTTTTTAACAATAAACACATTTCTATTTTTATCATTCAAAAGGCATTTTAATAACCGCAACCTCCAAGAAAAGCTCCCCATGCCAAGCGCCCAGAGAGAGCATGAAGGATCAAAAACCAATGAGTATCCTGAGGCTGGGCACGGTGTGGCTCATGCCTGTAATGCCAGCACTTTGGGAGGCCAAGAGGTGCAGATCACTTGAGGTCAGGAGTTTGAGACTAGCGTGGCCAACATGGTGAAACTTTGTCTCTGCCAAAAAATACAAAAATTAGTTGAGCACGGTGGCTCACGCCTGGAATCCCAGCTACTCGGGAGGCAGGAGAATCAATTGAACCTGGGAGGTGGAGGTTGTGGTGAGTTGAAATGGCGCCACTGCACTCCAGCCTGGGCGACAGAGTGAGACTCCTCAAAAACAAACAAAAACCCCCCAAAAACATTGAGTATCCTGAGTCTCCCTCTCCCTCCCTCTGTCCCTCTTTCCCTCCCTCCCTCTCTCCCACCATCCCTCCCTCCTTCCTTTCTCTCTCCCTCCGTCCAACTGTCCGTCCTTCCCTCCTTCCTCCTTCCCTTCCTCCCTTCAATAGAAGATGAGACCAGCAACAGAGGACATAAGAGTTCCAAGGGCTCAGCTCCTGAGCTCAGAGAGAGTGGAGCAGAAGCTGCAGAAACCCACTTTTAAAAGAGGGTTAATTTGACAGTGGAAAAGCTGTTCCTGCCACCACATTACCAAAAAAAGGGAGGTTGATAAGGGCGATTGATCATTTTATTTCATCACTTCAAGGGACTGAAAGATCTTTCGCAGGCACTGAACTCTCACTCTCAAGTTTAAAAGCTTTTAAATCAATTTTATTAGGTTAACTGATGGTATCTTTGGTGCACTTTGCTCTGTAATCTGTCGCGTCCCGTCGGGTTGACTGAAAAGCTTGAAGTGGAGTTCTCCGTGCCCTCATTCTTGCTGAAGACAAGAAGTGCAGGGGGTGATGTTGCGTCCACGTGCCGCTGGTTTATGGGCTGATGGAATAAGAGGTTATTTCCTCTTTCGTGGAGGAGAGGGGTGCTTGAAATAGCCGTGGCAAGCTCTGCCTTCCAGGGTTTCAAGTGGACTCATAAAAACATAATTGGAGCAGAAGACACATTTAGAATTTTCTCTTTCATCTTAAATATCTTTAACCACTCGAAGTGTTCTAAGTACAAAATTATCAATGTTCGTTCAGTTAACAGCTGAGCTCTTTCTTTGTGCCAGTTGTTATATATATTAGTTTCCGAAGGGCTGCCTTTACCACTTAGCACAAACTGGATGGCTTATATCTGAAATGCATCCTCTTAGAGTTCTCTGTAGGCTGAAAGTCCAAAATCAAGGCGTAGGCAGGCTGTCCTTCCTCCATGGGCTCCAGGGAATAATCTGCTCTTGGCTCTTGTAGTCTCTGGTGGCCACAGGAATTCCTTGATCTGTGATCACATAATCCCAAACCCAGCCTCCATCCTCTCATGGCCTTCTCCTCTGTCTCTGTGTCTTTTTCTCTTCAACTTTTTGTTTTTGTTTTCGTTTTTTTGAGACAGTGTCTCACTCTGTTCCTCAGGCTGGATTGCAGTGCCTTGATCTCAGCTCATTGCAGCCTCTGCCTCCTGGGTTCAAGTGATTCTCCTGCCTCAGCCTCCTGAGCAGCTGGGACTACAGGCACGTGCCACCAACGCCTGGCTAATTTTTGTATTTTTAGCACAGACAGGGTTTCGCCATGTTGGTCAGGCTGGTCTTGAACTCCTGACATCAAGTGATCTGCCTGCCTCGGCCTCCCAAAGTGCTGGGATTACAGGCATGTCACAGTGCCTGGCCTCTCTTCTATCTTATAAGGAGACTTGCCGTCTGACTTAGGGCCCACATAAACAATCTCAGATGCTCATTATCTCAAGACCTTCAGATCTGCAAAGACCCCCTAACCGTCCGCCACCCACTTCCAAACAATCAGATCTGCGAAGCCCTCCTCTTTCCAAACAAGTTCACAGTCACAGGCTTGGGAATCAGGATGTGAACACATCCTTGCAGGGGCCACCATTCACCCTACCATATTATACCAGGCATGGAGGACACAAAGAGATTTAAGCCACACTTCTCCTCATTAAACATTTCATGGTTGGCTCTATAGCATAAACAAATGACTATGATATACAATGCAAAATGAAACAAAATCGATGGATGGAAACAATGCTCCTGAAGCCGAGAGATCAATTTAGGAGAAAGCTGAAGAAGTGGAGGCACTTGGGATGAGCCTTGAAGGATAACTAGGCCATCACCAGGCAGACAAATATGCAATGGGATGAACATGACATCTCAGGCAGTAGAAGGATGATGGGTTCACAGAGGCAGGAACGGAGGTTTGAATGCGCATGGTATGTTCAGGGCATACAGAGTGACTCAAGGGGACAGGTCCCTGTGCAGGGGCTGGGGAAGGGTTTCCAGGAGATAGGGTTAACTATGTGGCATCAGAACGTGAGGAATCTTGATCTTCCAAGTTCAGATCTTGCCGGGCATTTGCCATCACTTAACCTTTTAAGAGGAAACATCAAGCCACTTGGAACTTATCTTTATTGCTGTCGTTCCCATTCTACAAGGAGCTTGATATAGTTTAGCTCTGTGTCCCCACTCAAATCTCATCTTGAATTGCACTCCCATAATTCCCACGTGTTGTGGGAGGGACCCAGTTGGAGATCATTGGAATCATGGGGGCAGCTTCCCCCATACTGTTCTCATGGTAGTGAATAAGTCTCATGAGATCTGATGGTTTTATCAGGGCTTTCTGCTTTTGCATCTTCCTCATTTTCTCTTGCCATCGCCATGTAAGAAGTGCCTTTCACCTCCCGCCATGATTCTGAGGCCTCCCCAACCAATATGGAACAGTAAGTCCAATTAAGCCTCTTTTCCTTCCCAGTCTTGGATATGTCTTTATCAGCCACATGAAAATGGACTAATACAGAGCTCCTGAAAGCTGAAGACCTGTCTTCCTTGCTGCTTTCTGAGAGCCCTGAACAATGCCCAGGCCATGGCTGTGTCTAGGGTCTGGGTCTCTGAGCCAGGCTGCCTTGGCTGTGCCTGGAGAAAAGGTGAGACCCAGATCTAGGAGCCTCCCAAAGGCAGGGGCATCATCAGAGCCTGGGTAAATGCGAGCCTGCCAAATCATCTCTGGGAAAAGGAGCTTAGAGACAAGAGCAGTCACCGAAGTAGATAAACAGTCTTTTTGCTATGAACAGTCACTGATATTTGGTCTTTAATCTTTGAAAGCTAAATGCCAAAACAGACTCAAATAGTCAGTTGAGTCATAAAATGAGTTGCTAGGCTGAATTCATTGATTTTTATTACTAAACAAGCTCTGATAATGGCCTGGCTGCGGTGTTATATAGACACCGCTCCAGTGTTACAGTACACAGAGTCAAAAATTCTAACTGTTGGAAATTAAATGCATTTATTTCTACAAATTAAATGGCCTTGGGGAACTCAGCCTCAGGTGCAGTAATGCTTAATGTTTACCAACCAATAGTCAAATTGCCAAGTGACTCTGTTGGATCTTGACACTTGGCCCAGAAATGGCATCTGTCTTCTTAATAAACAGGTACAAAGAAATCATGACCAAGGATTTCATGTTAGCCACTCTTCCTAACACAGATGTTTGATGCAAACTCCAGAGACAAAGAAAGTAGAGTCATTATCAGGCCATATGTTAGAGGGAAGCATCACATTGTGAGTTGACTTATTGCTTGGACAATCTTTGTGTTGATAAGCAGAACTTAATGGTCCTCAAACATGAATTTTATGTACATTTACTTTGCAGGTGAGAATACATAGACATTATAGGAAATGTACTCGATTTTATTCCACTGCCCTCTTTTTTTCTGTACATATTTAATCTGGGTGTCCTCATCGACAGGGAGCATGAACCTGGGTCACATCATGGAACAAAGAGACAGCAAACAAAGGGCTGCATGTGCCAGATCCAGAAGGCAGATGCAGCTGGCTAGCAGCCCCAGTGCCACCTTCTCATCAGGTGCTAAGACGGATGAAAATGCAGAAGAAAATAAAATTTCTCATCATCACAAGGCTTGGATTCAGGCAACCTATTGCTAGACTCTGCCAAAAAAATAGCTATTTAATAGTAACCACGGTCAATGGGAATGGATGGAAAAACACAACTGTGGCCTCCCTCTTAAAACACAACATTTTTGTCCTCTTGAAGGATGACAAGGAAGCCACGTGGCCCTTCCTCACATCTTCCCATTGGTCCAAAGGCTCAGGCACAAAAGAAAATACAAAACTAGGCATGTTGGCTCCTACTACTTTGGGGGACGAGGGTTGTATGTACTATTCTCCTCTCTTTGTACAGAATTTAAGACCCTGAAACTCCCAGAAACAACCAGCTGGGAATATGATAGAAGGGAACCTAGTACACCGTATCACAGAAGTGTAGTTCTCCGAAGTGAGCAAGAAAGGGAGATGGTAGCACTTACAACATGCCTGAGATTGTGAGAGTCAATACGTTAAGATGCATGTAAAATTGGCCCGATTTTTGCATAGAACTGAAGCTTAAGAAACTTCCTGATGTGGTCTGGCTGTGTCCCCACTCAAATCTCATCTTGAACTGTAGTTGTCATATCCCCACGTGTCGTGGGAGGGACCCAGTGGGAGGTAATTAAATTATGGGAGCAGTTACCTCCATGCTGTTCTTGTGATAGTGAATGAGTTCTCATGAGATCTGATTTTTTTTTTTTTTTTTTTTTGAGATGGAGTCTCGCTCTGTTGCCCAGGCTGGAGTGCAGTGGCACGATCTTGGCTCACTGCAAATTCTGCCTCCTGGGTTCACACCATTCTCCTGCCTCAGCCTCCCGAGTAGCTGGGACTACAGGCGCCCGCCACCATGCCCAGCTAATTTTTTGTATTTTTAGTAGAGACGGGGTTTCACCTTGTTGGCCAGGATGGTCTCGATCTCCTGACCTCGTGATCTGCCCGCCTCGGCCTCCCAAAGTGCTGGGATTACAGGTGTGACACACTGTGCCCGGCCAATCTGATGGTTTTATAAGGGGCTTTTCTCTCACTTTGCTTTACACTTCTCCATGCTACCCCCATGTAAAGAAGGACACATTTGCTTCTCCTTCTGCCATGATTGTAAGTTTCCCGAGGCCTCCCCAGCCATGCTGAACTGCGGGTCAATTAAGCCTCTTTCCTTTATAAATTACCCAGTCTTGAGTATGTCTTTATTAGTAGCATGAGAACAGACGAACACCTTACATTTGTTTTATCTGAGTTTCTTTCTCAGAAAACCAACCATCAGGCCTCCCAGACGGTATCAGGGAATTGAAACTTACCAGATTACCGCATCTGGACAACTGCCTGTTAATCAATTCCTTACTCCGAATTCCTGTTTTGCCACACATGATTTAAAGAGACGCCAGACCCCTCATCTGACCACCTGCTGACTGTTGACCAGCTCCTCTTCCTGTACCCCTCTCTAATTCTTCGCTATGTAAACCCCTGACTTTAGTTGGTTAGGGAGATGGATTTGGGAGCAGCCTTCCATCTCCCAGCTGACATCACCTGTGTTACAGCTGTCTTCCCTGGCAATACTTATTGTTTCAGTGATTGGCTTTCCGTGAGCAACCAGATCTAGGCCAAACCTCTAGGTATTCAGCAGCACATGCAAAGAAACCCAAAACAAGCATGCAAAGCGAACCTATAGCACCTTAGAGACCTTTGGGAATGGGGTACAGAGATAATGCCGCCTTATTCCATGAAGGAAGCTTCCAGGAGCATACTTGTGATCTGTGCATATTGTTCTGCCCCCCAGCTGTTAAAGTGGAAAACAGGCTCTCACCAGCAACTCAATCCTAAGATAATCAACTATGTTGCTCAGCATCTCTCCTGAGGATGAGAGTCTGTGGAAAGATACCGCAAAGCAAGGGAAAGAGAATTACTTCCTGAAATCTCAAGGAAAGATTTTAGCTCTGAAATGATTTGCTACAGAAACCAGAAATTTAGGAAATGTTTTGGTTGTTATCAACTGCAAGACGCAAGAATACATCGTCTCATAGTCTTCTCTGATTCCTTTCCTAATTTATTATACATCATGTTTGTTTTATGGATTCTGGCAGGGAAAATGAACATATTTTTGTTCCCTTATAGTTTAACAAATGCACAAGCTAGTCACCATATTACTAACTTGTGTTGGTTCCTGCCTCAAGTCCTCAGCTTCTCCTCCATAGGAGGACTTTTAAGCCATGTGGTGAAGATCAATTCTCTTAGATAATTCACAGTTTTATCAAGGAATATATTTCTAAATTTCTTCGTCTGAGTGTTTAGTCAAAGAGAAACATGAGCATTTATTACTCTCCGACCTCATGCAGGGTTTGTAGGTGGAGGTGGGGCACACACTCTCCCCAGTCCATCTCCAAAAATGAAGAACTTTGTATAATCCACACCAAAATGAGGAGAAATGGTGGTCCTAGGAAGGCAATGGGGCTTTTACTGGGAGAAGCTCAGAAATTGTAAACAGGAGCAGCAAGAGATAACTCCTCTAGCATCTACTTTTTTAATTCCTTTGTTCCTCCCCACATGAGAGTAGAAGGATTTGGAGGTCTGCAGATGGGAGTGAACTCAGAGAAAGGGCAAGAAGCAGATCCCGTAGTGTAGCCTCTAATGCTTCAAGCCAACTGTATGGGAGCGCCTCATAGCAAATGAGGAAAGAGACCAATTAGCAAAGTAGGGAGGAAGTCCCCATATGCATGCATAACTATGCATAGAACCTAGCTGGGGTGACTGCAGTAATTGACAATTAATCAAGATTTGGTCACTTACATCCGTGTCATCTCCCTAAGAACTGCCTGACATATGCTATTTAGCCCAGAAAGTGATGATATCATTAATACATTTAGACATATGGTACTTTAAACAAAGTGCTTATCAAAAAATTTCGTGCAAATGATCTGTCTCTTCTCCTCAGCTCCAAGCCCATCTTTCTACACCTTGAACTGTGATACTGGGGCAAGAAGTCCCCAAACACATTTTCCAGACCCTTGTGCCTGATTATATATTCTGATTAGATTTGTGATTAGCTTCTGATTAGATTGAGCTATGCGGGTGTTGTGTGCCATAAAATTAGATTCTGCCAATGGGAGGCACAAGCAGGAGACTCAAAGTCAGGAGAAGGAAACAGGGCTTGTTTCCCATCTTCAGCTCAAGTCTACATCTCTCAAGAGGTGAAGGAAGACAAGAACTCTAATCTCCAGCTTCTGGTGCTCCCAGTACTTGGGAACTCATGAAGTTCCTGGCACCAACCACACTGGCTTCCCCATGCACTGAGCATTTGCCATTAACACCCCTTGGTGGTCCAGGTCCCTCCCGTGTTCAACTTCCTTCTGTTTCCTCAGCTCCCCAGCCCTAGGGATTGGAAGCTGCTTCCTACATTATTGTTCTTGGTTACCTCAGTATTCCTTTTTCTCTTTCAGCCTTTCAATGCCAGTGTAACCAATCAATATCCTATATGCATTCCGCTCTGTTTGAAATGCCTAGCTTGGCTTCTGTCTTCCTGACCGGACCCCGCTGATCTACTATCTTTAAGAAATGCCTTAAACCAGAAGTGGTGGTACATGCCTGTAGTCCCAGCTACTTGGGAGGCTGAGGTGGGAAGATCGCTTGAGCCTGGGAGGTTGAGGCTGCAGTGAGTCTGGGCAACACAATGGTCAACACAGTGAGACCCTGTCTCAAAAATATAATCTCATCCTAAAAGTTTGTGAGATTTAAATGAGTTTATATCTAGGAAGTACTTAGAATAGTGTCAGGCACATAGTAAGTTTAAAAAGCCTGAGTCAAGCCACATACAAGTTTTCACTATTGTTACTACTACTAGTATGTGTGCAGCTGCTGCTGAATTATCATCTAGCTCTGCACTATCCAATATGGTAGCCACTAGCCACATGTAGCTACAACATAGCGCCTATAGTTAATAATATTGTATGTATAATTGAATATTTGCTAAGGGGGTAGATCTTATGTTAAGTGTTCTCATCACAAAATAATAATAATAAAAGAGGGTGGAGAAAACTTTTGGAGCAGGTAAATACTTTTTTTTTGCTTTTACTATTATTTTTAATTGATGCATAATGGAGGTGATAGGTTTATAGCATTGATTGTGGTGTTAGTTTTGTGAGTATATACTTATCTTCAAACCCATTAATTTGCATACGTGTACTACTTTTTATATGTCAATTATATCACAATAAAATGGTTTAAAAATATTTTAATAAAAATACATTTTGATATAAAGTAATTAAAATAAAGATTCAGTGAGTTGTGCTGGCTATATTTCAAGTGTTCATGCAGCCACATGTATCTACCATATTGGACAATGCCTATATGAAGTGTTTCCATCATCACAGAAAGTTCTGTTGGACAATGCTGACCTAGATCATTGTGTGCTTAAGAATTAACTGGAGAGCTTGTTAAAAATAAAATTCTTGGCCGGGCATGGTGGCTCACGCCTGTAATCCCAGCGCTTTGGGAGGCCGAGGCGGACGGATCACAAGGTCAGGAGATCGAGACCATCCTGGCTAACACAGTGAAACCCCGTCTCTACTAAAAAATAGAAAAAATTAGCCAGGCCTGTAGGCGGGCGCCTGTAGTCCCAGCTATTTGGGAGGCTGAGGCAGGAGAATGGTGTGAACCCAGGAGGCAGGAGGCAGCCAAGATGGCGCCACTGCACTCCAGCCTGGGCGACAGAGCGAGACTCTGTCTCAAAAATAAATAAATAAATAAATAAATAAATAAATAAATAAATAAATAAATAAATTCTTGTACCTCTCCAAAAGACACTGATTTAGAAGGTTTGTGCAATCGGTGTTGACAACCAGTCCCTCCCAGGCTGCTGATGTAGGTGTTCCTAGACTACACGTTAAGAATAACTGAGATAGAAAATGAGTACTTATCTCCTAACATTCGTCCTTTAAAAGTCTTTAGGAGAAGTAAATGTGTGTGTGTGCGTGTGTGTGTGTGTTGTTGCGTTGCACAGACATACACGAATACTATGAATTCACAATTAACCAGCAAAATAGACATCAAAAAGGTTAGACATAAACCCAACTCAAAACAAAACCTCAGTCAATCCAGATACTTAGGAGCATATGAACTGTGCTAGAGGGACAGCAGGGACCCAGGACTTGCCCCCTGGGTCCAGAACTTTGTCCACTAGGCAACAGTTGACCAGGTAAGTGGAAAAAAGGATGAGTAGCCAGACACTGCCTTGGTTAAAATGGAAAAGTAATCAACTAACTAATTATGTGTTCTTGTTTACCTTTCTAATCATAAAGCCCATTGTTTCATTAAATGCTTCCACTTTGATTATCATAATTAATCTCTATTTTTAAACAAAAGTATGTTTACATTTTCTAGGTATTTAGACTTTAAAAGCTTTCCCTAGAAAAGCCCAGGAGTCAAACTTAAACAACTCTTTTGTAACAATGAATTCTTGATTGAACAATTAGCTTAGCAAATGCTGAAGTAAACATAACTAAAATTCACAGGTTATTAATTACCTAGTTGTGCAGTAACAGTACATACTCAACCTTCTCTTACAGAGTAGTTACATGTGGCATGCGGCATGCATGCCTCATCTGCTACTGAAAGTATCAATCCCTTTATGCAAAGAAAAAATAAAGAATGCTACTTGAAGCTCAGAGCTGGGAAAAGCCGTCTCTCTTAATATGTCTGTACACATTTCACTGCCACCAAATGGAAGCTTGGTATCCCATTTCCCTTTACCTGGACGGCTACGTGGGTCGTTTCCATGGCTGAAGCTTTATATATCTACTTTATAAATAACTCTGCATTTTATTGTACATTTAATTATGTCACATGGTTTAAATCTTATACATCTGTGATTTGACTGTAAGTCTCTTCGATTTTTTTTTACAAATAGGTGAATATGAATTTATCCATACGCCCATCGGGCCAAATTTTCTTCCTTACTATGTGTGGAAGCTACCATTTGGTACCTAATTTCACTAGAATTTCTAATTGCCCCCCCATCCCTTGAAGATATTGGAGTTGTAAACATAGAGAGATGGTATTAATTCAACACAATTATTCATCCCCTTCCTGTTGCAACCTTGCTTTCCTGGGTTATTTCCTATCCTACTGACCTTCAGCTTGGTAATGTAATTTTTTCATTATTTATTTATTTATTTATTTTTAATTGAGACAGAGTCTTGGTCTGTCACCCAGGCTGGAGTGCAGTGGTGTGATCTCAGCTCACTGCAACCTCTGCCTCCCGGGTTCAAGTGATTCTCCCAATTCAGCCTCCTTAGTAGCTGGGTCTACAGGCACTCGCCACCCTGCCTGGCTAATTTTTGTATTTTTAGTAGAGACGGGCTTTCACCATGTTGGCCAGGTTGGTCTCCAACTCCTGACCTCAGGTGATCTTCCCTCCTCGGCCTCCCGAAGTGCTGGGATTACAGGTATGAGCCACCACACCCGGTCAACTTTTGTTTTTTTTAACCACTGTAAAAATGTTTTATTCATCTTCTCCCTAAGCTTTCTCTGTTTTTACTTTATTTCAATCATTTTTGAGAAACAGGTGGTTTTTGGTTATATAGATAAGTTCTTTAGTGGTGATTTCTGAGACTTTGGTGCACCCGTTTTGGTCATGTAACTTTCATGGGCCAACTGGATATGATGAATGTGATGTAGACCACATTCAAACAAGATCTTCAGGCACACTTTTGTGGCTTGGCTCTGATTACTCCTGCCCCTTCCCTAAGAACAGCATGGACCCCATAGGTACTACTCTTTGGCCTGGGTCCCAGGATGAGAAGACACATGGAGCAGACAGCCTACTGCCTCAAGATGTTGTCTGTAGCCTGTAGATGACATGGAACATGGGCAACCATGACCTTACGCTGGGGAGGCCACCATGATTTGGGGTCACTGGTTATGCCACACAGTGGAGCAAATGCAGTCTTCTCAATTTTGCTGTTGCTGATGTAATTATGACAAAATTGGAGCCCTGGCCATATCTAATGGCAGACTCCCAGATGGGAGCAGCCCACAGGACATCACAGTGGAAGATAAAGTCAGAGATGCAGGTGTGCTATGTTGGTCTAAAAGCCTTCTAGCTAAGAAAACAGTTGTGAAAACTAGGGAATTCCCAGCCCATTTTGTCTGCTTTTTAGATAGTAACAAAACAAGATGATATCAAAAACAGCAACAACAAAACCAAAGGCATTCGATAATTCTGTACCATAGATTGCAAAGTACAAGCTCCCTGTCCTGGAATGGCTAAGTTTCAAGCTCTCTATTTTGTAGCTTGCTTGCCAAGACCCTTTGGGTTGACACGACAGCCTTGATAACTTGGACAAAACTGGAGGGAATTTTGGTTAAAAAAAACCTTGGTGCAATAGTTGTATTTCCAAAGTAGAGAAAAGATAGATAAATACAGAAGGATTGTAGTGAAGCGAGTGCAAATGTGCAGGGTGTGTCTCTATGACAGAGCGCAGTGTGTGTGTACTGTGTGTGTATGGTGTGTATATGCGTGTGTGCTGTGTGGGTGTGTACATGCATGCACGCGTGCGCATACACACACGTGCCAGTGTTTAAGTATAAAATAAAGGTCTCTTCTTAGAAACTGCCAAGTTTCTTGTCTTGCTTTTTATTGCAGACATTTTAAGATTTTGGTACATTTTAAGATTTGCTACAGATGGCAAATATTTATTAACAAACCAACTCTGAAATGAGCACAGTGAGAAAAGACAGTTAAAAGTTTACACAAGTCTTGAAGTCGAGAGTGAAGTGAGCCTTCCGTGCCAGCCTGCAGAGGATAGGATGATAATCAGGCCAGAAATGAGGAGAAATAGGTCTTCATGCAGTTGAAGACTTGGAATCTCTAGGCTCAGGGCTCCTTTCAATTACATACCAGAAACCTTAATGACATCCTCAGAGGACTGATCTCACATAATCGGGGGAAAATTGCAGTTCTTCACATTTAAACGGCGGTGTTATGCAATGACTTTGTCCTAATTTTTCTCTTCTCTGAATTTGTATTGCCTAATGGCCAGTATATAATGGTTTTTCTACAAGATTTTTATATATCATGCTGAACTATCTGTAGACCTTTCTCTTTTATTATTTTATGGGTGATGTTTTCATATATCCTGAATTAACTTCATTCATTCATTTTATTGAATAGCTACATCAACAATCACAATTATGAAAACAAAAACAGCCTGAATGCCTTCTAGATGCAATACAGACCAGACACAAAAAGAGAGGACAAGATTCTAACTTAAAATTCTAAAAAAGAATTCAAGAGAGCTCAGAGACTGGTGAAAGTGATAGAGATATAGAATTTAGTAACTAGTAAGGCAAAGGAAATGATAGTTGTGATGCAGACGAATGGACTGTGGAGAGATTACAGCTCCATAGAAATGAAGGTGGACTTCCTGGAGGAGTTGGCACTGAGAGGGGCTGAGGCTGTATCTGGACACTGGCAGTCAGGGAGGGGATTTAAATCACACGTAATTGGCCAGGTGCAGTGGGTCATGTCTGTAATCACAACACTTCAGGAGGCCAAGGCAGGTGGATCACACAGGCGTTCAAGACTAGACTGGCCAACATGGTGAAACCCTGTCTCTACTAAAAATACAACAATCAGTCAGGCGTGGGGGCACATGCCTGTAATCCCAGCTACTTGGGAGGCTAAGACAGGAGAATTGCTTGAACCCAGGAGGCAAAGGTTGCAGTGTGCCAAGATCGTGCCACTGCACTCCAGCCTGGGCGACAGAGAGAGACTCTGTCTCCAAAATAAATAAATCAATAAATAAAAAATAAAAAATAAAAAATAAAAATTCCATGTAACCATGTCAGTAAAGCCACAGAAGTAGACTGGCGTCTGGAAATGCAGAGAGCATGGGACGGTGCCGTTTTGCAAAAGAATATATTTCGCATTTCAGTGTGAGAAGTCTTGTCTGATTTTGCGACTAGGCTCAACCACTTTGTGAGGAATTGGCTGTGGATTCTGGAAAAGAAATTGGTTTTTGACAGAGAAAAGGAAATGGAAATAGCCTAGGTACTGTTTCTATTCCTGGTCCTGTGCGTAAGCGGCAGTCACATCAACTCTCTTCCAGGAAAAAAGTCTAACATCCTACCAAGAATGAAAATGAAGAAAGATAAGTGAGAACATTTTTGACTAAAAAGAACTTGTGGCTGGCACTAAAAATCTCTAACAGTTAAGTCTAATAATCATTATAGGTGTGTGCATTGGTCTGTTTTCATGCTGCTGATAACGACATACTCGAGGCCGGGCGTGGTGGCTGGCACCTGTAATCCCAGCACTTTGGGAGGCCGAGGCAGGTGGATCACTTGAGGTCAGGAGTTCAAGATGAGCCTGGCCAACATGGCAAAATCCTGTTTCTACTAAAAATACAAAAATTAAGTGGGTGTGGTGGTGCACACCTGTAGTCCCAAGCAGTCAGGAAGATGAGGCAGGAGAATCACTTGAACCTGGAAGGTGGAGGCTGCAGTGAGCCAAGATCATGCCACTGCACTCCAGCCTGGGCGATAGAGCAAGACACCATCTCAAAAAAAAAAAAAAAAAAAAAGAAAAGACATACCCAAGACTGAGTAATTTCAGTAATTTATTAAAAAAAAAAAAGGCATTTAATGGACTCACAGTTCCACATGACTGGGGAGACCTCATGATTATGACAGAAGGCAAAAGGCACATCTTACATGGTGGCAGACAAGAGAGAGAATGAGAACTAAACGAAAGGAGAAGCCCCTCATAAAACCATCAGATCTCATGAGACTTACTCATTACCACAAGAACAGTTGGCCGGGTGCGGTGGCTCACGCTTGTAATCCCAGCACTTTGGGAGGCCGAGGAGGGCAGATCATGAGGTTGGGAGATGGAGACCATCCTGGCTAACACAGTGAAACCCCGTCTCTACTAAAAATACAAAAAACAAAAACAAAAACAAACAAAAAAATTAGCCGGGCATGGTGGCGGGCCTGTACAGCCTGTAGTCCCAGCTATTTGGGAGGCTGAGGCAGGAGAATCACTTGAACCCGGGAGGCGGAGGTTGCAGTGAGCAGCGATCACACCAGTGCGCTCTCCAGCTTGGGAGACAAAACGAGACTCCATCTCGAAACAAACAAACAAACAAAACACACACACACAAAAGTAATAGAACTAAAACTATTGAGTTGGTGCAAAAGTAATTGCAGTTTTTGCCATGACTTTTAATGGTAAAAGCCACAGTCACTTTTGCACCAACTTAATAAAATGTATCTTTTCCAAATCACCAGAGAAGATAAAAACCAATAAAAGAAGTATCGGAGAAAAACAAAACAAGGGGCAAGGAAGGATGCAAATAGGAGATGTAAACTAGGACTGGAGTGAGGACAGTGGTTATTAGCTCTGACAATGAACACAGTTAACACAGTTCAGGCTTCTATGCTACAATGTGAAGACTCCAAAACTGAGTTTAAAAACAGAATCCATCCACATACTTCTCACAAGCAACACACTCAAATCAAAATGACACAGAAAGGTTAAAAAGATGGGCAAAAGCAAACACTAAGAAAATAAGGCCATGTTAATTTCAGGAAGATGAAATTCAGCACTTGCTACACCTATAAAAATCAGAGACCTACAGTAAGTCATTCTCACCACTTTTTATAAAACTAACACAGAAAAGTTATACTCTCAAGAACAGTGACTTCACTTTCTTGAACATCCTCCTTCAAAGACAATTTCCAAATGTTTTAGGGAATGCTTCTGGCATACCGTGGCCATCGATTCAACCAGTTCAAGACTGAAGCCATGTGTAGGCTTTGGGTAGAGTTTTGTCAGAGTTTGATGTACTGGGGACAGTTTAGATCAGTGGTTTTCAAACTTGAGTAGCATCAGAACCAACTGGGGAACGCGGGAAAACAGACACACACAAAAAATAGAAGTAAAACTATTTAATAGTAATAGTATATTACTATTTAATAATAATATTACTAGTTAATAGTACTAGTTATAGTAATAGTTAATATCAATATACTAATATGATAATATATAATTATATATAATATAATATATATTATTATTATATATATAATATAATATAATAATAGTTAATAACTAGTTACTATTACTAGTTAATAGTAATAGAACTAAAACTATTAAACAACTTGGCCTTATGCCCAGAGTTTCTTTCTTTTTCTTTTTCTTTGAGACACATTCTCGCTCTGTCACCAGGCTGAAGCGCAATGGTGTGATCTCAGCTCACTGCAACCTCTGACTCCTGGGTTCAAGCGATTCTCCTGCCTCAGCCTCCCGAGTAGCTGGGATTACAGGCCTGTGCCACCACATCTGGCTAGTTTTTGAATTTTTAGTAGAGATGGGGTTTCACCATGTTGGCCAGGATGGTCTCGATCTCCTGACCTCGTGATCTGCCCACCTCGGCCTTCCAAAGTGCTGGGATTACAGGCATGAGCCACAGCACCCAGCCCAGAGTTTCTTAATCTGGGGGCTGAGGATGTGTATTTCTTTCTTTTCTTTATTATTTATTTATTTATTTATTTATTTATTTATTTATTTATTTTTTGAGACAGGGTCTTGCTCTGTTGCCAAGGCTGGATTGCAGTGGCACAATCATAGCTCTCTGCAGGCTTGAACTCCTGAGTTCAAGAGATCCTCCTCCTTCAGCTTCTCAAATAGTGGGGGCCACCGCACCCCACTAATTTTTAAAGTTTTTGTGGAGACGTGATCTTGTTATCATGTCCAGGCTGATCTCAAACTCCTGGCCTCAAGTTATCTGCCTGCCTCAGCCTCCCAAACAGCTGGGATTTCAGGCATGAGCCCACTCACTGTGCCTGGCCAAGAATCTGCATTTCTTTCTCTGTTCTTTTCTCTTTTTTGAGACAGGGTCTCGCTCTGTCACCCATGCTGGAGTGCAGTGGCACAGTCTCAGCTCACCACAGCCTCTGCCTCCTGGGCTCAAGCAATTCTCCCACCTCAGCTTCCTGAGTAGCTGGGGCCACAGGCGTGCGCCACCACGCCTGACTAAATTTTTAAAAATTATTTTGTAGAGATGGGGTCTTGCTATGTTGCCCAGGCTGGTCTCAAATTCTTGGCCTCAACTATTCTCCCACCTTGGCCTCCCAAAGTGTTGGGATTACACGCATGAGCCACTGCACCTGGCTCCTAAAATGTAAAATTTAATGGCTTTTAGAATGTTCACAGAATTGTGTGGGACTACAGGTGTGTGCCACCAGTTTGGCTAAGTTTTAGCTTTTTATGTACCATAGAGACGAGGTCTCGCTACATTGCCCAGGATGGTCTTGAACTCCTGGGCTCTAGTGATCCTCCTGTCTCCACCTCCCGACATCCTGGGATGGCAGCCATGAGCTCCTGCACCCAACTAAGAATCTGCATTTCTAAGAAGTTCCCAGGGGATGCTTCTGCTGTGGTTCAGGAAGCATATTTTGAGAACCATTGGCTAGTTGGTTTATTCCTACTGATCCGAACATCCTCAGATCAATCAAGAAATGAACCCAGGTGAAACTGGATTCCATCAGATAAGAGATCCAGTTTCTGTTGCCACCTCACTGGCTTGAAAACCAAGCCTTGCATTGCAGCGCTGGTGGATGTGGTCTGTGATGCGGTTTGGCTCTATGTCCCCACCCAAATCTCATCTTGTAGCTCCCATAATTCCCACATGTTATGGGAGGGACCCAGTGGGAGATGACTGAATTATGGGGGAGGGTCTTTCCCATACTGTTCTCATGGTAGTGAATAAGTCTCACAAGATCTGATGGTTTGATAAGGGGAAACCTGTTTTGCATGGCATTCATTCTCTCTTTGCCTGCTGCCATCCATGTAAAACGTGACTTGCTCCTCCTTGACTTCCACCATGATTGTGAGGCTTCCCCAGCCACATGGAACTTTAAGTCCAATTAAACCTATTTCTTTTGTAAATTGTCCAGTCTTCGGTATGTCTTTATCAGTAGCATTAAAATGAACTAATACAGTCTGTCCACACCAACAGAAGCCCTGAGAATAAAAACCTGCATTTTCTGCACCTTCTCAGGAAGGGCCAACCATGCTCAAGAGGGTTTGAGGACTCTCTGCATCCAACATTGACACCATGCCAAGGAACTCACAGAAGCCCTGTGCGTTTCCAGCACGGTCTGTTTTCTTCTCCAAGAGAAGACAAAGTGTGGATCCGCAGGCTCCACAGTATTGCACAAAGAGCATTAGATGGAACATTAGGGGCCTGGGTTTTGTTCTCGGTCTCATCGCTAATTAGCTCAATGACCTTGGCAAATCCCTTAATCTCACTGTACTTTGATATTTTTGTTTGTAAAAATGAGACATGTGGACAAGAAGCTTTCCAGGGGCCCTTATGATCTAACGTTCTGTGACTCCTTCTAGAACCAAAACTTTAGGGGAATAAAAAATATCTCTATGATTATGAAAGCACTCACTCACCAGTTACACTTTTAATACAGACCATCTGTTACTGTTTCGGATGTGTCATAAACATGACAATGCCATCAGCTGGGAATCTGTGTTTCCTTCTTGCAGCATGATTGATGATATTCAGTCTGCCACCAAAAGCATCAGGAAGAAACCATTTTTTATGAGCAACCCAGCATGGTGAAATCCACTGGGCTCAGGGCCTGGGCGTGAGAAGGCCAGGAAGAAAAAACAGAACTGAGCAGTGTAAGTCGACAGCTGGCTCAGAACTGCGTTCAGTCACGGTGATCTGATTTCACTGCAGTCCTTACCCACAGGAGGCAGAAAGGCTGCCACATTAGCACAAGGAGGCTCCAAGCCCTTCAACAGAGAAGGTGTGAATTGCAATAGTTAATACAAAGACGTGTCTCCAGGCAGGTTCTGCAAATCTTTTGTAGTCCAGGACAGATGGACACGAATGGTAGATGAAGGAAAGGGCGTCTTCCTGCTGGGAAAGGAGGTGGTCAAAGGTAAGGTGGCCTTTAGATTGGGCAGACCTGGCTGCTGTGTCCACCTGGGGACAGATGTGCTAAGCCTGGTCTTGGCCTAACTCACCAGCACACAGCCCTAGAACCTGATTTGGGGAAAAAAAAAAAAAGATTTGGGATCTATCTGAGCATCCATGCCTTAGCCCTTCTGAGCTACAAAGAAGTGTACATGCCAAGCTGGAATTGCAGCATCCAATACCAAACATATGTGCATGTGCACACACGTGTTCAATGAAAATACATGGCACACACATCCAGAATTTTCTGTGGCTCCCAGGACCCACATGGCATCTTCCATGGGCAGCTTTCATTCTCCTCCCTCGCCTACCTGGAGATCAGCTTTGCACTTCTGACAGTGTCTGAAGACTGAACTGATCCCTTATCAAATTCTACTACAGGTGAATCAGAAGGGAGTGACATCATTTGCCACTCAATAAAACTCAAGCCAAGTTTAGCCCCTGGTTACTCCTGTCCCTCCTCTCCTAGTCTCTCCTCCTGATAGTGCTTTTGCTGGGTCTATGCATCTCGTGGCCCCATCCCCTCCTGCCATATGCTTGCTCCCGCCTCCTAAACCCATCTGCCCTCCCACCTCAAGCCTAGTAATCTTTCCAACGACCACACTGATGGAGAATAAAGAGTTTGCCGGGATTCCAGGGCCAGGCAGGATGGCCCCTCCATCTACTGCCTTTGCCATCATCCATGGAAGTATGTTTTCCAACCTCCACACACACCATGCAGCTTCCTACCTCCTTTGCCTGCCCATGCTGGTCTCTCTGCCCAGAGGTCTCATTCCACCTTCTGTTTTTTCTTTTTTTTTTGAGACGGAGTCTCACTCTGTTGCCCAGGCTGGAGTGCAGTGGCGCGATCTCAGCTCACTACAACCTCCGCCTCCTGGGTTCAAGCAATTCTCCTGCCTCTGCCTCCTGAGTAGCTGGGATTACAGGTCTGCACCACCACACCCAGCTAATTTTGTGTTTTTAGTAGAGACAAGGTTTCACTATCTTGGCCAGGCTAGTCTCAAACTCCTGACCTCAGGTGATCCGCTCACCTCGGCCTCCCAAAGTGCTGGAATTACAGGCATGAGCCCACCTTTTTAACATAGAATTCTAGCACATTTTATTTAGGAAGCATCCTTGGAGAGCCCACGAAAGATCAGAAGTCTCCAACTCTAGGCCCCCATGAGACGCCATACATACAATGGGCTATTCTAACCCACTGTGTTACAATTACATATCTGTATGGAGGTCTCCTTCATAGACTGTGAGCTCTTTGAGGGCTGGGACTGCCTCTTGCTGGTTTCTCAGAGCCTCTGTGAAGCTCAGCACATAGTAAGTAATCAGTATAATGGTTTTTCTGCATGATTTTTATATATCATGCTGATTTCTTTAGACCTTCTTTCTCTCTTATTATTTTATTGGAGACGTTTTCATATATCCTGAATTAACTTCATTCATTCATTTTATTGAATAGCTACATTAACGATCGTAATTATTAAAACAACAATGGACTGAATGCCTTCTAGGTGCAATACTGACTGGACACAAAAAGGGAGGACAAAAGTCTAACTTAAAATACTAGGCTGGGCACGGTGGCTCACACCTGTAATCCCAGCACTTTGGGAGGCCGAGGCAGGTGCGTCATCTGAGGTCAGGAGTTTGAGACCAGCCTGGCCAATACGGTAAAATCTCATCTCTACTAAAAATGCAAAAATTACCTGGGCGTGGTGGTGCACACCTGTAGTCTCAGCTACTCGGGAGGGTGAGGCACAAGAATCACTTGAACCTGGGAGGTGGAGGTTGCAGTGAGCTGAGATCATGCCACTGCACTCCAGCCTGGGTGACAGAATGAGACTCCATCTCAAAAAACCAAAAAAATTCTAAAGGAAAAATGCAGTAGAGCTCAGAGATTGGAGGAAGGGACAGACGTACAGAATTTAGTAACTAGTAAGGCAAAGGAAATGATACTTGTGGTGTAGGTGAAAGGACTGAAGAGAGATTACAGTTAGATAGAAATAAGTGTTCAATAAATGAATGATTGGATGAATTAATGAATACTGCTGCTGACTTCCATAAGATAATGGACCCTGTTCCTTTCTGCTCTCTCTCCTCCCTACCCCTCTCGAATCCTGCATCCCTGTGTTTATCTGGTAGTTACACATGCCTACTTGGAACACTGCTGAGCCCAGTTCCAGATCACACTTCTCTCCTTGTCACAGTCCCTGAGCCAGCTGGACTTGTACCTGGTCTCACCTGTTCTTTTCTGCTCTGAAGCCACCCAAGCCTGAGGGTAACACATTAACTTGGAAAATGGAAATATGCCTAAATAATCCTCAACCATGACACTGATGTATCCTGTGGCTTTCTGGAAGGAAGAAATGACGTCTTTCTCCTCTCACTACCTTCCAGGACAGCTGGCAGAATGTCTGGTTACAAAATGAATGAATGTGAGAAGGGAGAAATTAATTGGCCAATTCTTACTGATTAAACCCTTTACCTAATCCAAGCAAGAGACTGGGAAAAATAGGCATGAGACCATTTACTGGAACCCAGAGAATCTTCCGACTCCCTTCCAGGCAAAGGTTTTAATCTTGCCTGGCAGTGGGTTTTTTAAAACATGTGTTGTTCAGAACATCCATCCTTTCTCCCTCCGCCCAAGGAGAAATGTGGGAGTATATCCAAATCCTGTTTAGAGAAAGCTGCTTTAAAATCTATACGGCTATTCTGAAGTTTCCTAGTGACTCACTAAGTGAGGAGATATTCTGGAAATCACAATCTCAAGCCATATTGATTTTAGTAACTGCTGCTGGACTCGTGTCTCTTGCGTGATTAATGGCATCCTGCTTAAATCGCACAGTTTATCCAGGACTCTAAGAAACACCACAGTCAAAGCATAGCACATACTGATGGCTTGAAGTGATGGTACATCAGCCATCCAGAGTTCCTTGGGGAAAGCAATTTTCAGATTAGATCCTGGATCCCAAAGGAAAGAACAAGTAGAAATGATGATATGAAGATAATTGTTTTCTTTAGAAACCAAGGGAAACAGGAAATGTACAGACTCAGTAGAAAATAAGAAAGAAGATGCCTGAGGTAGAAATTACTGATGAGCATTCTCACACGGTATTTCTATTTTTATAAATTAGATCAGATCATGCCATGCTCCTGCTTAAAACCCTCTGAAGATGTCTCCCTTGAGCTAAGAATAAAATGCTGCTTCCATGTCCTGGCAAGGAAGGAATGCATGACCTGGCCCTGTCCTCTTTTTCTTCTCCTCTCACTTGCTCCAGCCACCCTGGATGGCATCTAGTTCCCAGACCAGGGACATATGCTGTCTCCCCCAGGGGCCTTTCATGAGCTGCTCCCTCTGAGATAAGAATTCGTCACCCAAACCTGTTCCCCACAGCTCATTGTTCCTGTCATTTGCACCTGCAGTGGTCCCCATGTGTCACACTTATGACACCATATCCAACTTTCTGCATAACTTTCATCACAGGCTCAGGTTTTCTGTTTTTGTTTACTTGGGAGTTAGATGCTTCCATGTCTATCTCCCTACTGTAGTGTGTAAGTGCCATGGAAAAAAGGTTATTCCCTGTATTGATCACCACCAATTTCTCTAAACCTAGAACAGCCCCTGGCAAAGAGCTGACAGTCAGTGAATATTTTTTATTAAATGCTTGAACTCCATTATCCTATATCCTTCTTGGAGTCTTATATAGTAGTGATGTCTAATCTAATAGGAAAAGCAACCACCATATGATTGCAAATTAAATTTAAAAAATGCTGGCTAGAAGGACACTCCAAAGTTCTGTCATTCCTATATTTTAAAAAGCTACACAGTAAAATCAAGGTAAGGTGGGCTAAAACAGCAGGGGAAACACTGGCCCTCTCCCAAAGATGTTATGGAGTGAGTGTTTGTGTGCTCCAAAATTCCTATATTGAAGTGCTAACACCCAGTATAATGGTAGTGGCAGGTCAGGACTTTGGGAGGTGATTAGGTTTCAAAGTGGTGATGTGAGTGGGGCCCCAATGATGAAATTAGTATCCTGTAAGAAGAAGAAAGGACTGGAGCCCTCCCTCTTCCCACCATGTGAGGACACAGCCAGAAGGTATGCTGCTGCAAACCAAGAAGAGAGCGCCATCAGAAAATGACCATGCTGGTGCCCTGACCTTGAATGTCCCAGCCTCAGAACTGTGAGAAATAAATGTCTGTTGTTTAAGCTGCCTAGTCCATGGTATTTTTGTTACGGTCGCCTAAGCTAAGACATGAGAACTTTGACATCCCCACATTACTGTAAAGGAGCCCCTGGGGTGACTTCAAGCTCTGAGCAATGGCGACAAGAAATAGAATATAAATGTTGGCCAGGAAGACATTTATCCCAGGTGGCTCAGGAGATTCCACTGAGGGTGTTGTGTGCTCTGAGTGCAGAGAAACCAAGCATGACCCTGGGAGGCTGTAATTGTTTTCTTGGTAGGTCAAACATAGGAAGTTTAGCCACGAAGGATAAAAGTAGTTATCTTGGAGGTAGAAATCTTGAGTTAGAGCAGAGATGCTGCTCCAGGTGACAGGGAGCATGGGCAGAATGGGGAGAAATGGAGAGCATCCATGGCACAGGCTTGGTAGGCAGAGCTGCTCTGGAAGAAAAGCACCTGCCCAGCCCTTGGGCTGATCTCAAGTCACTCAAATCACCCCTGCAAGTTCCTATTTTCTTCAAGGAACCCTATACACCTGCAGAGCACAAGATGTATACCTGCACCCCTCCTGCATTCTGAAGTAGACCCTAAGATCTACAGCAAGCTACCCAGGAGACAGGAGAGAAAGCATAGAAGAAGGGCTATTTCTCTATCCCTTAGATGTCCAGGTGTACTGCAATCAACTCCTCCACTCCAGTTCTGGAATTAAGGGGTTCTACTGCTGATCCCATCATCACGTACCAAGGGCTGCTCCATCACTCCTCCGAAAAAGTGTGACTCAAGTCCTAATCTTTGTCTGCTACTAATCATGGTAGATTCTGAGCGGGAAAGGAAAATACATTCTCACTATGCCAAAGGGGAAAGTTAAGCTTGGAAAGTGAATCATGCAAAAACTGCCTCCCTTTTTTTTTCCTAAATGGAAAGCTGCAAGATAGGTTACTTATCTCCCCAAATGGCCTCCTTCACCCTGACAACATAAATTAAAATCCTACCTTTACAGATTCTGGAGAAAGACAAAACTAGAAATCATCCCTCTGTCCACCAAGAGTCCAATGCGTATCTCACTTCTTCCTCTACCATATGTTCATCTTATGCAAAATGCAGTTGACCGATTGCAAGATAAATGCATAATCGGCTGCTCCTCTATCCCCTCCCTCCTTTGATATGCAACACGTGGATCCAGTGAGTGCTAATGAAAGCCTCACGAGAAAGTGACTACTTATCTCACTACCTACCTTCCCTTTCTTTCTCTTTCCTCCTTCCCACCCTGCCGCTCTTTCCCCTTCAAATATTGAAGTCCTCAAAACCCTCTTTGGAAAAAACACAGGTCCCAGATCCTACTGTAATTTTTGTCTCTTTTTATCTGGGCGCATCCTCACCCTTGGCAAAATAAACCTCTAAATTGATTGAGACCTGTCTCAGATACTTTTTGGTTTACATAAGCAAGTACTAAATTCCTCAATTATCTGAATGAGGAAGGTGATAATTCTCCTCTCCCCATGGGGAAAGGAACAGAGATTTAAAGAAAGATGAGCCAATTTAAAGAGGGCCTGTATCCATGAGTAGGGAGTGCGGGTGCTATCCAGGGTCTAATCAGAACCTCAGGGAGTGCTCCTTAGAAGCCCAACCTCGAAAGACACTATCACTGCGTCTGATGAAGTCCTTTCTTGACCACAAAGCCCACTCAGGAGAAAGTAAAAGACAGAGAGAAACTTAGGTGATGTAGCTTGTTACATAATTAAGAAGCTTCAGTACAAGACTAGTAATGTAGACACAGGACTGTCCCCTCCATCCCCTTCCAGCTGCATTCCACTAGCAGGAATCTCCTGGCAGACGCACAGTCCAGTGGACTCAGGGTTGAGGGAGATGTGTAGTCCCAGAAATGCAATGCCAACCCGAGCCTCTCCCCAGCTCCTAAGGCATTTCTCTCTCTTTGTATCCTTTGTGAACCAATCATGGAGTGGTGTATTAGTCTGTTCTAACACTGCTATAAGGACATACCTAAAACTGGGTAATTTATAAAGAAAAAGAGGTTTAACGGACTCACAGTTCCACATGGCTGGGGTAGCCTCACAATCACAGCAAAAGGTGAAGGAGGAGCAAAGGCACATCTTACATGGCAGGAGGCAAGAGAGAATGAAAGCCAAGCGAAAAGGGAAACCCCTTATAAAACCATCAGATCTCGTGAGATTTATGCACTATCACAAGAACAGTATGGGAGAAACTGCCTCCATGATTGAATTATCTCCCACCAGGTCCCTCCCACAACACGTGGGAATTACGGGAGCTACAATTCAAGATGAGATTTGGGTGGGGACACAGCCAAACCATATCAGGTGGTCAGGCTCTGGTGAGGGATGATTCACTGCCCAACTGAAACTGATCAAAGCAAGACAGTAATTTTGGCAACTGCAAACCAAGAAGTTTGAATGTATACCTTAGAGAAATGAAGCCATTAGAGACAGAGTCAGGCTGAGCAAGGAATTAAGATTAGAACACATTTCAGAAAGACAAACTAGATTTCCAGTGACAGGCTAGACAGGCATGGAGGTCCTGGGGCCCGTTAGGAGATTTTTACCAAAAGAGATGGATGATGAGATGGGTATTGGATGAGGATGGGCTGGAGAAAAGAAAGACAGATGGTAGAGATTTACAATAGTAGATCCATCAGGACTCAGTGCCTACATCTCAAGGAAGGCACTGGGGACAGCAGTACCCCAGGTCCCAAAAAGGGCCCTCCACCCCCCACTGTTTATGAGCTCAATAGGGTTCATTTACCTTTCACCTGGTAAGGGTACCTTACCTTTCACCTGGCTAGCGTCTACCTCTTTGGGTCAGGTTAGACCACAGTGCCATCCTTGATCGTTCCCAGCTGCGCCAGTGTGCTCCCATAATGCCTCTTAGAGTCATATCACCTACCCCATCATGCAGTTTTTTGTTGGTGGTGTTGCTTTTTGAGATAGGGTCTTGCTCTATCACCTAGGCTGGAGTGTGGTAGCATGATCATAGCTCACTGCATCCTTGACCTCCTGGGCTCAAGCAATCCTCCTGCTTCAGCCTCCTGAATTGCTAGGACTACAGATACATGCCACCATGCCCGGCTAAATTTTTAAATTTTGCTTTTGTAGAGACAGTCTTGCTGTATTGCCCAGGCTGGTCTCAAACTCCTGGTCTCAAATGATCCTCCTGCCTCGGCCCTGCAAAGTGCTGGGATGACCGGCATAAGCCACCATGCCCAGCTCTCCACTGTGAATTCCTGTAATTGACTCATCTGTTTTCCCAACCAGACCTTACACTCTACAGAGCAGCAGTGCCATTTGTCTCAATTATCATTGAACCCACAGTCCCAGGATACAGAAAGCCTTTCTTCCATGTCAATTTCTCTTACTAAATTTTCCTACATACTTTTTCTCCTAGGAAAAGTTAACTAGTACCTTAAAGGATTAAAAAAAAAAATAGCCAAGGGGCCGGGAGCAGTGGCTCACACCTGTAGACTCAGCACTTTGGGAGGCCGAAGTGGGCGAATCACTTGAGGCCAGGAGTTAGAGACGAGCCTGGCCAACATGGTGAAACTCTGTCTCTACTCAAAATACAAAACTTAGCCAGGCATGGTGGAGCATGCCTGTAGTCACAGCTACTCGGGAGGCTGAGGCAGGAGAATCGCTTGAACTGGGGAGGCGGAGGTTGCAGTGAGCCAAGATGGTGCCACTGCACTCCAGCCTGGGCGACACAGCAGGACTCAGTCTCAAAAACCAAAAAACAAAAAAACAAAAAAACAAAAAAAAACACCAAGGGAAGATTGGCCATGAGTTGATAATCGTTCAAGCTGGGTGATGGGTGCAGGGAAGTTTGTTATATTTTTCTCTCTACTTTTGTATATGTGTAAATTTTCCAATCGTGGAGTGGTGTATTAGTCTGTTCTCACAGACTAATAAAGAGCTGCAAATGAAAATAAAGTGAAATTGCCAAGAGAGGAATAAAAGTTGGAATTCAGGGTTCCTTGACTCCTAGGGAACGGCCCAATCCATAAAAGACAGCTCAGCCTTTAGTTACAACAACCATCCCTGAAAAACAACACAAACAGCTTAATCAACCCGAGAACACAGAAAAGGCTGTTTGTGAAACTTAATTGCCATTTTAATGTGTTTTAATTGCACAGAAATGCTATTTAATGTAGTGTTTCAGTTTCCATTTGCCATTTTGAGAAATTTCAGTGCTCAAAAAAGAGGAGGCCAGGTTGGAGCTAAAGGAATCTTGGCCCATTTGACAATCATGAAATGTTTCCCTTGACAGCCGACCTGGGCCTCAGGCCTGATTCTCCTCATTCTCCCCACTCCACCACTGCCTTCCCCTTGCATACAAGGAGACAAGTTTGTGCCTGGTTGTCAGAACAGAGAGAGGGAACAATGCCTAGGGCAGTACCTGGGCACAGTTCATTACCAGAATAACTGGGGCACAGCCAAAGTGGGCCACTTCCCAGGGGGTGGACCAGAGAGCCCTGAAAAATAGCTCCAGCCTCAATGGTCTCTCACGTTCATCTCTGAAGGGGCATCAGAGCAGAGAAACAGAAAGAGCTGAGAAGCAACGTTGCCGTCTTGAACATTTCTGCTCATGGCCCAAGCTGACTGAAGCGGTTTTTCAAAGAACATCTTCCCAGAAGGCTGGTGGACGACTTGGAGGTCTTTTATGAGTCAGAGACAGCTAGGCTTTCCTAAGGAGCTGGAAGTCAGGGCATGTCCACCCAGACAGAAGAACAGCTACCCTGGGCTACCTCTCACTGTCACGTGTCACGACACAGAGAGCAAAGAAGGGGAACTTCCATGATGTCAGAAGGCTGCAACCCAGGGCCGGGCACAGTGGCTCATACTTATAATCCCAGCACTTTGGGAGGAGTGAGGCGGGCGGATCACTTGAGGTCAGGAGTTTGAGACCAGCCTGCGTAACAAGGTGAAACCCTGTCTCTACTAAAAATACAAAATTAGCTAGGAGGCATGGTGGCACACACCTGTAGTCCCTGCTACTTGGGAGGCTGAGGCGGGAGAATCGCTTACACCTGGGAGGAGGATGTTGCAGTGAGTCAGTACATCAGCCTGGGTTAACAAGAGTGAAACTCTGTCTCAAAAAAAAAAAAAAAAAGGCTGGAACCCAAATTAGTACATTGACATAGGGTTAGTGTTGAGACTTAACTGCAGATAGAAGGAAAAATTCCTTTTGATCCTGGCAGATGGGACATGTGTCCTAAGAGTACTGTGGTACATGGCAGTGACTACCAGAAATGTCTAGCAGAAGCACAACTCTGGGAAATATGACAAGAGAAGGGACCCCTGGGCAATCCAAGCAACAGCATCAGAGATGTCTGTTGTGGGTGATATGCAGGACTGCCACCTAAGGTTGTGGAGGTTGTGCACTGCCCAACTATAGGGGGCACTATGGTAGACTTATTTATTAATGATGATGGTTTTCCAGTAGATGGCAGGAAAGGGTCTTCAAAAAGGGTACTTTTGCCTAATTTGCATAAAGTGATACTTAGGCTAGCAGGGGTGCTAGTGACAGGGCCCATGTCCTAGGACTGGAGTTTAATGGCTGGACAAGGGCCACATGGGGCTGGAGAAGCCTTGCAGGAATCCATTGCTAAAGGGATGAAGTCCTAGGCAAATGAACTAGGTCTCAACAGGAAATCAGATCAGGCTGTGCCACTGCGTGAAAGTCTTCAAAAGGCTTCCCATTGCTGTTGCAATAAAATTGCCTAGGGCCACGAGGGTTGCTTGCAGGATCTGCTGCTCTCACGCTCTCCCCTAACCTCATTCTGCCCCTCAACCCCTATTACCCACACTCCAGGCACCCTGGTTTCCTATCTGATCCTTGCCAAATCCAAGCCCATTCCCACTTCCTTGTCTGTGCATTCGAACCCACTGCTTGAGATGCTCGGCCCTGTCCTGCTAAGCTGGGTCCATCTCTCTCTCTTTTTTAGAGACAGGGTCTTCCTCTGTCACCCAGGCTGGAGTATGGTGCATGATCATGGCTCACGGCAGCCTTGACCTCCCGGGATCAAGTGATCCTCCTGCCTCAGCCTCCTGAGTAGCTGGGACTACAGGTGTGCACCACCATGCCTGGCTAATTCTATCATTATTATTATTATTTGTGAAGATGGGGTCTTACTATGTTGCCCAGGCTGATCTGGAACTCCTGGCTTCAAGGGATCCTTCTGCCTCGGCCTCCCAAAGTACTAGGATTACAGGTGTGAGGCACTGCATCCAGCCTCGGCTGGTCCAACCTCATCTTGCAGGTCTCAGTTCAGACAGGCATACCCTGACCTTCTTCTCCAAACCAACATTCCCTTCCTACCTGGGAAGAGGATGCAATCAATAGAATGAACATCATGAGGACAGGCTTTTCATAACAGCCTCCCTGGAGCTTAAGAATAAAAGGCACAATTTAAAGAGAAGGATGCAAAAGAGACCCCTGAATGAGAAGAATGGAGAGGAAGCCTGGTAAGGAGACACTGTCAGGACCTGGCCTGCATCCCTGAGGTCTCCCTACACCTGCTGAAGCCCTTGGCTTCCAGGGCCTTTTGATCTGGGTGGATTCCGTGTTCTCCCAGCGATTATGACCTTGGCCTATGAGTCTGCACTCTGAGGCAAGTTGGAAGTGGCAGGAAATTAGCACCCAGGCATGACCCAACTGATGGAGGACAAAATTTGGGTGGACAAAAACCTCAGCAAATCTACAGACAGGCAGTACATTAGTGATTGTCTAGGGCTGGGAGGGATGGAGGGGCTGAGAGATGATAGCTAAGAAGTATGGGGTCTCTTTCTGAGGTAATGAAAATGGTCTAAAATGGATTGTGTTGATGGACACACAATTCTGTGAATATTCTAAAAGCCATTACATTTTACATTTCAGGGGCCAGGTGCAGTGGCTCATGCCTGTAATCCCAACACTTTGGGAGGCCAAAGTGGGAGGATCACTTGAGGCCAGGAGTTTGAGACCAGCCTGGGCAATAGAGCAAGGCCCCATCTCTACAAAATATTAAAAAACATTAGCCAGGCGCAGTGGTGCACACCTGTAGCCCCAGCTACTCGGGAGACCAAGGCAGGAGGATTGCTTGAGCCCAGGAGTTCAAGGCTGCAGTGAGCTATGATTGCACCACTGTACTCCAGGTTGAATGAGAGACAGAGAACCTGTCTAAAGAAAAAAAAAATTGTACACTTTAAATGGAGAATTGCATGTCATGTACATTATATCTCAATAAAGCTAATTAAGAAAAACAAAAGACCCCCAGTGTCCTCTTCTCTCTTGGGGCAGTGTTGAAGGATGCTGCATCCCGTTTCTCTGGGGATCTCCGGCAGGTTGAACCCCAGCTGCCCATAGCAGTGACCCAATTAAGCCTCCATCTCTCTGTTCCCATGTCCTGCCTCCCTTCCCCTGACAGTGCTTTCTGGGATCAGCTCCCAAAGGAATTGCATGCCCAGATCCTAGCCTCAGGCTCTTTGGGAGCATCCCAAAAAAGATACAGGCTCTAGTTTGAATCCTAGCTCCTGTGACAAACTTATGAGCTATGTGACTACGGGCAAGTTTAAGGCTCAGGAAAGCCAAGTGTTTCCCTAGCTACACAACAGAGATAATTATACCCACTTGGTCAACATACTTGTGAGGATTAAATGAGATAGCAAATTATAAATACCCAGAATGGGGCTGAGCACAAGTATTAACAGAGATAGGGGTTAGCTTGAGTATACAGACACTCCTCCACTTATGCTTGGGGTTACATCCCCATACACCCATCCTAAGCTGAAGGGTGGGGACTTGGAACACCTAAGTGGAAAATGCACTTCCTGTACTTAATCTCCAGAATATCACAGCTTAGCCTAGGCTATATTACATGTGCTCAGAACACTTACATTAGCCGGCTGTCGGGGAAAATCATCTAACACAGACTATTTTATAATAAAGTGTTGCATATCTCATGTAATTTATTGAATACTGTATTGAAAGCGAAAAACAGAAATGGTTGGATGGGTACTCGAAGTACGGATTCTACTGAATGTGTATTGCTTTCACACCCTTGCAAAGTGGGAAAATCGTTAAGTCGAACCATCGTAAGGCAAACAATTTTTAAGTCGGAAACTGTTTTTATGGTGGAGTGGCTGGAAGAGAAAGCAGGTGAGAGGCTGTATGTACGCAGACACACGGGAACGGGCATGCACACGCATACACACACAGACACATGCACACGAGCGCACGCACAAGAACGTGTCCAGGGTACCTTCCTGGGAACTTCTGAAGCTCCAGAACCTGGCAAAAGACTCTAAGCAAACTGCAAAACCAGCGGCCCCACAACCAGGGAGCTCCTGGGTGTGAAGTCTGTCACTGGGGAAGGAACACAGTTTTCTGGAGGGAAGTGAAGCAGGGAGATAGTAAAACGCCCTCCAGGGTCCCTTTGGCCCCCACAGCCCGGGCATGAAGGCTGGGGACTTGGAGCACCTGGGTTCCTCAGAGCTGGTGCCGGCGAGGACCTGCAATCATCTCCTACACCCACAATGATAGCAGCTCCAGTAACACCCCGAGAGTCTGCTAACCACCCATGGGCCGGGGGGTGCTGCGTGTGCTCACTTCTCTAGTTTTTAATGACTGCTCTAGCTTCCAAGGAGGCAGAAAGGCAGGCAAATGCTCTCACTGTTTAGCCAACGGCATCCAGGTTTCTGTCTCTTAAAAGCCAATTGGAAATTATACAGTGTCACAGATACAAACACAAGACCACAAATCTTTGCATGATGGAATCTGGATGCCAAATTGCTCTAATATTTCCAAGCTGCCAAAGCTTAGATCCAGGATTAGCTGGTTTCACGTAATTGCAACAGACATGGAAACCTTTTTAAAAATATGCTGATCAATGTCACACGCTTACGGTGGAGGTTGCGTTTATTTCTTGCCTCGCCTGGAGACCAGGTCTCTGGCTCTAAAAATTCCCCCAGGGAAAGAAACTAAGCAGAGGAAAGGAGAGGTTCACTCCAATGACTGGGGGGCATGCAGGCCTGCAGGAAGCCCCTCATTCCAGCAGCTCAGCCTCCATCTCATTACGGCAAGGAAACTAGGCACAATTAGAATGAGGGGGCTTAATTTCTTCGGGGTGGACTGGCGCAGCTTAAAATACTTAATATTTTGTTTTATCTTCATTGACTTGTCTAATAATGCAGAAAATATCCTCCTCGGGCATTGAACAAAGGAGATTATTCTGTCACACAAGCTTAACAAAGCCTGTGAGCTGCATGCTGATCTGAGGCGTGGGGAACTTGAAATCCTCCTGCTTAAAACAATTAGGCTTATCATTTGAGAGAGGAGCTTCCTTCTTCATCCTGCATGCAAACACCTCCCAGTTCCTTCCCAACTCTGGGCAAGTGTGCAGTGTTCTAGATCACTCTTTTACCTGACAGGTAATAAACAGGTAATCAGAAGATGCAAATTCATGCTGCATTAAAGGGACACGGCTCGAAGATTAACCAACGCATTGGCTCAGGGCCCAGTGGCGTCTATAGACACAGGCAGGTTTAATTTTCTTAGTGTGCCAAGGCTGGCCAAAAAAATTCAAACTCAAGGGGTCAAAGGCGGACCCAGGGTGAGTGCTGACTGCCAGGCAGCTGTTCCAGCAGAACTATCTCCTAATTATTCTGGACCTGTGACAAGGTTTTCTCCAGAAATCAGAAATCACCTAGATTGTATAGATACATACCAAGTGTTTTCCTCATTTTAGCTGAATTTAATTTTCATTGTATATAAAAAAATAAATTGCCAAATAACTTCAGGCTCAAAACTGTATGTCAAGACAAGGGAGGGATGAAGCAGGCTGAAGGCTTAACAGTAGACTTTTTGGTGCGTTGAATGTGCCTTTTATTTTATTTACTTATTTATTTATTTAGAGACAGGGTTTTACTCTTGTCATCCTGGCTGGAGTGCTGTGGTGTAATCATGGCTCACTGCAGCCTCGACCTCCTGGGCTCCAGTGATCCTCTTGCCTCAGCTTCCAAGTAACTGGGAGTACAGGTGTGCACCACTATGCCCAGCTAATTTTTAGTTGTTTTGTAAATATGGGGTCTCACTATGTTGTCCAGGCTGGCCTGGAACTCCTGGCCTCAAGCGATCGTCCCACCTCAGCCTCCCAAAACGCTGGGATTATAGGCGTGAGCCTCTGCACCTGGCCTGAATGTGCTTTTAAAAATCCTTCCTTTGAAATTACAACTATTAGGTTGCTGCAAAAGTAACTGCGGTTTTGCCATTACTTTCAATGGCAATTACTTTGCCACCAACCTAACAGATGGGAAGAATAAGTTCTAGTGTTCTATAGCACTGGAAGATGACTACAGGGAACAATAATATATAGTCTCAAATAGCTGGAAGGAAAATATTGCATGTACCAGTACAACACAAAGAAATGACAAATGTTTGAGATGATAGACACGCTAACTACCCTGATTTGATTACTACATATTGCATGTATTGAAACATCTCTATGTACCCCATACATATATACAATTATTATTTGTTAATTAAAACATAAAATTATATGTAAAAAATTAATATTCCTAAGTCCAGGTAGGGTAGCTCACGCCTGTAATCCCAGCACTTTGGGAGGCCGAGGTGGGCAGATCACCTGAGGTTAGGTGTTTGAGACCAGCCTGGCCAATATGGTGAAACCCAGTCTCTACTAAAAATACAAAAATTAGACTGGCGTGGGGGCAGGTGCCTGTAATCCCAGCTACTCGGGAGGCTGAGGCAGGAGAATCTCTTGAACCCAGAAGGCGGAGGCTGCAGTGAGCCAAGATTGCACCACTGCACTCCAGCCTGGGCGACAGAGCAAGACTCCATCTCAAAATAAATAAATAAAATAAAATAAAATAAAATAAAAATTCCTTCTATGCCCCAGCTAGTGTCCTCCTGTTTGATTTTAGAACTGTGAATTCCAATTTTATTTTTTATGGATACATAATATTTGCAAATACATATGGAGTCCTAGTGATATTTTGTTACATGCATAGAAGGTGTAATGGTCAGAACTACCATACCACCCACCAATGCCACTACTACTAGGTATTTATCCAAAGGAAAGAAACTTGTGTATCAAAGAAATACTTCTCCCTTGGTTTTGAGTCTTGGTTTTGCTGTAGCCAAGAGGCAGAGAAAGAGAGATCAACACAATGGGGCCTGTGGCTTCTGAATCTCAAGTGTATATGAAGCTTATTATGGAGCTAAGAGAAATGTTGGGCTGGACAATCAGAGAGCTAAATGCTTGGTGCCCCAAAAGCAGAAGTAATTACTTCTCTTTCTGTTCTCACCTTTTTAAATAAGTTCTCTGAGGGGAGGCACTTATAAAGAGCCTGCCAAGGGCTTGTGTTGAAGGGGAAAATATACTCAAATATTCACATAGTTAACAGCAGAATCACTGAAGCTGGACATGGCAGGAGAAGCACATGGCCTTCCAAGAGCACATAATGGGGTAATGGGACCTCTTCAGGAATGCCGAGGAGGTTCTCCAGGAGAGCTGACTTCTTTTTCTGAGACAGAATCTCACGCTGTCACCCAGGCTGGAGAGCAGTGGCAAGATCATGGCTCACTGCAGCCCTGAACTCCCAGGCTCAAGCAATCCTCCCACTTCAGCCTCGTAAGTAGCTGGGACAACAAGTATGTGCCACCCCATATGGCTAATGTTTATATTTTTTTGTAGAGATGGGGTCTCACTATGTTGCTCAGGCTGGTCTTGAACTCTTGGCCTCAAGTGATCCTCCCACCTTAGCCACCCAAGGTATTAGAATTACAGGTGTGAGCCACTGTGCCTGGCCCCAGGAGAGCTGACTTCTGAGGGATGAGAAGTAATTCACTGGCAGGAGAGGGAAGATATGAGATGCCAACAGTGGGACTAGCACGTGCAAAGGTCCTGTGGCCTGGGGAAGATGTGGCAGGAAGAAGAGGAGGAAGGCCACGAGGTGGAAGAGAAGCGAAACTGTTCAAATTGGGGATAAAGAGAAAGAAAAGACCAGAGCACACTGGGTTCTGTGGGTCAAGTAAGAGATCAGACTTTTAATCCTATAAAGCAAGGAGGGGCCACTACATGATGCAGTGTATGCACACAACAGCGTGTGGGGTGTGATCCAACTTGCCCTAAGATTGCAGTGTGGGATATATGCTGGAGAATGTCAGGAGGGGATGAAAGCAAACCAGTTCAAAGGCTACAGCAGAGAGACCCAGGGGAGAGATGACAATGGTATGACCTCGGGTAGCTGCAGCAGAGGTGCATAGAGAGATCTGAGAGCTATTCAGGACGTAGCATTGAGAGGTGACGGGCCACAGAGAGAGGGCAGAATTCAGGGTATTTTCTGACACTGCCCTGAATCCATGCCAGGCCCAATAAGTAAACTGAAAGACTGAAAAATACCAGACAGCAAATTTGACAAAGGTAATTTGTAAATAAGTAAAATATGTAAATAAGTAAACTAGGTAAATAAGTAAACTATGTAAATAAGTAAACTATGCAAAATATGTAAATAAGTAAACTAGGTAAAAAAATGTAAATAAACTGCAAAATATGTAAATAAGTAAACTAATTAAAATATGCAAGTAAACTATGTAAAATATGTAAATAAGTAAACCAAAAGAGAGTGATAAATAGCAGACAGCAAATTTGACAAATTACCTTTGTCTAATTCACTGTCTGCTGTTTGTCACCCTCTTTTAGTTCACTTATTTATTTATTTATTTATTTATTTATTGAGACGGAGTCTAGCTCTGTCGCCCAGGGTGCAGCGGTACGATCTCGGCTCACTGCAACCTCCGCAACCCAGGTTCAAGCAATTCTCCTGCCTCAGCCTCCCGAGAGTAGCTGGGATTACAGACGTCTGCCACCAAGCCCAGCTAATTTTTTTTTTTTTTTTTGAGATGGAGTCTCGCTCTGTCACCCAGGCTGGAGTGCAGTGGCACAATCTCGGCTCACTGCAGCTCCGCCTCCTGGGTTCACACCATTCTCCTGCCTCAGCCTCCCGAGTAGCTGGGACTACAGGTTCCCGCCACCATGCCCGGATAATTTTTTGTATTTTTGGTAGAGATGGGGTTTTACTGTGTTAGCCAGGATGGGCTCAATCTCCTAACCTCATGATCCGCCCGCCTCGGCCTCCCAAAGTGCTGGGATTATAGGCGTGAGCCACCGCGCCTGGCCATTTTTTGTATTTTTAGTAGAGACGGGGTTTCACTGTATTGGCCAGGCTGGTCTCAAACTCCTGACCTCGTGATCTGCCCGCCTCAGCCTCTCAAAGTGCTGGGATTACAAGCGTGAGCCACGGTGCCCAGCCCTTATTAACGTATTTATGTATTTTGACTATCTGTTCTAAGTACCTAGAATAAAAGCTCCAGGAAGGCAGGAACATCATCTGTCTCACTAAAACACTGGGTAGAATTACCCCTGGACAATAACACACTCTCATGAACCTGCAAGGCAGACCAGGTAGAAAGAGGAATACAGTACTGAAATCTTGGCTACATTGAATTTCAGGTACCTTTGACATTCCCAAGAGATAATTCCCAGTAGGAAACTGGATCTATGGGTCAGGAGCTCAGAAAAGTGATATAGGCCAGGCACACTGGTTCATGCCTGTAATTCTAGCACTTTGGGAGGCCGGGGTGGGCAGATCGCTTGAGGTCAGTAGTTCAAGACCAGCCTGGTCAACATGTCAAAGCCCTGTCTCTACTAAAAATACAAAAATTAGGCATGGTGGTGTGTGCCTGTAGTCCCAGCTACTCGGGAGGCTGAGGCAGGAGAATAGCTTGAACCTGGGAGGCAGAGGTTGCAGTGAGCTGAGATCACGCCACTGCACTCCAGCCTGGGTGACAGAGCGAGACCCTGGCTCAGAAAAGTGATGTAAATTATGACTCATGCATAGAAGTGATCATTGACATGTGATCGTGTAGGGAATTGCCTAGGGAGAAAGCTTGGAGTGAGAAGACAAGGAAGTCTAGGTGTGAGTCTTGAAGGATTTCAGCATTTAATAGCTGTGGACAGAATCATGGGGAAAAAAGTAGCCCAACAAGTAAGAAGAATGCTGAAAAAGTCCAGATGAGGGTAATACAGTGGATACCAAGGAATCAGTATTTCAGGGTGGGTGATCAACAGTGCAGGGGGCTAATGACCAAGAAAGCAGACATTTCAACAATGTCTGACTTAGTAACACGGTGTGCCTATTAAGAGCCATCTCAAGCACTTGATGGGGCAAACTGATATCCTGGGGTGAAGTCAGAGGCTGTTTCGGCAACTTCATGCTGTGGAACACATTATTGTAAACTTAGTTTATGAAAACAATATATTTGTTCACAAATCTACAATTGGGGGTCAAGCTCAGTAAGGATGGTTGTCTCTGTTCTACTCAGTCTGAGATGGGTGACTCCAAGGCTGGGTGCTGGCATCATCTAAGGTATTCTTCACATCCGTGGTTGACACTGGGAAGATTGAAACAGTGAGGGTGAAACACCAGGAGCTCCTTGGGCATCATTTTCTGTGTCTATAGTTCCTGTTCACATGGTCTTCCCAGCATGGTGGCTTTGAGGAAGCCATCCTTCATACATGTTGGCTCAAGGCTCCCAAGATGCATGGAGGGAGAGAGAGACATACACACACCGTATTGCTCAGTGCTTCTCCTTCCTGCCATCATGTGAAGAAGGACATATCTGACAGATGTTAAAGGATGACCTAAACCCAGAAGGTCAGGCAGCAACCACCTCATTCCACCATATTCCATTGGCTGAGATAACAAAGATTCTCCCAATTCCGATGAATGTGACCCCATCTCTCAGTGGAGAAAGTGTCAACATCACACGTAACAAGACTGTGAAAGATGGGATATACTAATGTGATTAACTTTGGAAAAGAATTTGCTGCAAAAATCAATGGGTGGTGAGGAATAGACACAGCACAGGTTGTGAAGATTGGTCATAAGGGGCAAGAGAGTAGATGCTGGCAAATATGAAATTAATTTGCTTCTTTTTGCTTTGATTTTAATGCAAGAGCCTGCGTATGTTGAAAGGCCAGTGGGAGAGATTCATTTGAGAGGGAAAGGTTGAATAAACAGGAGAGTTAAGGGATTATCCATAAACAGTGCAAAACTACAAAGACATGGAATGGAATCTGAGTGCAGCTGAAGGGTCGGGCTTAGGAGGAGACAGGGCTTCTCTAGTGAAATGGGAGGGAAGAAGGGGAGGATGGTAATCTTTAAGTTTGTCTTTGCCACCCTGAGGACAAGCAGATTCCTGAGAGATGGCTCCTGCTTCCTCTGTGCAATGGAAGATGCAGCCATTTGTTGTGAGAAAGAGGGAGAAGGAAGGACAGATGTTTGGGGGAGTAGCAAAACTGTGTGACACTCTATATGACTGTAAACATTTCCTTAACCATGGCCAGAGTGGAGGGCAGGGCTGCTTGGGGTGTTGATCAGAGCCTGTCTGCCCTGCACTAAGAGTCCCTATCAACACTCAGGACATGGGTTTTGGCCAGAGAAGACCC
The DNA here is from genome assembly GCF_000001405.40 of Homo sapiens. NCBI lineage: Eukaryota > Metazoa > Chordata > Mammalia > Primates > Hominidae > Homo > Homo sapiens. The sequence goes on along the minus strand of NC_000007.14, from coordinate 71,501,615 downwards.
ATCTAGGGTTGAGATCCTGCCATTTGTATACAACAAAAAGACAGAGGAGGGAAGCCATGATGGTGCACACCTCTCATCCCACCACTTTGGAAGGTTATGGCCGGAGGATCACTTGAGGCCAGAAATTTGAGACCAGCCTGGGCAACATAGCAAAACCCCATCTGCACACATCTTTTTTTTAAAGTTAGCCAGGCATGGTGGCAGATGCCTGTAGTCCCAGCTACTCGGGAGGCTGAGGCTGGAGGATCACTTGAGGCCAGGAGTTTGAGGCTGCAGTGAGCCATGGTCACAGCACTGCACTCCAGCATGGATGACAGAAAGAGACCCTGTCTCAAAAAATTAAACTAGGCTGGGCGCGGTGGCTCACACCTGTAATCCCAGTACTTTGGGAGGCTGAGGAGGATGGATCATTTGAGGCCAGGAGTTCAAGACCAGCCTGGCCAACATGAGAAAACCCTGCCTCTACTAAAAATACAAAAATTAGCTGAGCATGGTGGTAGCGCGTGTAATCCCAGCTACTCAGGAGGCTGAGGCAGGGGAATCGCTTGAATCCAGGAGGCAGAAGTTGCAGTGAGCTAAGATCACACCACTGCACTCCAGCCTGGGTAATGGAGTAAGAATCTGTCTCAAAAAAATAAATAAATAAACTAAAAAGACAGTGGAACAAGAGCATTGAGCACAGGAATGATTGAAATGATGAGCCCTGGAATCTAAACTAGATCGATATGGTAAAGGGGGAGAAGAGAGGACAGGGGTTTGGAGGAGTGGCTAAACTACGGCTCTTACTATGGTGGTAGGAATTGTCTTAACCATGGCCACATGGTGAACGGCCACTTGGGGTTGGTGATCAGAGCCCATCTTCCCTGCAGTGAGGGTCCCCGGAATCTAAAAGATAAGGGGAAAGTGATGAAAGGAAAGAGCCCTGGAAGAAAGAGTAGTAATGTGCTGCAGGTTCTGATGCCAGCAAAGGATGCTTGGAGGACAGCCAGTGGGACAAGCAAGGAAGTGGCAGGGGGTGAGTGTCTGAGTTACTGCTTTGCAGGTAATGACAAGCTCTGGAGGTGTAGCCATAAGATTGGATGGCTGAGAACAAATGCAGGAGGCCAACAGAGAGGAGGAAGTTGAGACCTGGGGAGACCAGTGTGTTAGAAGGAACATCTTTGTAGACACCAAAGTCACTCATGATGGTGGTAGGTGGAGGATCAAGGAGGACCACGAATAGGGTCTGCCTCAGCTGAGTTCAAAATCATCGTGCAGTCAACAAACAGTGGTCTTCTGAATAAATCAGAGAACCTTTATTGAGTGCCTGCTGTTTTTGGAGCCCTTCGCTAAACACTATGGGAGGACACAAACATACAGAATAGACATTAATAGTCATTCAAGACTGTAATAAGGGAGACAGGGCAAGGCGGTGCAATTAATTGTCAATAATTGCTCTAGGAAATTTATAGGCAAAAGCAATCAATTGGGATGGACGAGTGTATTAGTCCATTCTTACACTGCTATAAAGGACTGCCTGAGACTGGGTAATTTACAAAGGAAAGAGGTTTAATTGACTCACAGCTCCGCATGGCTGGAGAGGCTTCAGGAAACTTACAATGATGGTAGAAGGAGAAGCAAACACATTCTTCTTCACAGGATAGCAGGAGAAGTGCTAAGCAAAAGGAGGAAAAGCTCCTTATAAAACCATCAGATTTCGTGATAACTCACTATCATGAGAACAGCAGCATGGGGGTAACCACCCCCATGATCCAATTATCTCCCACTGGGTCCCTCCCAGGATATGTAGGGATCATGGGAACTACAATTTAAGATGAGATTTGTGGGGGGACACAGCCAAACCATATCAGTGAGTCAGTGTTGGCTTGATGGAGGAAGAATGTGGATTAGAAATGGCTCCGGAGGAGCAGGTAAAATCTGTATAGATGAAGAGAAATCGGGAGTGCATTTCAGGCAGATGGAGGCCAGAGAAAACAGTCTTCTTTGCAACACATTCTGAGTGTAAGGAAGCATTTCCCTGGAATCTTTGGAGCACTCATTATAAAACAATCGTATCATTAATGAAAATGCTGCTATATGTGGTATTTCCTCTCACTGTGATCTGAGCCTACACTTTACTGTACTAGGTTCAGGTTACACTGAGTCTCTCCCACTTACAATAATGTCTACAAATCAACATCATCTGAGATTAGAAATGTGATTTTATTTTTACTTTTTGTAGACATGGAGGTCTCGCTATGTTGCCCAGGCTGGTCTGGAACTCCTGGCCTCAAGTGATATGATCCTCCCATCTCAGCCTCTCAAAGTGATGGGATTTGGAAATGTTATTGGTTCATGCAAAATACCAGTAAATCATGACTCCACTCCACTCCCCAACCCTGCCCCAATAGGGGCCTTGTTGCAGGTAAGAATATTAACATTCAGGTAAGGGGATGACGGTCTGAGAATGAAATGCCATTCAATTAAATAGCAGTTAACTTGGACATGAGGTATGGAGATTTAAAAAAAAAAATGCTTCGCTGTCCTGTGTCTTCAGATCATCCAAAGAAAATACTTCTGCTGAAAGAGTTGCTATGGAGATTCACAAAATATTCCAATGTCCTGCAGGTCATCCTTACAGGTGGAGTTGGCACAATGCAGATTTCAAAGAAAACATCAACAGATGCTTTTAGCATTAAATGTCACCATGTCCTCAAAGGTAGCTTAACTCAGAGCTTCTACATTTTCACAAAACCACAGAATCTCAGAGTTAGGAAGGACCTTAAATGTCATCTATTTCAACCCTATTCATCTCTTTGATGGAGTTATCTGGCTTCTGCAAGAACATTCTTCTCCAGGGTTTTCAGAGGCAGCCCAGTTGCTCTTAATGTGATGCTTCACAGACACAACAAAGCGTCCTCTACTCCCCAGTCCCCAGTCATATTCAGATCTTCTGATTCCAGCCATCTTGACTCTGGGCAAATGTTCATCTCCTCCTTGTACACTTGATTCTCTTCAGTACTCCCAAACCCATGAATCTGACATTTTAAATCCTGGCTCAGAAATCCAAATTCCATTCACTGACTCCAACTATGACGCTAAACATTCACCTCCTGTTTCTTTCCAATATTACATAGCCCTTTCTCTCTTTCGTTGTTGCTTTTATTTATTTTTTTGAGACAGAGTCTCACTCTGTTGTGGAGTGGTATGATCTCAGCTCACTGCAACCTCCACCAGGCTCAAGTGATTCTCCTACCTCAGCCTCCCAAGCAGCTGGGATTACAGACGTGAACCGCCAGACCCGGCTAATTTTTGTATTTTTAGTAGAGACGGGGGTCTCACCATGTTGCCCAGGCTGGTCTCTAACTCCTGATCTCAAGTGATCCGCCCACCTCAGCCTACCAAAGTGCTGGGATTACAGGTATGAGACACTGTGCCCAGCCCTCTTTCTCTCTTTTATATCACAAAAGTAACAAATTCATTGTAGCAAATGTAGCAAATACAATAAATTGTTAAAATGGTAGTCACCCATCTTCCCGCCTTCAGGAATAACCTCTGCTACCCCACTGCGGACATTCACGTCTGAATTCTCTGCTTGCACAGAGAAAAGGCATGATCCCACACGCATGTGCATACACATATTCTTTTTCTTTTTTGAAAAACATTCTTTTAAAATCCAATCATGCTGTACTTTCGGTTTTGCAAACTGCCCTTTTCATGGAATAATAGTACATTGTGGATGTTCTTGTTTCTCTAAGTTTCAGCCATCTGTAAGACAAAAAGAGCACCTGGGTTCCCAGTGCTTCCTGTTCCTGCTGGAGCCCCCACAGATGGTGTTCCCATGCCTTCTGGCCTTGCCATTCAATATCAGCAACAACAGCAGGAGTGGGCAGCAGTGGACGTCATGAACCTTGGCAGGCTGCACGCAGCATGTGCTCCAGGAAAATAGCACACTTCCCCATGTAAGCACACAGTGGACTTACATTTAATGGACTGTCATGGGCTAAATCCTGTCCCCTGTAACCACATTCATATGTTGACATCCTAACCCCCAGTACCCTGGAATGTGATTGTATTTGGAGAAAGGGTCTTTAAAAAGATAATTAAGTTAAAATGAGGGTATTAGAGTGGGCCGTAATTCGGTGTGCTCACTGTCCTTAAAAGAAGAGGAAATGGACAGAGACACACCCAGAATGTGACTGAGGAAAGACTGTGAGGCCCCAGAGAGAAGACAGCCTTCGACAAGCCAAGGAGAGAGGCCTCAGAAAGAACCAACGCTGCTTGCATGCTCATCTCGGATTTCTGGCCTCCAGAGTTGTGAAAAAATAAATGTTTCTTGTTTAAACCACTTAATCTATGCTATGGCACACAGTTTGCACAATGTGTGTTATGGCAGCATTAGTGGATTAGTGCACAGAAGAAGGTCAGCTCATTGCAGATACAAATGTCAAATGTATCCAGTCCTGGCTCCCAGTTAGAGGATGAGGACCCACATCTCCCTCCCTAGACAAATTTCCTAACTTTCAGATCATTTTCCTAACTTTCAGATCATTTTCTTCTTTTAGAGAGAGAGATTCAGGGTCTCACTGTGTCACCAGTGGCTTGATCATAGCTCACTGCAGCCTCAAAGTCCTGGGCTCAAGTGATCCTCCTGCCTCAGCCTCCTGAGTAGCTGGGACTACAGGTGCATGCCATCATACTTGGTTATTTTTTTTTTTTAATTTTTGTATAGACATGGTCTCGCTACTTTGCCCAGGCTGGTCTCAGACTCCTGGCCTCGAGCAATCCTCCTGCCTTGGCCGCCCAAAGTGCTAGGATTACAGGTGTAAGTGCTCCGCCCCCCGCTCCCCACCCCACCCCATCCGGCCCAGGTCATTTTCAGTGATTGATATTTAGGCCGGTTCAATTGAGAACACTGAACTCACTCTGTTTTCATGGCTCTTATGCTTCCTCAGGGCAGCTGGGGGCTTAGGACAGGAAAGAGGGTGCTGTCTGTTTCTGTAGTGCCTTCCTCCTCACCCTCCCTCATGGTCTCTCTCCTCCACTCCTTTCAGGTTGGGCTTCGGGGAAGGAGGGCAGGTGGAAAGGAAGGCGGAGATCATTTCTATGTCACTGGACGATGTCTGTGCGGAGAGGGGTCTCTGTCCTCATTTTGACTTCCTTTGGTTCAACCTGTGGCTAGTGACCTCACCAATACGTGAGGTCCACCAAACAGGTCCTATGCCCTGCTGTTTCTCTAGAAAGATGCTCCCCTCAAATGCTAAAGATGTCTCCCCACCCCCACCAGAGTAAGACAGCCCGGTCTCCAACTGGCCCACTGATGCTTTGAGCCAGCACAAACTCTGGGGCCTGGCTCCCAGCTGCTGGCCCCTTCTGCCACCTGGGGATTCCCTTGATCCCCCGGCCTCCCCACTGCAGGGTCCTTCACATTCAAGTCCTGGGAGCTGCTGAAGTCCTCTTCCCTGTGCAACTAAGACAGGGCAACTAAAATAATAGTACATTGGGGCTGTTCTTGTCTCTCTAAGTCTCGACCATCTGTAGGACGAAAAGAGCACATGGGTTCCCAGTGCTTTCTCTTCCTGCTGGAGCCCCCACAGATGGTGTTCCCATGCCTTCTGGCCTTGCCATTCAATATCAGCAACAGCAGGGGTGGGCAGCAGCGGACATCACGAACCTTGGCAGGCTGGACTCTCAATATTCTTTGCTTCTCAAGGACATCATTTACATCTGCCCTGGTGGCACCTGCTGATCCCTGGACTTCCCATTTTTATCAGTCTCTAGACCAAAATCAGATACTCCTGGAGTCCTCTCTTCCCTACCCTGCAATTCCCTATACAATTGGAGACAGGAAGGGAAAGTGGCCATGATATGTAGGAAAGGCATTATTACGATGCCCAATTCAAGCAGAGGAATGATCAGCCTCTACATGTGACCATCAAGCATCCTCCAGTTACTGGGAATGAGCCAAGGTATAGTGCTCCCATTCCAGGCCGGGTCAGGAGATCAGTCATTAGGGGCCTGGCCACTGGGGATCAGACCTCGGCCCTGCACTTAAATTCAGCTCTGTTGCCTACTAGTCCTGGGCATGCTATCTTAACCTCTTTCTGCCTGACTTGTAAAATAAAAATAATGATAATAATAATGCCTCCCCACCGAGGTTATTTTGATTAATTATGTTACTAATCCATAGACAGATGTTAGCAGCACAATGCCTGGCACACATTAAGTGCTCAAAAAAGAAAACTGCTATGGTTGTCATTGCTATTATCACAGAATATGGAGTACAGTGTCTTTGCTTGTCTTCTGATATGGCTTGGCTGTGTCCCCACCCAAACCTCACCTTTTCTTTTCTTTTTTTTTTGAGATGGTGTCTTGCTCTGTCACCCAGGCTGGAGTGCAGTGGCACAGTCTCAGCTCACTGCAGCCTCTGCCTCCTGGGTTCAAGCATTTCTCCTGCCTCAGCTTCCCAAGTAGCTGGGACTACAGGTGTGCACCACCATGCCCAGCTAGTTTCTGTATTTTTTTTAGTAGAGACAGGGTTTCACTATGTGTTAGCCAGGCTGGTCTCAAATTCCTGACCTCAGGTGATCTACCTGCCTCAGTCTCCCAAAGTGATGGGATTACAGGCATGAGCCACTGCACCTGGCCCCAAATCTCACCTTGATTTGTACCAGGTGGAGACAATTGAATCATGGGGGCAGTTGCCTCCATACTGTTCTTGTGGTAGTGAGTAAGTCTCACGCGATCTGATGGTTGTATAAACGGGAGTTCCCCCGCACAAGCTTTCCTGCCTGCTGCCATGTAAGACGTGACTTTGCTCATTTGCCTTCAGCCGTGATTGTGAGGCCTCCCCAGCCACGTGGAACTGAGTCAATTAAACCTCTTTCCTTTATAAATTGCCCAGTCTCAGGTATGTCTTTATTAGCAGTATGAGAACAGACTAATACAGCTTCTCTCTGCTTTATCACAAAGCTGACAAGTGAGGCACAGTAGCTCAGACCTGTACTCCCAATAGTTTGGGAGGCCAAGGCAGGAGAGTTACTTGAGCCCAGGAATTCAAGACCAGACTGGGTAATACAGTGAGGCCCCATTTCTACAAAACAAACAAACAAAAAATACAAAAATTAGCCAGGTGTGCTAGTGCACACCTGTAGTCCCAGCTACTTGGGAGGCTGAGGCAGGAGGATCGTATGAACCACAGAGGTTGAGGCTGCAGTGAGCTATGATCACACCACTGCACTCCAGCCTGGGTGACAGAGCAAGACCCTGTGATATGACTTGGCTCTGTGTCTCCACCCAAATCTCTTATCGAATTATAATCCCCATAATCCCCACGTGTTGATGGAGGGGCCTGGTGGGAGGTGATTGGATCATGGGGTGATTTCCCCTATGCAGTTCTTGTGACAGTTTCATGTGATATGATGGTTTTCTAAGAGTTTGACAGTTTCTCCTTCACACACATACTGTCTCTCCTCCCACCATCTGAGAAGTCCCAAGTTTGCTTCCCCTTCACCTTCTGCCATGATCATAAGTTTCCTGAGGCCTCCCCAGCCAAGTGGAACTGTGAGTCAATTAAACCTCTTTCCTTTGCAAGTTACCCAGTCTCGGGTATTTCTTTAGAGTAGTGTGAAAATGGACTAATACACCCTGCCTCTTAAAAAAAAACTTTATAAAAGCTGATAGACTTCCTTCTTCTCTGCAAGTAAGTAACCTGAAACATCTATCAATCCCATCAACAGTAAAGTATGTTTATTAGAGAGAGAAAGAGAACATATAATAGATTTAAATGGAAATATTTGCATTGTTCAGAGAGGACAGGTAAAGACAGGCAAGGAGATGGGATGATGAGGAGAAGGATGGAGAAGTGGAGGGGACAGAAGGGAAGAAAAGGCACTGATAGGGTCTGGCTGCATTTCTACCCAAATCTCATCTTGAATTGAAGCTCCCATCATTCTCACATGTTGTGGGAGGGACCATCCCTGGGGGAGATCATTGGATCATAGGGGTGGTTTCCCCATACTGTTCTCATGATAGTGAACAAGTCTCACAAGATCTGATGGTTGTATAAGGGGTTTCCCTTTCATGTGGCTCCCATTCTCTCTTGTCTGCTGCCCTGTAAGACGTGCCTTTCACCTTCCACCGTGATTGTGAGGCCTCTCCAGCCACGTAGAACTGTGAGTCCATTAAACTTCTTTTTCTTTATAAATTACCCAGTCTTAAGTATGTCTTTGTCAGCAGTGTGAAAATGGACTAACACAGGCACCAATCAAAACTCATTTCCTTCTCTTTACCAGGGAGCGTGATTCTTCAATATGAAGGTGAACTGGGGCCCAGTCAAGAACATCCAGATAACTGGGGCAACATCACAGATGCCTGGCAGAACCACGCTGGGTAGAGGAGCCCATGCCTACACTCACTGTCCTGGAGGAAAAACCCAGGAGAGCCTTGAAAGGCACTGGCTGGATTTGAGCATTAGACTGTGAGCTCTTCAAAGACAAGGTGATGCTCCATTCATCTCTGTGTCCCCAGCCTGACAGTCTACTACCTGTCTGAATTTATGCATGAGCTGTAGCATACATCAAAACTATTTATTCTGAAAACTGACCATTTTGACTAAAATAGTTCTTTATTTTAGCTGTGCAATTTATTTGAATACAAGTAGAAATCTAAGGGCTGAGAGGGACCATTCATAGCATGTGAATTAAAGAATGCTAAATAGCGGATCCCCTGGCCCCCAAATCTTCCACAGCTACTTCTCTGGTCCATCATAATCCACCCCCAAACTCTCCATCCAGGTCACTCCTTCAAGACAAGGATCCATGAGAATGTATTTCGAAAGGAAAAGGGAATAATGATGGAGAACAGCGATACGTCAAACACTCTATTGTCCAACTGCATTCTCACAACGGTTCTACGAAAGTGTACTGTCTCCATTTGACAGATTAATAAACTGAGAGAACTGGAGTGACGTGCTCACTTTCACATGAGTACTTTGGCCAATTTACTTTTGAACTCAAGTCCACCTGCCACCTAAGCTTCTCTCTTCTCCTCCACCAGGGAAAGCCACCCATTAGATGCCTTAGTTAGATTATGGTTGAATGAGGATAGTGGCTCCTTGCAAGACCATGAGAGTGACAGCCAAAGAAAAGAGCATTTCCATGGGTGCCAAGTCTGGCACATTCTAGCACAGGATGCATCTCAGGAAGGTGGGTGTAAGTGAGAGGCTCCTAGCAGCTCTAGGGGTGAAGAGAGAACCTAAAACAGGCACAGAGATCACTGGGCATGAACACATGAACACTATTCCAAATCATGCCTCCATTTTATTCATATTTAATTTAATTAATTTATTTATTTATTTTGAGACGGAGTCTTGCTCTGTCTCCAGGCTGGAGGGCAGTGGCGTGATCTCGGCTCACTGCAACCTCCGACTCCCTGGTTCAAGTGATTCTCCTATCTCAGCCTCCCGAGTAGCTGGGATTACAGGCATGTGCCACCACGCCCGACTAATTTTGTATTTTTAGTAGAGACGGGGTTTCACCATGTTGGCCAGGATGGTCTCGATCTCCTGACCTCATGATCTGCCCACCTTGGCCTCCCAAAGTGCTGGGATTACAGGTGTGAACCACTGTGCCCAGCCTATTTTATTTGAGATGGACTCTCGCCATGTTACCCAGGCTGGTCTTGAATTCCTGGGCTCAAGCGATCCTCCCACCTTGGCCTCCAAAGTGCTGGGATTACAGGTGTGAGCCACTGAGCCTGGCCCAAGTTCACGCTTCCAGAAGGACAATCACAGCATGAATTTCCGTAGGACAGTGCATCTCAAAGTGAGACTCCCAGGCCAGCAGCATCAGCACCACCTGGTACTTGCTAGAAATGCAGATTCTCAGGCCTGCTCCTGACCTAGGGAATCAGAAACTGACCAATCTGTGCTGAACAAGTTCCCCAGGTCACTCCAATGCTCACTTAAGTTTGAGAACAGCTGGTTTAGATCCAAATTCTCTTCTGATTGCATCAGGATGGACTGGAGTCTGCCGCTAAGGCCACTTCAGCAAGCTAACCTATCCGGGCTGATATGGGAACCCTGCCTCTCTCCACTGCACAGATAGTGGATTAATTTACCGGGGTCTGCAGCTGCCTTAAATCTTCCTTGGAACAAGGCAGGGTACAAACACATAAATAATGGTGTGTGCTTCCCTGCCATGATGGACCTCGCTATAAATCATAAGCTGTAAAATGCAACTGTTGGAGAGAAGGCGTCGTGCCTGCTTCTTACATTCCTGTCTAGGAAAAAATGAAGGCTGCTGGTACCACCACTCCTACCCCGTCACTGCCAGCTACTCAATAGTGCCATGAAGACCCAGGGAGCATGAGCAGGAGACAGAACCCAGAGCACCAGAAGGGCAAAATGTTGTGTTTTTCTTTTCTTTTTTTTGTTTTTTTCTGAGACGGATTTTCGCTCTTGTTGCCCAGGCTGGAGTGCAATGGTACAATCTCGGCTCACTGCAACCTCTGCCTCCTGGGTTCAAGTGATTCTCCTGCCTCAGCCTCCCTAGTAGCTGGGATTACGGGCATGTGCCACCCTACCCGGCTAATTTTGTATTTTTAGTAGAGACGGGGGTTTCTCCATATTGGTCAGGCTGGTCTCGAATTCCCAACCTCAGGTGATCCGCCTGCCTCGGCCTCCCAAAGTGCTGGGATTACAGGCATGAGCCACCACGCCCAGTCATTTTTCCTTTTTTTAAAGAGACAGGGTCTGCTACCTAGGCTGGAGTGCAGTGGTGCGATCATAGCTCACTGCTGCCTCGAACTCCTGGGCTCAAGAGATCCTCCTGCCTCAGCCTTCCAAAGTACTGGGAGTACAGGCACATGCCACCTTGCCTGGCTAATTTGTTTATATTTTGTAGAGATGGGGGCTTGCTGTATTGCCCAGGCTGGTCTCAAACTCCTGGCCTCAAGGGATTCTCCTGCCTCAGCCTCCCGAAGTACTGTGAGTATAGGCACATGCCACCTTGCCTGGCTAATTTGTTTATATTTTGTAGAGATGGCATCTGGCTATGTTGCCCAGGCCTCAAGGGACCCTTCTGCCTCAGCCTCCCAAAGTGCCCTTGCCCAGAGAACACCAACTAGTCTGGCCTCACTTGCTAGAGCTGTTCCCCACTGCCTGTGTGTGTCCCCACCATGCACAACAAACACTTAAGGGGGTCTCTGTAGGCTAAATGCCCCTGATAGGAATAACTTGAGCATACCCTAAGAATGACCCTGTATGGCAGATGCACCTGAATCTATGTTCAGAGCCGGGGTGAAGAAAGAGACGAAAACAGGCACAGAGATCACCAGGCCATGAGTACTGTTCCAGATCATGCTTCTTTTTTTTTTTTTTGAGACAGAGTCTCGCCCTATCACCCAGGCTAGAGTGCAATGGCTCAATCTCAGCTCACTGCAACCTCTGCCTCCCAGGTTCAAATGATTCTCCTGCCTCAGCCTCCGAGTAGCTGGGATTACAGGTGCCGCCACCACGCCCAGCTAAATTTTTTTGTATTTTTAGTAGAGATGGCATTTCACCATGTTGGCCAGGCTGGTCTCAAACTCCTGACCTCGTGATCTGCCCGCCTCGGCCTCCCAAAGTGCTGGGATTGCAGTAGTAGAGATGGAGTCTCACCATGTTGCACAGGCTGGTCTTGGACTCCTAGTCTCAAAAGATCCTCCCGCCTTGGCCTCCCAAAGTGCTGGGATTACACAGCGTGGCCAATGCAGAGATTCATTCCTTATCTATGATGAACATCTGAGCCCCCAGCCATACAGGAGATTGAGGCCCTGAATTTGGGGTTAAATGAACGTTGTCAGGTGGAGGTCATTGAGGGAAGGGTGTTAAGTGAAAATGCTGTATAAGCTACATGATGTTTGCAGGCGGTTGCAGTTTTCCTGCCCAGCCCGCCGCCAATGGACTCTCTCCCCTGTATGTAAGCCTCTAGTAAAATCCCATGTCTCGTTGGCTGGTGCTGGGTCTCTCCTTCAGGCTCTTGAGCCTGGGGCTCTCCCTTCTGAGGTTAATAGGGGTTCAGCACAACAGTCTCACATCAGCTAACACCTTCCACACTTGATCTCTTATCCAATCCTTACAACAATCCTATGTGATAGCTTTCTTATCCTCTTTTTACAGATGAAGACACAGGCTCAGAACAGTTAAGTCACTTACCATGGCAAATAGCTGAGGCCAAAGCCTGTTGATCATTATCAATTTGTGTTGTGTCTGAATCTCCTGATCTTCTCTCAGGTTTCCAGGCCTAAATCTGTCCTCCCCTATAAGAGCTGGGTGTGAATGAAGCATTTTAAGACGATAGTCAGGTGTAGGTGTCCGGCTGACCCATCTGAAGGTTCTTAGAGTGTGGCCCCTAGAGCCACAGTATCTGCACTACTTGAGAATTTGATTATGAGACAAACCTGGTTGGGTGCAGTGGCTCATGCCTGTAATCCCAACACTTTGGGAGGTCGAGGCAGGCAGATCACTTGAGGCCAGGAGTTCAAGACCAGCCTGACCAACATAGTGAAACCCTGTCTCTCCTAAAAATACAAAAATTTGCGAGGTGTGGTGGTGCTCGCCTGTAGTCCCAGGTACTTGGGAGGCTGAGGCAGGAGAATCGCTTGAATCTGGGAGGCAGAGACTGCAGTGAGCTAAGGTCTTACCACTACACTCTGGCCTGGGCAACAAAGCAAGACTGTCTCAAAAAAAAAAAAAAAAAAAAAAAAGGAAACCTGGCTGGGCGCGGTGGCTCATGCCTGTAATCCCAGCACTTTGGGAGGTTGAGGCAGGTGGATCACTTGAGGCCAGGAATTCGAGACCAGCCTGGCCAACATAGTGAAACCCCGTCTCTACTAAAAATACAAAAAAATTAGCGGGGTGTGGTGGTGCTCGCCTGTAGTCCCAAGCTACTCACAGGCTGAGGCAAGAGAATTGCTTGAACCTAGGAGGCAGAGGTTGCAGTGAGCCAAGATCCTGCCACTGCACTCCAGCTTGGGCAATACAGTAAAACTCTGTCTCCAAAAAAAAAAAAAAAAAAAAAAGAAGGGCAAGTCCTGGCTTGCCCAGTGGGAATATCTGGGGGTGGAGCTGGGATTGTGTTAGAAGCCCTCCAGACAATCCTGATGCCATTCCCATTTAAGAAACTCCACTCCAGGTTGTGTTTCTAATGAGCAACGGGGTCCCATTCTGCTCACTGTGCAGAAGGTGATTTTTGTCCAGGAAGTTCCTTGACAATTCCCCACAGCAAAGACTGGAAGGACTACGCTGTACTCCAGGCAGATGGGATGCTGGGCCTTGCTCTCTGCTATGAGCCCTCATTAGCTTGCCTGCCCAGACATCCCATAATCTCCACCAAGTCTATCCCTGGGCTCCTTATCTCATTGGTTCTTGGGCGCACTGTCTAAGGCTTGCCTCTTACCTTGGCTGTTTTTTTTTTTTTTTTTTTTAAGAGATAGGGTCTTGCTCTGTTGCCCAGGCTGGAGTGTAGTGACAAAATCATAGCTCACTGCAGCTTGGAATCTGGACTCAAGCGATCCTTCCGCCTTGGTCTCCCGAGTAGCTGGGACTACCATCATGCACCACCACGCCCAGTTAATTTTTAAACTTGTTATACAGACAGGGTCTCTTGCTATGTTGTCTAGGCTGGTCTCAAACTCCTGGCCTCAAGTGATCCTCCTGCCCCAGCCTCCTGAATCACTGGAATTATAGGTGTGAGCTACCATGCCCGGCTCCAAAACTGGGATCTTGATGGCTGGCCACCTATATGTGGGGCAATTTCACAACTAGGCCAGTACCTGGACCAGGATGTCATATGGTTCTGGCTTCTCTCACTTCCTGACCCTGTTATCACTACTATTAGGTTGGTGCAAAAGTAACTGTGGGTTTTGCCATTATTTTTAATACTACTATAATTCTGTAATATTCTGCTTCCCGTCTCAGCCTCCTGAGTAGCTGAGACTGCAGGTATGCACTACCACACCCAGCTAATTTTTATTTTTAATTCTTTTATAGAGATGGGGTCTCACTATGTTGCCCACACTGGTCTCAAACTCCTGGGTTCATGCAATCTTCCCACCATGGCCTCCCAAAGTGCAGGGATTATAGGCATGACCTGACTCATCCAGGCTTGGCTTGACTCTTCTTGGTGTTTAACTCTCAACTATTCCCTGGACGCTGGATGGACTTTTTGGTGCCTGTCTCCAAACTTCTGACTCATCTGCTCTTGTTTCCAGCTTCCAGTTGCTCCTGGTCTTCTCCATTCTATATCAAGTAAGCCGAGGAAGGATTAAGAACAAACCCATGTTTTTCCTCCTCCAGACAACTTAGCAAAACCCTGGGAAATAACAAAGGAGGAGAAACATCACTACCCTCATGGAGACACTTGTCATAGGCCCCATCCCTGGCAGCAAGCTCTGAAATGGAGATTTGGGTACAGGGAGTGAGGGAAGCAGACTGATCAGAGGAGACACTGAAAAATGATGCAATTCCAACAGATGCCTCAGCCAGTTCCTCGGGGAGCTCTGACGCACAGCTGCCCTGCAGAGATGTCCTGAATCAGGCAGGGTTGCTGAAGCTTCGTGTCCCACACTGAAAAGTCAAGGGAGGAGGGACATAATTGGGAAGTGCATCATCCCAGGCAGGGCAGCACCCTGCAGTCATCTCAATACTTAGGGAGGAACTTGGCTGTGAGCTGTCAACAGGCAACAATCCACCAGCAGGAGCAAGAAGTGCGTTTTTTTTTGTTTTTTTTTTTTGGACAGGGTCTTACCCTGTTGCCCAGGTTGAAGTGCAATGGCACCATTACAGCTCACTGCAGCCTCGACCTCCTGGGCTTCGGGAATCCTCCCACCTCAGCCTCCTGAGTAGGTGGACTTACAGGCACATATCACCATGCTTGGCTTTTTTTTTTTTAATTGACTTATTGTAGAGATGGGATCTCACTATGTTGCCCAGGCTGGTCTTGAACTGCTGGGCTCAAGCAATCCGCCTGCCTTTTGATTGTAGGTGTGAACCATCATGCCTGGCCTGAGTACCTTGGTCCAGAAGAGAGAGGCTCTTCGGCATGTGTCACAGCGCCCCTACAGCACTGTGGAGCACCAAGAGCTGTCTGCTGTTGTGAGAAGCAATGAACTATGGTTCACATGGGAAAGTCTCAACAATCCAGGAAGTCATGAGAATCTGTCACTGCAAATGAAGTCAAGACCAGGGAGGAAATATATTATTTACTATTATTATTATTATTATTATTATTATTATTATTATTATTATTATTATTATTATTTTCAGACAGGCTCTTGCCCTGTCACTCAGGCTGGGAGTGCAGTGGTGTGATCACAGCTCACTGCAAACTCCACCTCCCAGGTTCAAGTGATTCTCCTGCCTCATCAGCCTCCCAAGTAGCTGGGATTACAGGCATGTGCCACCACGCCCGGCAAATTTTTGCATTTTTAGTAGAAATGGGATTTTGCCATGTTGCCCAGGTTGGTCTTGAACTCCTGACCTCAAGTAATCCGCCCTGCCCCAGTCTCCCAAAGTGCTGGGATTATAGGCATGAGCCACTGTGCCTGGCCGAGGAAATATATTAAATGCCCATTAAGTCCAGTGGCTCTTTTGAAATTGGTAGCTGGAGCTTTATTTGTTTGAATAACATAAAATCTGGGTCAGTAAAACACCATTTTGCTCCAATCAGAGAAACGTAACAATTAGATTATGAATTCCTTAAGAAAAGGGCACTGCCTCCTTGTATCTGACTATATAGCTTACACAATTTCTGGTTGACAAAGAAAATATTCATCCAGCCTTTTCAGACTGATGGATTTCAGAGGATGGATTACAACTGAATTTTTTAAATGTCAGAACCCACAGGAGGTCTGAGGGCGCTACAATGATGGCGAATGACAAGGCCATAAACCATGTCTTAGCTGTCTTGCTCCTTAACTGTGTAGAATAAGAGGTATTTCTTGAGCAGAAAATTGGAATAGATACAGTGGATATCCTCAAAACCATCTGCACTAAGCTGTGGGAGTGTCTGGGTGAAAGGTGGCCAGGTGATCTCTCAGTGATGGCACCACAGGTCAAGGACCTGCCATGAGACACTTTCTAAAGAATGAACTCTGAGCCAGGATGGGCAGTCAGAAGCTAGGACTGGCACTCCTGGGATAGAATCGAAAGCACAGGCCAAGTAAGACCTAAGACTAGAAGAACAAAAATGCCTGACAATGCCAAGTGTGGTGGCTCACACCTGTAATCCCAGCACTTTGGGACGCCAAGGCGGGATGATTGCTTGAGCCCAAGAGTTCAAGACCAGCCTGGGCAACACAGCAAAACCCCATCTCTGCAAAAATTAGCTGGGCATGGTGTTGCATGCCTGTAGTTCCAGCTATTTGGGAGGCTGAGGCAGGAGGATCGCTTGAGCCCAGGAGGTTGAAGCTGCAGTGAGCTATGATGGTGCCACTGCACTCCAGCCTGAGCAACAGAGCAAGATCCTGTCTTAAAAAAAAAAATCCTGGCTGGGCATGGTGGCTCACACCTGTAATCCCAGCACTTTGGGAAGCTGAAGTGGGTGGATCACCTGAGGTCAAGAGTTCAAGACCAGCTTGACCAACATGGTGAAACCTTGCCTCTACTAAAAAAAAAAAAAAAAAAAAAAAAAAGCCAGGTGTGGTGGCCCATGCCTGTAATCCCAGCTACTTGGGAGGTTGAGGTAGGAGAACTGCTTGAACCCAGGAGGTGGAGGTTGCAGTGAGCCGAGATTGCACCATTGCACTCCAGCCTGAGCAACAAGAGTAAGACTCTGTCAAAAAAAAAAAAAAAAAAAATCCTGATGCTGGGTTCCCAGTGTATCAGTCTGGGTTCAACCTGAGAAATAAAACCAATAGGAAACCTATATATGCAGTCATGCACCACATAATGAAGTTTGGGTTAATGACAGATTGCATGTAGGACAGTGGGCCCACAGGATTATAATGTAGCTGAAGAATGCCTATCACCTAATGATGTCGTAGCTGCCATAACATCATAGCACAATGCATTACTCACATGTTTGTGGCAATGCTGGTGATGCTACTCATCAGCCAGTCATAAAAGTATCACACATACAATTATGTCCAATACATACTAGTTTTTTTTGAGGCAGAGTCTCACTCTGTCACCCAGACTGGAGTGCAGTAGTACGATCTCATCTCACTGCAGCCTCTGCCTCCTGAGTTCAAGCCATTCTCCTGCCTCAGCCACCCGAGTAGCTGGGATTACAGGTGCATGCCACCACACCCAGCTAATTTTTGCATTTTTAGTAGAGACGAGGTTTCGCCATGTTGCCCAGGCTGGTCTTGAACTCCTGACCTCAAGTGATCCGCCCGCCTCAGTCTCCCAAAGTGTTGGGATTATAGGCATGAGCCACCGCATCTGGCCCGGTATATAATACTTGACAATCATAGTAAAAGACCTAATGGTTTCTGTATTTACTACACTATACTTTCATCATTATTTTAGAGTGTGTTCCTTCTATTTATACAAAAAGTAACTGTAAAACAGCCTCAGGCAAGTCCTTCAGGAGGGATTCAAGAAAAATACATTGTTATCATAGGAGATGACAGCTCCATGCGTGTGTTATTGCCCCTGAAGACCTACCAGTGGGACAAGACAAGAAGGTGGAAGATGGTGATATTGACGATCCTGACCCTGTGTAGGCCTAGGCTAATGTGTGTGTTCGTGTCTTCGTTTTTAGGGAGTAAAGAGAAAAAAAAATTAGTTGGAAAAAGTTTATAGATTAAAGCTATAAAGAAAGAAAATATTTTTGTACAGCTGTACAATGTGTTTTAAGCTAAGTGATTATTGTCAGAGTGTCCAAAAATTTACAAAAAATTAGAACCTTTATAAAGTTACAAAGTTACAGTAAGCAAAGGTTAATTTGTCACTGAAGAAGGGATTTTAAAAAGAATAAATTAGTATAAGAATTGCTTGAACCCAGGAGGTGGAGGTTGCAGTGAGCAGATAATGCCACTGCACTCTAGCCTGGGTGACAGAGTGAGACAATGTCTCAAAAAAAATAGCGTAGCCTAACCATACAGTGTTTACAAAGTCTACCTCCAGTAGTGTGCAGTAATGTTCTAGGCCTTCACATTTTCTTTCTTTCCTTTTTTATTTTTGGAAGGAGTCTCACTCTGTTGCCCAGGCTGGAGTGCAGTGGTACAATCTCAGCTCACTGCAACCTCCACCTCCCGGGTTCAAGCAATTCTCCTGCCTCAGCCTCCAGAGTAGCTGGGATTACAGGCACCTGCCACCACGCCAGGCTGATTTTTTATTTTTAATAGAGACAGAGTTTGGCCACGCTGCCCAGGCTGGTCTTGAACTCCTGACCTCAGGTGATCCGCCTGCCTTGGC
Organism: Homo sapiens; assembly: GCF_000001405.40. Lineage (NCBI taxonomy): Eukaryota > Metazoa > Chordata > Mammalia > Primates > Hominidae > Homo > Homo sapiens. Next base: position 71,483,233 of record NC_000007.14, on the reverse strand, counting down.
CTCCCAAAGTGCTGGGATTACAGGCATGAACCACTCATTTTCTCACCACTCACTCACTGACTCACCCAGAGCAACTTTCAGTGCTGTGAGCTCCATTCATGGTAAGTGCCTTAGACAGGTGCATGATTAGTCTTTTATACCAGAGGTCCCCAATCCCCCAGGCCTTGGACCAGTACTGATCTGTGACCTTTCAGGAACCAGGCTGCACAGCAGGAGGTGAGCGGCCCGCAGGCGAGCAAAGCTTCATCTGTATTTACAGCCACTCCCCATCACTCGCCTTACCCACCGAGCTCTGCCTCCTGTCAGATCAGCAGTGACATTAGATTCTCATAGGAGCATGAACACTCTTGTGAACTACGCATGTGCAGGATCTAGGGTGCATGCTCCTTCTGATAATCTAAGTAATGCCTCATGATCTAAGGTGGAACAGTTTCATCCTGACACCTCCCCACCCTTCCCTGCAGCCCTGGAAAAACTGACTTTCACAAAACCGGCCCCTAGTGCTAAAAAGATTGGGGGCTGCTGCTTTATACCATGTTTTCACTGTACCCTGTCTATGTTTAGGTATGCTTAGGTACACAAATACTTAGCATTGTGTTACAATTGCCTACAGTATTCAGTACAGCAACGTGCTCTACAGGTTCTTGTTCTAGGAGCAACACGCTTTACCATACAGGCTAGGAGTGTAATAGGCTAGGCCACTTAGGGTTGTATAAGTGCACTCTATAATGTTTGCTCAATGATGAAATTGCCTAATGATGCATTTCTTTGAATGTATCCCTGTCGGCAGGTGCAGTGGCTCACACCTGTAATCCCAGTACTTTGTGAGGCCGAGGCAGGCAGATCACATGAGGTCAGGCGTTGGAGGCCAGCCTGGCCAACATGGCAAAACCCTGTGTCTACTAAAAATACAAAAAATCACCTGGCGTGGTGGCAGGTGCCTGTAATCCCAGCTACTCTGGAGGCTGAGGCAGGAGAATCACTTGAACCCGGGAGGCAGAGGTTGCAGTGAGCCGAGATCGCACCACTGCACTCCAGACCGGGTGACAGAGCGAGACTCCGTCTCAAAAAAAAAAAAAAAAATGTATCCTTGTCATTATGCAATGCATGACCATACATACACACACACACACACACACACACACACACACATATACATATATGTATACCTATACATCAATGCACATATATATCACTTTTATGACTTTTTGCAAGGATTTGACCTCATGCAACTGTGGGAGCTGGTTAAGCAGTCTCTAGAACTGACTTTGTCTTTCCTTCTTTCCTTTCCTTCTGATGCTGGCAGCTGCAGTCCACAGGGAAGACAGCCAGGAAGGGGAAATGACGGCTATAACCTAAGCAAGCAAGAACAAGCTGAAACCCACAAACTTAAGCTGGAGCCCAGGAGTACGAATGAAACTTGTCGAAGTGCCTTATTGCCTCTGACCTTGGGTTTCGTGTCAGGCAGAAGCCAGGGCCCTTCACGGTGGAGCCAACAGCCACACAAAGTCCAGCTGTGGGAGAACCTGGAGGGGCTCCAGGGGCAGGTGGAGTTGCAGCAGGCCCAGCCAACAAGTGGAGGCAGCAGATGAGCAGTAATGTGGGTGAGCTACAAAGCGGCTGCTGTTTCCCCCTGCACCTTCCACATCTCCCATAGGTATCCCTCTTGCAGTCCACTCTACTGGAAAACACACAAGGAAGAGAATTCTGGGAAGTGTAGTTCAGCCAGGCCCAGCACACATATGGCCAGGCCACCCACCACATGCAGCCTTTTTCTTTTTTTTGAGACAGTGTCTCGCTCTGTCGCCCAGGCTGGAGTGCAGTGGTGCGATCTCCGCTCACTGCAGCTCTGCCTCCCGGGTTCAAGCGATTCTCCTGCCTCAGCCTCCCCAGTAGTTGGGATTACACATGTGCACCCACCACCCCTGACTAATTTTTGTATTTTTTTGACTAGAGATGAGGTTTCACCATGTTGGCCAGGCTGGTCTCGAATTCCTGACCTCAAGTGATCTGCCTGCCTCAGCCTCCCAAAGTACTGGGATTACAGGCGTGAGCCACTGTGCCCGGCCCACACCCAGCTTTCATCTAAGGTCAGTCTTTCCAGAGGACTTGTCAAATGGCCTTTTGTAAGGGATTCCAAGCTGCCTCCTGGGAAAAATGCACCAGTTTGGGGCAAAGCCAGGGACCAGACTTAGAGAAGAGAGGTGCCAGCCAGTGCAGGATGTGGTCTGTTTGTCTTATTATGGTCACAGGCTGGTGGCAGAGGTTCCCTCCCTCTGTAGCTCTGTGTTGCCTGGGCTGTCATGAAAGGGCTCATTCAAGAAAATCTCTAGTAGGTTTGAAAGCACAAGGCCTCCATGGGGTTGGCACCAGCCACTTTGGCAATGATGAAAGACAACATCCTTGACTTCAGAAATCAGTGGCTTTAGCTGGGCATGGTGGCTCATGCCTGTAATCCCAGTGCTTTGGGAGGCCCAGGTGGGTGGATCACTTGAGGCCAGGAGTTCGAGACCAGCCCGGCCAACATGTTGAAACCCTTTCTCTATTAAAAATATAAAAATTTGCTGGGTGTGGTGGTACATGCCTGTAATCCCAGCTACTCGGGAGGCTGAGGCAGGTGAATCGCTTGAACCTGGAAGGCAGAGGTTGCAGTGAGCCAAGATCGTGCCATTGCACTCCAGCCTGGGTGACATGAGCGACAGAGCTCAGTAGTGTCTCTGGTCAGTAATGTGTCACCAAGTCACCATGCACTGCACTGGCTGTTCGAGGCATTGCAGAGGATGCCACGTATGAGTAGGAGAGGAAAATGGAAAGCATGAAGCTGGTGGACAAGAGGACTGACTGCAGAGACCCTGCCCAGGAGAGGCATGGCCAGGACTGTGCAAGAGTCCGCAGAGGGCATTAGCCAGGTGTGGTGGGGCACACCTATAATCACAGTTACTCGGGAGGCTGAGACAGGAGAATCGCTTGAACCCAGGAGGCAGAAGTTGAAGTGAGCTGAGATTGCACCATTGCACTCCAGCCTGAGTGACAGAGAGAGCCTCTGTCTCAAAAAAAAAAAAAAAAAAAAAAAAAAAAGACTCCAAAAAAAGAGGGGGTCTCCAAGAGCTGTGGACCCGTGACTGTTACTATGGACCTCATTTTAATCTCAGCCCAACTGGGGTTAGTGTGGCCTTGAAAACAAGCATCAAATATTGGGAGTCCATCAGATGTCAAAATCATATTCTCAAAGGATAGAGCTGCTCTGTTGAGATGGGGTTTACTCCAGAGGCTGAGCAAAACCTTTTGCATGTATTTCAAAGAAAGAAGTTGTCTCTGGCCATGATCACAGAAGAAGACGTGCCACCATTTCACAGGAATAGCACCACTGTGGTGTTTGCTTTGGAAGATTTCCTAGAAAAACAGCTGGAGTGGCCCCAAAGTGGACCCATTGCCTGAGAATATCAGCTCCATCTTTGACTCAGACACCATCAGCTGGTTTTCAAGACCCGGCCTGTTCAAATGCAATTTTCTTATGTCTGAGGAGGAAGGAGCTTGATGCCATCTTTGCAAACATAATGTTAGATTTTACAATCTCTGGGCATTTCTACAGAGGTTTAAACATCTTTCTATATGCAAATGAATGAGTTCCAGCACAGGAAAAAAAAAAAGTCATTCTCTAAGACTGAATTAGAGAAACTTCGTTCTAACTGACCAGTTGAAAATAAAAGGTCTGTGCTGTTTATTGCCCACAAATTATCTTGCCTGAATCAATTAACTACCAGAGTGTCCTTTGAACCATGCTGAGCTATAATCAAGGAAGCTGTCTCCACCTGTCACAGCCTCTTTTCTGAAGCTTATTCCAGGAATATGTTAAGGCAGAGCCTACCTGAAACCATACGTGCTGAGCCCCAGTGCAAAACTGAGTGGGGAAAAAAATAACATTTTGCCTTTTCTTTACTTGCCACATTTTTTTTTTTTGTAATTCAGGTACAGAGATGGAGTCAATCATGCATAGAGTCATCATGAACTGAGCAAAGCCCTTCTTATAAAGCTACTGATTCTGAATCCACTGTAAAAGACAATTTCTGGTCTATTTAAAGGTTATGGTTGCTAGTGAGTTCTTCCAAAACCCACCTAATTAGGGCAGGCAATGCTGAGGAGGTGGGAGCAGTGAAGGTTTGTCTGATGGTGACAGTTAGTATTTCACAAAACTGCGAAGTGCCAAGTGATTTGGTCTCTGAGATATTTCCACAGTAACATTTCTCCTGCTGTATCAGGCAGTGATTTTACTTATGGTCTCCAGAACCAAATTGAGCTAGTTTCAGAGAAAAGGGATTTATCAAAAGAGGGTTCCTAAATCCAGCTGCCACTTTGTCCACACAGGAAATGAGATGCCGCCATTAACACTGGTACAATTTTTGCCTTTCAAAGTTAAATGTCTCTCCTTCTTGTCATCAGGATGGGTTTTGCATGATACATTTTCATCCTCCTCCTACCCCTATCTTCACAGACCTTTGTCTGTGAAGCCACCCTTCCTGTGGGTCTGACTGGAGAAGCCTGGCTCCCAGGACATGGTCTAGCTACAAGGGAGGCAGTGAAGCTGGTTTTTACTTTGATCTTGGAAAGGCAGGACTCAGGCTGGGTGCGGTGGCTCACCCCTGATAACCCAGCACTTTGGGAGGTTGAGGTGGGAGGATAGGTTGAGCCCAGGAGTTTGAGACCAGCTTGGGCAACCATAGGGAGACCCCATTGCTATAGAAAAATTCAAAAATTAGCCGGGCATGGTGGGGCACGCCTATGGTTCCAGCTACTTGGGAGGCTGAGGGGGGAGGATTGCTTGAGCCTGTGAGTTCCAGGCTGCAGTGAGCCATGATCATGCCACACTGCACTCTAGCTCGGGTAACAGAGTGAGACACTGTCTCAGAACAAAAAACCCAAAACAAACAAAGGTGGGGCTCAGAGGGTGGAAACTCCTCCAAACATAAGGAGAGTGATCATAGGATCACAGGTTTGCCATAGCCACCAGGAAGGATAAATGTTCCCACAGCCAGTGTGCCTTTATTTTTCTCCCCCAGCTACAAGCACGCTGGTTCCAGTTCCCACCATCTATGTTTAGAAGAGACGTAAACATAAGTTACGGATTTATCTAAAACTCCAGTGTCCAGAATATATATCGGAGATGGGATAATTTTAGCCCTAAATCCTACACCCTCTAAATGTTCACAGCCATGTACAGGGTAGACACGGTAAATGCCTTAGTAAATTGTATCAATAAGATTCTTAACAAAGAAAGGACTCTTTTTATTGTATCCTGTTTAATGTGTTTTTATGGTCAGAAATTAAACCAGCTCATGTCGCATGTCGGCAAGATTTGCAGAAATGGGGTTGGAAACCCCATAGGTTTTTCTAACAAGGTCTGAATAGACATTGGGAAGGGTGGGCTTAGGCACCAGAGGCAGCCAGGATTCCCGGTACTATTAGTGACCACATCTGTTAATTTTTTATTCCTCAACACAAAATAAAAACACACTAGTTATTTTCAACCTTTTTTTTTGTTTTTTTAGATACAGGATCTTGGCCTGTTGCCCAGGCCGGAGTGCAGTGATGCGATCATAGCTCACTGCAGCCTCGAACGTCTGGGCTCCAGCAATCCTCTTGAGTAGCTGAGACTGTAGGTGCCAGTCACTATGCCCGGCTCTAGGTACTGCCCTCCATGATATTTGCTCATTGAAAACCACACATTTTTCCATTTCATTGTCCTCTGTGCAGTTTGCGTCTCCTCAACTGCTGAAGACAGCCAGCTGGAGGGGTAGGGTAACCTCGAAACGATCAGTGACACCTTGGTCTTCCACTGCTAACATCTTATGCCTTTGCACTCTCACAGCTAACGGTGAAAACACCAACCTCCGTGGCACAATCATGGCTCACTGCCTTGAACTCCTGGATGTTCTGAGGAGTTCCCACTCATAATCCCATTATTCTCTTCCACTGGGCAGGGAAGCCTGTCAGTCAAGATAATCATTGGTTCCCACTCAACACAACCCACCAAGTTAAGAGAACCAGCCAAGTACATAAAAGGGAATGATGATGGTGATTGATGATAATGATGATGATGATAATTAATTATTAGTAGTAGTAGTATCACTAAAACTTACATAGTAATGCTTACTATGAATAGTTACTTTATATATTTCTGTCAGCAGAAATACTCATCCTTGCACCAACACCCATTGCAGAGGAGAGAGATGCCGGTGATGTGGTAACACCACGAGATCCACCCTCCACACCCTCCACTGCCTCTCTGGTCCCTGGGCTCCTGGCGCCTCCCCCTACCCTGTGGGATCTGAAAGATGTCCTTTGAAAATCACAGAACCTCACACTTGCTAAGGTCCCTTACAGGACTCTGATTCTGTGAGTCTGGAATTCTCACCCTAAAGCTGAGTTTCCTGGCCTCAGCATTAGTGACACCTGGGGCCAGATAATTCTTTGTTGTAAGAAACTGCCCTGTGCATTGTTAAGATCTTTAGTGGCAGTCCTGCTCTCTACCAACTAGACATCAATAGCACTCCCCGCTGCGATGACCAAAAATGTCTCCAGACTTGCCACATATCCCCTGGATGACAAAATCCACCTACCCCCTTGAAAACCACTGGCCTAGATTAACTTAAAATGCTGCTGAATGCCACACTCCATACCTTCAACAATTAGTCAACCTATAGGTTTTCTTCACTTCACTCTTTTTTTTTTTTTTTAAACAAAATATTTTCACTTGGCAATACCACCTTTGCTTCCCCTGTTCAGGGGATTTGTGAGTAAGTATTTTTTCACCCTCATCACGCTCTCCGGGATATTCGTTCACTGAAAACCACACATCTTTCCATTCAATTGTCCTTTATGCTGTTTGCATCTCCACAGCAGCTCAAGATATCCAGCTGGAAGGGCAGGGTAACCCCAAGCCTATCACTGACACCTTGGTCTTCCACTGCTAACATCTTGTGCCTTCGCACTCTCACAGCTAACAGTGAAAACACCAACCTCTGTGGCACAATCATGGTTCACTGCAGCCTTGAACTCCTGGGTGTTCCCAAGGAGTTCCCACTCATAATCCCGTTATTCTCTTCCACTGGGTCTGGAAGCCTGTCAGTCAAGAGAATCATGGTTCCCACTCAAAACAACCCATCAAGTGAAAAGAACAAGCCAAGAAGATAAAAGAGAATAATGATGGTGGTTGATGATGATGATGATGATAATTATTATAATTAGTAGGAGGAGTAGTAGTATCACTAAAATTTATATAGTAATGCTTACTTTCTATGAATTACTTTATATATATTCCAAGCATTTTGTAGACTAAAATTGTCAGGAAAAACTGTCCAAACTTAGGAATGGGTAGGAGATTCCTGGGTGTCTTTTAAGTGAGGTGCTGAGTATCATCTAGCAGACTCACTGGGGATACCTGTTTCTATAGAGTATGCATCTTTGATTAACTTTCTGTTGAGAAAGCTCTTTGCGACTTTGTAGGCAATTTCCTGTGGCAACTGTAAGAAATGACTACAAACTAGGTGGCTTAAAGCAGGGGACCCCAACCCCAGGGCCGCAGACAGGTACTGGTCTGCAGCCTGTTAGGAACCTGGCCACATAGCAGGAGGTGAGTGGTGGGCGAGCCAGCGAAGCTTCATCTGCATTTACAGCTGCTCCCCACCACTCCCATTACTGATTGAGCTCCACCTGCTGTCAGATCAGCAGCGGCATTAGATTCTTATGGACGCAGAAACCCTATTGTGAACTGTGCATGCGAGGGATCTAGGTTGCACGCTCCTTATGAGAATCTAATGCCTGATGATCTGTTACTGTCTCCCATCACCCCCAGAAGGGACCGTTTAGTTGCAGGAAAACAAGCTCAGGGCTCCCCCTGATTCTACATTATGGTGAGTTGTATAATTCTTTCATTATATATTACAATGTAATAATAATAAAAACAAAGTGTACAATCAATGGAATGTGCTTGAATCATCCCGAAATCATCCTCACCCTTGGTCTGTGGAAAAACTATCTTCCATGAAGCCAGTCCCTGGTGCCAACATGGTTGGGGACCACTGGCTTAAAGCAACAGAAATTGATTCTCTCACATTCTGGAGGCAAGAAGTCTGAAATCAGTTTCACTGGGGAACAAAATCAAGGTGTCAGCAGGATCATGTTCCCTCTGAATGCTCCAGGGGAGAGGCCATTCATTGCCTCTTCCAGCATCTGGTGGCTGCCGGCATTCCTTGGCTTGCGGCTGCATCCCTTCAGTCTCTGTCTCTGTGGTCACACCACCTTCTAATCTCCTGTCTGGGTCAAATCTTCCTCTGCCTCTCTCCTTCTAGGGCCACCTGGAAAATCCAGTATAATCTCCCCATCTGGAGACTGTTGTGGAGTGAATGAATCACAACTGTAAAGTCGTATTTTTGCCACATGAAGTAACATTCACAGGTTCTAGGATTGGAATGTGGGTATCTTGGGTGGAAGGCATTTTTCAGCCCATTGCTGTAGGGATAGCTGCAAAGTTGTAGGAAACTAACAGCACCGCAAATGACTCTTGTAATGATTTTTTTTCTGGTGGAGAATATACACCTCTGTAAGTTAAATTCTCATTTGAACTGGACTTAACACCTTATTGATTCTCCCATGAATTAATAAGTTGAATAAAATATGTTCCTCATTTTCATTTTATATTGAGGCATAATTTTACCTTTCTGGATGTTAGACTTTACTGATAGTAACTCATTCATGCTCACAACAAGCCTGTGACACAATGTCAGGGGCGTCCAAACCAGAGCAACTCCATCTTGAATAGGGGCTGGGTAAAATAAGGCTGAGACCTATTGGGCTGCATTGCCAGGAAGTGAGGCATTCTTAGTCACAGGATGAGATGGGAGGTGAGCACAAGATACAGGTCAAAAAAAATTTTGCTGATAAAACAGGCTGCGGTAAAGAAGCCTTGCCCAAATCCATGAAAACCAAGATGGTGGCAAAAGTGACGTCTGGTCATCCTCACAGCTCATTATATGCTAAATATAATGCATTAGCATGCTAAAGACATGCCCACCAGCACCATGACAGTTTACGAATGCCATGGCAATATCCAGAAGTTACCCTATATGGCTAAAGAGAGGAGAAACCCTCAGTTCCAGGAATTGCCCACCCCTTTCCTGGAAAACTCATAAGTAATCCACACCTTGTTTAGCATATAATCAAGAAATAACTATAAGTATCCTTAGTCCAGCAGCCCAAACTGCTACTCTGCCTATGGAGTAGCCATTCTTTATTCCTTTACTTTCTGAATAAACTTGCTTTTACTTTACTCCTTGGACTTGCACCGAATTCTTTCTTTTGTGAGATCCAAGAACCCTCTCTTGGGATCTGGATCGTGAACTTTTTCTGGTAACAATAAGCACTGATATTTGTCCCCATTTTACAGATTATAAAATTGAGTCCCTGACAGGTTAGGAGACTTGTCCAAAGTGTAAGGCAAAAATAAAAGCCTAGGCCACCCCACTGACTGAATGAAGCCCCTCTGGGCCAAAAGGACCCCAGAGAAACCTGAAACATTGGATTCCTGGCCATGAAGAGAAGAAAGGATGGACAAGCCTCATTATGCCCCACCCCTTTTGGAGTTTAGGCACAACTGACCAGCATTAACATTAAAATAGAGATCATAAGACTGAGAAAACAGACTCACTGTGGCAGTAAGATACCAAATTGCAACCTGACTCTGGTATAGTGTCACATGCCAGACCCTGAAGGAAATCCAAATGTTTTACCCCAAAATATATTGCTTTGACTTATTTTGAAATGGCTTTGCAAAGCTGTCTTTTCTGAGGAAAATGTGTATCTGCAGAGAATCTCTATTAAACCAACCAGGCCTTTACCAGGTCTAGAAGGGATTAGCTAAGAGTCTGACACTAAATTAAGGTCCGAAAAGAGATATTTAACATCTATTCTCTCTGAAGCCTGCCACCTGGAGGCTTCATCTACATAACAAGAACTTTGGTCTCCACAGCTCCCCTTTTCTTAACTCAAGCATTTCTTTCTACTGACTTCAAGTCTTTAGACAAAGCTTAACTCTTTTAACCAACTGACAATCAGAAAATCTTTGAATTCACCAATGGCCTCATACCAGCCCCAACTCCCTCACACTTCAAGATATCCTGCCTCTTTACGCTGAGCCAATGTATACTTTCCATGTACTGATTCATGATTTTACCTACAATTCTTGTCTCATAAATTGTATAAAGCCAACCTGTAACCTGACAACCTTGGGCACACTTTCTTGGGACCTCTCATTCCCCAGGTTATGGTCACTCATATTGGCTCAGAAGAAACCTCTTTCAAGACTTCACAGTTTGGGCTTTGTGGGGTTGGTTTTCGTTTTTGTTTTGGTCAACAAAGGTCACAAGGTCCTACATTTAAGAAGGATTATTTGGACTGAGGGTCCATTGTGCAACACTGTTATAATATGATATCCAGACTAAATGACTTTTTAATTTTTATTTATTTTAGTTTAGTTTAGTTTAGTTTAGTTTTTGAGACAAAGTCTCACTCTGTCCCCAGGCTGGAGGGCAGTGACACGATCTCGGCTCACTGAAACCTCTGCCTCCTGGGTTCCAGCAATTCTCCTGCCTCTGCCTCCCGACTAGCTGGGATTACAGGCGCACGCCATCACACCCAGCTAATTTTTTTATTTTAGTAGACACGGGGTTTCACCATGTTGGCCAGTATGGTCTTGACCTCTTGACCATTTGATCAGCCTGCCTTGGTCTCCCAAAGTGCCAGGATTACAGGCATGAGCCACCGCGCCCAGCCCTAAATAACTTTTAATGTCTCATTAAGCTAGCTTTGTCATTTGCTTCAGAAGTTCAGTAAACATCTTCCACAATAACCATTATGAGCTAAATGTTTGTGTCCCCTCCAAACTCTCATGTTGAAACCCTAACCTCCAATGTTATTCTCTCAATGGTTTTAGGAGGTGGAGCCTTCGGGAAGTGATGAGGTCATGAGGATGGAGTTCTCATGAGTGGGATCCATGCCTTAGAAAAGGGACCCTAGAGAGCTCTCTTGTCTCTTTCCACTATGTGATGATACAGGGAGAAGGGGCCATGTATTAACCGGGAAATGGGCCCTTGCCAGATGCTGAATCTGCCAGCACCTTGATGTTGGACTTCCCAGCCTCCAGAACTGTGGGAAATAAATTTTTGTTGTTTATAAGCCACCCGGTATATGTTATTTTGTTACAGCAGCCCAAAATGAGTAAGATAACAACCTACATTAAAAAAAAAAAAATGAGACACAGATTAGGCTTTCTGAGGGCAGACAGGATAATGTACCTGCTTAGGGAAATTTGGGTTATTTTTCTCCCAGTTCAGAACACAATCATGAAATGCAAATATTAGGATTCAGCCAATACACACATGCAAACTGAAAAACAAATATCTCTGATGGGAAAAAAATGGTCTTGGTTGTTTATAATCCTCAACTGCAAAGGATGGATTGCTGGAAGGCTCTTGTTTGCTAAAAGAGATTCTGAGCTTGAGAATTCAGACTGAAAAAGCTAAGAGATAACCTGCTTAGCATAAAAAAAGGAGAAGAGAAGGATCTAGGACAAGGAGGAGGAGGGGATAACCAGTGGCCCATGAGGACTTTGGAAGGTAGAATTAGGTCTGTGATTGCAATTTTGTTAAGTTTTACAGTGGCTTGTGACACAGCCTTCCCTAGGATCTCTTGCATTAATTGCCTATAGAATCTATTTTACACAAAATATGCTTTGTAGAGCCAAATATGGTTTTTGGTTTTTTTTGTTTTTTTTTTTTTTTGGAAAAAAAAAATGCTGAGCTCAGCCAGGTCCAGTGGCTCCTGCCTGTAATCTCAGCACTTTGGGAGGCTGAAGTAGGCGGATCCCCTGAGTCCAGCAGTTCGGAGACCAGCCTGGGCAACATGGGGAAACCCTTTCTCTACGACAAGTACAAAAATTAGCTGGATATGGTGGCACCTGTCTGTAGTCCCAGCTACTTGGGAGGCTGAGATGAGAGAATCACTTGAGCCTGGAGCCTGAAGTTGCAGTCAGCCAAGATCACATTGCTGCACTCCAGCCTGGACAATAGAGTGAGACACTGGGGAAAAGAAAAAAAACAAAAACAGAAAAAAGAGGAAAAAAAATGCTGAGCTCTACTTTTAGAAGAATGCAGGCTAAGAAGAAAGGATGTCCACAGGGCTGCCGTCACATTTGGGTCACACATAATTCCATTTTAAAACTACATGTATACTTTTCAAAATGTGCCAAGGATTAACTGTGGTTTGGGGAATCAGATGGGCAAGATTCCAGTATATTACTGCATCTCAAATTTAATGAATTTGCATGAAAAAGAGTTTTTAAAAAAGGACATAGGGAAAAGCAATGATCCCACTGTATTAAAAAAATCCAATAGCATTCAAAATATTATTCATATGCAAAACACCCACCCTCACTCTCTAAAATACAAAAATCAAACAGCTGACTTTGATTCCTAGTCACTTGTTTTTAGAACTTGAGGGTCCCCTGGGTGTCTTTGAATTAAGCACGTTCTCTGGTCTGTTCGTTTTCTGATTCATTTTAAATCCCTGCCTAGGTTGCAGTTTTTATATCACATCGTCTCCCTCCTTCCACTTGGATCAATCTTTTCATTTCTAAAAGTGAGCAGTTTACAAAGAGTTTTTCCTTTCTGAATCTGGGTCTGTGTATGAGTAATGGAAAGACCTAAACATCCTTTACACAGGAAGCACTGGGAAGAGGCATGACCGAAGCCAAGGACCTGTCGATTTCAAGTGCTCCGTTCAAGTTGGCTTCTGCTGTTTCTCCTCTGTACCACAGGAGATACCAGGAACCAACCCACCAACCAAACATCCTCCAAAACTTAAATATGTATTTAAGACACATTGTGTCTCTTACCTTTTATAATGTATCATTGCTGTTAATTTCTAACTGGACTACAACCTTATGTTTGCTTTTATTGTTGTTGTTGTTTTTTGAGAGGGAGTCTCGCTCTGTCTTCTAGGCTGCAGTGCAGTGGTGTGATCTTGGCTCACTGCAGCCTCTGCCTCCCAGGTTCAAGTGATTCTCATGCCTCAGCCACCTGAGTAGCTGGGATTATGGACATCTGCCACCATGCACGGCTACGTTTTTTATTTTTAGTAGAGACAGGGTTTCACCATGTTGGCTAGGCTGGTCTTGAACTCCTGACCTCAGGTTATCCGTCCGCCTCAGCCTCCCAAAGTGTTGGGATTATAGGCGTGAGCCACTGCACCTGGCCTGGACTACAATCTTAAATGTAAGGGTACTATATATCTTGAGACCAACATTTTAATCCAGTGAACAATATCTCTAATTGTGTGAAAAAGTCATATTTTCCTCTGGTCCCTGATGTCAGTCTTCAAAGAATGAGGGAATTACTAAATCCTATTCAATTAAGTTTAGCCTAAAGCTACCTCCTTACATATTTTAAATTCACCCTGAAGGTTTCTCTGTCCATAGTGAGCTGTAACAGAACTGGATGTATAAACAGATGGTCACCTACTCTTCTGCCAGTCACCGAGTTTTGGCCAATCAACAGTGGTCAAGTGTTCCAACCATGTTCAAATAAGGCAAGCGCTAAGCAATCTTCGTTTGTACCCAATCACGCTGTTTCTATACCTCACTTCCATTTTCTGTGTGTTATTTTCCTTTTTCTGTCCACAAATCTACTTCCACAATGCAGCTGCGACAGAGTCTCTCTGAACCTATTCTGGTTCAGGGGTTGCCCGGTTTGTAAATCGTTCTTTGCTCAGTTAAACTCTGTGTAATTTAATGTGTCGAAGGTTTTTCCGTGACCAGTCCTAGGCCACAGGAATACTGTTAATTCACAAATGAGGAATTTGAGGGTTATAAAGTTTAAATAACTTGCACACGGTGACACAGCAGAGCCATCATTTGAACTCAGATCTTTGGGACTCCAGAACTTTCTTTTACACCATTACCTATCCCTTCTCTTCAGCAACAATGACTTCCTTGCAGTCATTGGCCTTCCACCTTAGAACCTTCACATACCCCACCCTTTCCTGAAGCCAGAACACCTTCCCTCCTCTGCTGTGCCTTCACTTACCGGACTCCTATATACACCATATCTCCACTCCAACCACCTTCTCCCAACACCGTGCTCTCTACCATCAGAGCACGCATGTCACTTTGTCATTGTGAGCTCATCAGTTTAAGGATGTGATAAACGTTTCTGTCCCCCACCAATCTCTGAGCTCCTTCCAGAGGCAAGAGCTTCTGTTGGGATTTATGATCATGACCCTGAACTCAACAAATAATAAGAGTTTAACAAATTTTTTATTGAGCAAATAGATGAATGAATGAATGCATTATACTCTACAAGAAGAAGGAATGAAAGAACAAAAGCAGTCCCAGATGGAGAACCTAAAATGCACCGTGTAGCACCAGACACCATCGCAAACACCCAGGTCAAGATGGGAGGAGCCTAGGGCCGGGCACAGTGGCTCACACCTGTAATCCCAGCACTTTGGGAGGCCTAGGTAGCAGGATCACCTGAGGTCAGGAGTTTGAGATCATCCTGGCTAACATGGTGAAACTATGGCTCTACTAAAAACAAAAAAATTAGCCAGGCATGGTGGTGGGCATCCATAATCCCAGCTGCTCAGGAGGCTGAGGCAGGACAATCACTTGAACCTGGGAGATGGAGGCTGCAGTGATCCGAGGTGGCACCACTGCACTCCAGCCTGGGCAACAGAATGAGACTCTGTCTCCAATTAAAAAAAATAATAAATAAAATAAAATAAAAAGATGGGAGGAGTTTGGGCCAGTGGGATTTTGGGCAATCTCATCTATCATATGAAGAATGCCCTAGAAAAGACTGGGTGTGATGGCTCCTACCTGTAATCCCAGCACTTTGGGAGGATGATACAGGAGGATTGCTTCAGGCAAGGAGCTGGAGACCAGCCTGGGCAATAAAGTGAGACTCTATCTCTACAAGAAAATTTTAAAAACTAGCCAGGTGTGGTGGTGAGCATCTGCAGTCCCAACTACACTATAGACTGCGGCAGGAGGATGACTTGAGCCCAGGAGTTTGAGGCTGCAGTGAGGTACAGTCACGCCTTTGCACTCCAGCCTGGGTGACAGAGCAAGACCCTGTCTCTAAAATTTAAGAAATTAAAATAACGAGAAAAGAATGCCCTAGACCATACCATAGTCTTTCCCACATGCATTCATAAAATCCAGGTGCAAGGCCTGGCTGGTGTAGAGGTTCTCACCCAGGATGCCCGTGTAATTTTGGCAGTCTATGGAGACACTAGCCAATACACCTTGGCTCTGAGACCCCTTGATCCCCACCACAGCTGTCATCCATGGACAGTTTTCCTGGATTTGAAATTCAGGTTTCCCTGCAGATTTTGAGGGTTTTTTTGTTTGTTTTTTTTTGCCTTTCCATGTTCCCTGTTGTCTAGAGCAGAACTCCATGCATAAGTCTCAGGCCCTCAGAGTCCCAAACCTTCCTTCTGGGACGAAGCTGGTAGCTCAGCAGCCAAAGTCCTGCCATGAGGAAGGGGTCAGATAAGCAGGATTCACATGCAGAAATTACTCCAAATGTCATTTTTTTTTTTTGGTAAGAACACATGTCACAGAAAGTGAGATGTTCCTAACTTTGAAAAATAAGACTCCTTGCTTTTGCAATTGTCCCTTGAAGACCACAATCTCCCAGGCATGACTTTGCCCCACTCCCCTGAAGTAGCCCAATTGTTTTTAAATAGTCATGTTTCGGTAGTACAGACAACTGATATTTACTCCATCTCCTGTGAGCCTGATGGGCATAAAACCATATTTGGAAAACACAGCTGAATCTATTGATCTATAACATGGTATACATTGCATGAAAATGAAACAGAGACATGTGGCCTGGCCTCACTTCCTTCCAACCAGAGAGCTGTCCCTAGGTTCCTCCTTTGTAGATATCCCAGAGCTACGACTGCTGTGTCTCCAAGAAATGTTCCCAGGCATAACTTGAAAGAGGAACTAGACTTAGGGAAAAGACAAAGCAGGGGTCAGTGCTTCTACTAAGCAACCTTGAGATAAAAGAAGCTATTTAGGAACTTCATTCCCACCAATGTCAGAGGCCATGAAGAAAATCGTAAATCAAAAATTACCCAAGACATGTCTTAATCAGTTTAGAGGTTTGTTTTGCCCAGGTTAAGGGCCATGGCCCGTGACAGCCTCAGGAGGTCTTGAGCACATGTGCCCAAGGTGGAGGGGTTACAGCCACCTTGGGCACATGGTTTTATGCATTTTAGGGAGAGATAAGTTACAGGCAAAAACATAAATCACTGTATGGAAGGTATACATTGATTCATCCCAGAAAGGTGGGACATCTCAAAACGGGTGTTTCCAGGTTGTAGATGGATTCGTAGATTTCTTGATTGGCAATCTGTTAAAAGAGCTAAATTTTGTCTGCGGAGTTTCAAGTCAGCATAAAGAAATGCTTGAGTCAAGATGAGGACTGTGGAAGCCAAAGCTCTTGTTATGTAGATGAAGCCTCCAGGTAGCAGGCATCAGAGAGAATAGATGGTAAATATCTCTCTTTGGACCACAAAAAGTGTCAGACTCTCCAGGAAAGACCTAGGAAGGGAAGGGAATTCTCTACAGAATGCAAATTTCCCCCACAAGAAACAGCTTTGCAGAGACATTTCAAAATATGTCAGAGAAATACATTTTTGGGTAAAACACTTTGATTTCTTTCCAGGTCTGCTCTCTGTCATGTGATACTATACCAGAGTGAAGTTGGAAGTTGGTACCTTATTGCTACAAAGAGTCTGTTTTGTCAGTCTTATGATCTCTATTTTAACACCAATGCTGGTCATTTGTATCTACACTCCAAGGGAGAGGGTACAATGAGGCATATCTGACCCCTCAACTTCCAGTCATGGTCTGAACTAGTTTTTCAGGTTTCCTTGGGATACCCTTGGCCAAGAGGGTGGTCCATTTAGTCAGCAGGAGGACTTTTATTTTTGATTTGCAAAATCAAAATATTTCCCCAAAGTACGTGACTTTGATGTATTTTGAAACGGCCACTGCAGGGTCAGCTGACAGAAGTGGCCTTGCAAAGCTATCTTTTGTGGCGGAAATTTGCATCTGTAAAGAATCTCCATTCATGCAGCCAGGCCTTCCCTTTCTAGACCTTTCCTAGATCCAGGAGAGATTGAGAGTCTGACACCTTTAAAAGTCTGAAAAGAGATATTTAACATCCATTCTCTCTGAGGGCTGCTACCATGTGAGACTTCATCTACATAACAAGGCCACCTTTGCTAGCCAAGCCTCTTTCTTTCTCCCGCCACCATAAACTGTCCTTCCAATAAAAGCTGACTTACCACCATAACCTGTTTTTGGCCATGCATCCTTTCTATAACCTCAAGACAGTATATAAGCTTCGGAACCTCGTTGGTGGATTGGCTCTCCACTCTGAAGGCTCCCATGTATACATGTTAAATAAATCTGTATGCCTTTTCCATGAATCTGCCTCTTGTGAGTTGATTTTTCAATCAACTTTCAGAGGGGCCAAAGGTTTGGACACAGTAGGAGGAGATCGGGCTGGGAGGGAAGCTTCCGCCACATTCTTCTGTGGCTTCCCATGCAGTTATCCTGGAGAGATCAAAGTCTATAGAAACACGCATGTAGAAAATTACATTTGGCAACGTCTTGCTCAAGAGAGTGATGCTTAAGTAGGTTGAATAAAGTTATCATAAAGCTTTTCTTCTTTAAATTATGTTGTGTAACAGTGGAGGGGAGCTTAGCATGACTGACTCTATTTTGCCTCTGACACCCCCCAAAGGGTGATATCTTTTAGGTTAACTACTTTTGCTTATCTCTGCACGTAGGCTGAGCTAACTAGGGAAGGAATTTAGTTTATATTTAACTTTAAAGTAAGGACAGTAGTCCCTTCCCAAAATTAGCCCCTGAGGAGATAAGGAGGGTATACCCACAAGTAAGCATGTTATGTGAAACATTTATAGGAGCATTGTGATCTGACCAAGGAAAAAGAATTTTCACAACATCCTTGTACCCTTGCTGCCACCTAGATGTCTGTGGCCATTGGTCACCTCTTGATCTCAACCCCTTTTCTCTTCCCCTTTCCCCTAGCATAAAAGGAGCCCTATTAACTTAAGGCTCATATTAACTTAAGTTCGTATTAAGATGGTTCTTTAGAATGCTAGTCCACCATCTTCTCAGTTTGCTGGATCTCCAAAATAAATTTGTCTTCCTTGCCCCAACACCTTGTCTCTTTACTTATTGGCTGTCCTGCACTGAGCAGTGCAAGTTTGAACTCAGCTGCAATTGTAACTCTGGAACTAATGTGTATTGAGGATGCTGGGGAGAACAAGACTAGACAAGGGAAACAGACAAAAGAGAAAGCAGTCTCTTCTCATGTCTGTCTCTCCTCAGCCCCAGAGCACCAAGGTTTTTGGAGTCTTGATCCTGTCCACGGACCAAGTGGGGAGCCTGAGACTAGCAACATGGAAGGATTATCAACTGGCATTCAAACCCGTGCCCTTTCTGTTTGTCAAAGGAAACAGGAAAGAATGAAAAGATCACTTTCCCAGCAAATATCTGTGGTCTAAAGGTTGTGCTGAGGGAGGGAAGATGGGGGGACAGTATGACAGCTTCTTTCTGTTTCAGGGGAGTCCCAAAAGAGAGCCTTTCCCCAACCCCACTCTTGTTGAGAGGTTGGGTTCATCAAAGCTGCAAAGGGGAAGGGGACCAGGAGCGTGTTCTTGGCAAAGATGCTCTCCTTGACCAATCCTTGGTTAGGCTCCTCTGATCCCACTTATCTACTAGGCCTTGAACTTGGCCTTCTGTGTCTGTCCATGCCAAGTCCAGTTTTAGTAAGAATCCTGCAAAATCAGGTTTGAGAAAATCCCCTAATTTGATACCTGATCAAGTTCAACACCCCATACCCTTGCTGTCTGAGCCCTTGGCCTGCCTTTAGCAAGAATCCTGTTAGGTCCATTTAACAAGAATCCCCCACGCTTAATGTCTCTTATTAGTAGTCTTCCACCCACTGACACTGAAACCATCCCAATAGGGTTGAAAAGACTTGGAGGTTGGGTTCGGAACAGAAATATAGTTATAATTAAGTGTCAGAGGCATTCGAATCAGAGCAACTCCATCTTGAATAGGGGCTGGGTGAAATAAGGCTGAGACCTACTGGCTGCATTCCCAGGAGGTCAGGCCTCCTAGTCACAGGATGAGATAAGGGATGGGCACAAGATACAGGTCACAAAGACCTTGCTGATAAAACGGGTTGCAGTAAAGAAGCCTGCCAAATCCCACCAAAACCAAGATGGCAATGAAAGTGACGTCTGGTTGTCCTCACTGCTCATTATATGCTAACTATAATGCATTAGCATGCTAAGAGACACTCCTACCAGCTCCATGACAGTTTACAAATGCCATGGCAATGCCCGGAAGTTACCCTATGTGGTCTAAAAAGGGGAGGAACCCTCAGTTCTGGGAATTGCCTACCCCTTTCCCAGAAAACTCATGAGTAATTCACCCCTGGTTTAGCATATCATCAAGAAATAACTATAACTATATTCAGTCTAGCAGCCCATGCCACTGCTCTGCCTATGGAGTAGCCTTTTTTTCATTCCTTTACTTTCTTAATACACTTGCTTTCACTTCACCCTATGGACTCACCTTGGACTGTTTCTTGCGTGAGATCCAAGAACCCTCTCTTGAGGTCTGGATTGGGACCCCTTTCTGGTAACATAAGCATTAATCAGGCTGCACTCTGGCCCACTTCCTTGTTGCTGAAAGTCCTGTAGCACTAGACACTGCCCATGTGCAGATAGGATCTCTGATATTAGGGCCCTCAGACTGTTTAAGAATTGATTTGCAACCCCATTGTTTCTATATATAAGGTCTCTGATGTTAGAATCCTACGGCTTTTGTTTAAGGATCACTTAAGATGTTTTTTAGACCCCAAATTCTAGCAACCAGTTTTAAGACCCTCACAGAGGAATGGGATCAGCCTGAGAATATAGAGATGCTTCCCCTCCCTGTCCTGTGACTTCACCCTGCACTCTTCCACCAATCAACAATCTCCACACTTCAGCCCATTCCAGAACCCTCAAAACCCCTAACCACCAATTCCTTGAGGCGATGGATTTGAGGTTTCCTCCCATCTACTTGTTCAGTGGCCCAACAATTAAACCTTTTTGTCTGCTGCAATCTGCTGTCTCAGTGCATCCACTTGCCATAGGGATCCAGCAACAGACATATTACAGCCATGTGAAAGGAAAATATATCTTGGGTACCCAAAATCACTAAGCTAAAGGGAAAACTCAAGGTGGAAACTGCTTGCGGCAAACCTGCCTCCCATTCTATTCAAAGTTATCTCTCTGCTCACTGAGATAGATGCATATCTGATTGCCTCCTTTGGAAAGGCTCAACAGAAACTCAAAAGAAAGCAACCATTTGTCTCTCACCTATCTGGGACCTGGACACTCCCTCCCACTTCAAGTCTTCCCGCCTTTGTTTCAAGTTGTCCCACCTTTGCAGACCAAACCAATGTACTTTTAACATATATTGATTGATGTCTCACGTCTCCCTAGAATGTATAAAACCAAGCTGTGCCCCGACCACCTTGGGCACATGCCGTCAGCACTTCCTGAGGCTGTGTTAGGGGTGTGAGTCCTCAACCCTGGCAAAATAAACTTTCTAAATTAACTGAGACCTGTCCCAAATTTGGGGGGTTCACAGCTACAACCCTGTCACTCTGCTACTTAGCTATAAATCCCACTTGTCTTGTTGTATTCAGAGTTGACCCCAATCTCTCTCCTCTATTGCAACAGAGTCAACGTCTATTGCAATAGTCTTGAATAAAGTCTTCCTTAGTATTTTAATAAGTGTCAGGCTCTGAGTGGAGGGAACGAATGGCTGAGGGTGAGGAATGAATAATCTTGAAAAGAGGATGAAAGGGCCAGAATTTCAGGCTCTCCACTACAGGGGAGAAGCATGCACTGCACCCCACAGTGCCCCACCAGGCAAGGGCTCCAGGGAGGACTCTGGGTGGCTGAGTAGCTGGAGAATCCTCTGAATCTAGCCCAGAGCAGCTCCCACTCCCACCATCGCAGAGTAGGGGCAGGTCTGCTCTGCCTTCCCAGACCTCTGCATCCTTGAAGAGTAAGAGGCCAGACAGGGGAGTCAAATAATGGCACTGCTGGACACTGAGCCAATTAAGCCAGTTTTCAATTGATCCAGAGGTTAAAGATAGGCATCATGTCCTGCCCCAGAGGGTTGCACAGCAAGTTGATAGCAATTACATAAGTAACTCGGACCTGTCGAGACATCTGTGGCCGAGAGCGCCAAGATGAGCCGACCTGCTGGGAGTGACACTGCAGAACCGGACAGGAAAAGGCAGAGGAGGAGGGGGTCAGCAGGAGGACCCGCCTGGCAGCCCCACTCCTGGGAGGCAACAGCAGCAAGAAGTCACGTGGGACTGCCTCATTCCTCCCCTGCGGATATGTTAATGGAGGTCTCATTTCTGACTTTTTATGTTAATTTAAATGATGTATGTTTACACCCTACTGAGTAAAAAGGACATTGAATTAATGTGCACAGGAAAGAAAACCACAGCCTTCAGCAATCCCTCTTCAAATGCTCCTCTAAGTTCTTTTGGATGAAAGAGTGCTATCCTCTGCTTCCAAGAAATCCTTCTATTATCACTTCTGTATTTAGAATACTTCCCATAGAAGTCATTAAAAAGGTACTTGGTTTCTTAATGAGAACAAAGTACAGTAGGTCAATAATTGCTTTAACACTCCTGCTTAAGAGAAATGAAAGGCCCTTTCCTATGTTCTCCTTCCGACTTTTCCTTCAAGTCATTTTTAAAAGTGTTTTCTAACATCCTGGAGATAGTATTTCCAATGTTCACAGTGATGTGTGCATTTGGCTTTCCCTTGACAAGTCTACGGTGTCAACTACTGGACCTAGAAAAATGGGTTGCTGCATACTCTGGCTGAAATATTCTTCAATGGCTTGAGTTTCAATCAAAAGCATGAGAAAGTCTTCAGGAATGTGAAGTTTTATGTCTCTCCTTTCCCCTACTGTCAGAGGCATCTGAACTAGAGCGGCTCCATCTTGAATAAGGGCTTGGTAAAATAAGGCTGAGACCTACTGGGCTGCATTCTCAGATGGTTAAGCATTCTAAGTCACAGGATGAGATAAGAGGTTGGCACAAGATACAGGTCATAAAGACCTTGCTGATAAAAATAGGTTGCAGTAAAGAAGCCGGCCAAAACCCACCAAAACCAAAATGGCGACGGGAGTGACCTCTGGTCATCCTCACTGCTACACTCCCACCAGCGCCATGACAGTTTACAAATGCCATGGCAACATCAAGAAGTTACTCTATATGGCCTAAAAAGGGGAGGCATGAATGATCCACCCCCTTGTTTAGCGTATCATCAAGAAATAACCATAAAAATGGGCAACCAGCAGCCCTCAGGGCTGTTCTGCATAGGGAGTAGCCATTATTTTATTCCTCCACTCTCTTAATAAACTTGCTTTCACTTTACTCTATGGACTCGCCTTAAATTCTTTCTTGCATGAGATCCAAGAACCCTCTCTTGGGGTCTGAATCAGGACCCCTTTCTGGTAACACTACTACTTCTTATATTTTGGTCTCAAACTCCATTATATGGTGTGAGATCTACTTATCCTTCAAAAGGTCCATCACACAGACCAATTGCAGGTGGGCAGTGACCACAAAAATGACTGCCCTGCTTGTAGTGTTTTGTTTTGTTTTTTGAGATGGTGGTGATTTAGTATTTATTTTTATCGTTTTTCACCAAAAATTTTATTTAGGTAATAAGAATCTCACAGTTGGTAGCTTACTTTTCCCTCCCACTCCTATGGTCCAATGCTGCCATCCTTGTCTATTTCATAGACATATTGTTGTGTTAAGTTTGGCCTTGTTGATGAACAGAGTTGAACTCTGTAAAACACTTGAAGAGATTTATTCTGAGCCAAATATGAGTGACCATGGCCCGTGACACAGCCCTCAGGGGGTCCTAAGAACATGTGCCCAAGGTGGTCGGGGTACAGCTTGGCTTTATATATTTTAGGGAGGCATGAGACATCACTCAAATACATTAGAGAACTACATTGGTTTGGTCCATAAAGGCAGGACAATTCGAAGCTGCGGGCTTCCAGGCTATAAGGTGAATTTAAACACTTTCTAGTTGACAACTGGTTGAGTGTGTCTAAAGACCTGGGGTTAATAGAAAGGAAATGTTCATGTTAAAATAAAACATTGTGGAGACCAAGGTTCTTTTGAAGTCTCATAGCAGCTGCCCTTAGAGACAGTAGATGACGAATGTTTTATTCAGACCTTTAAAAGGTGCTAGACTGTCAGGTAATCTCTTCAGGATAGGGAGGGCCTAGAGAAAAAGATCTAGCTATGTAAACAGAGATTCTTTACAGATGCAATTTTCCCCCCCACAATGAATGGCTTTGCAGGACCATTTCAAAATATGGCCAAGAAACATGTTTTGGGATAAAATATTTTGACTTTCTTCTTTGTCATGTTGTGTTATGCCAGAGTCAGACTGGAAAGTAAGTCACGATCTATAGGGTTAAATAAAACCCATGTGATGAGACTATGATTTATAAGGCATGACTCCCCAGGTCTCTTAGATATTTGGGCAAGACAAGAAAAAATTAGAGCTTAGTCCTCAGCCTGAAATTTTCTCCATACATAGTAAACTGTAACTTATCTTAATGTGTAAACAGACTGTAACCTGCTCTTGTAACAAATAACTGAGTCTCAGCCAACCACAGGCAACCAACTGTTCAAAGCAGGTTCAAATAAGGCAAATGCCCAGCTGTAATCAGCCCAGCTGTTTCTGTCTGTCACTTTTTTTTTCTGTATTCTGCTTTCCTTTTTCTGTCCATAAATGTTATGTTATCTGCCCATGTGGTAGCCCCAGAGTCATTCTGAACCTATTCTTCTTCTGTAGGCTGTCTGATTTGTGAATTGTTCTTTGCACAATTAGACTCTGTTAAATTTAATTTGCCGAAAGGTGTTTTTTTTTTAAGCAATATCCAACCCTACCTGTATATCCGTTCTGCCCATGTACTACTTCATGTTGATATGGACAGGAGACAGGAAAATACTGGGTAGAAGAGGGCGGTTCCCCAGCAAAGGCCCCACCCTCAAGCCTGGAAACCTGTGGCCCTAAATGGGAACAGCCATTCCTGTTTTCACACCCAAACATTGCCTTTTGGCCCGCCACGCCCCCTACCCTGTACCCATATAAACCCCGAACCCCCAGCTCCCGGAGCAGACGAACAGAAGACCCGCTGAACAGGGCAGCAGAGAATGAGAGAAAAGAAGGAGCGTCTGAACATGGAGAGGAGTTCAGCTGGGGACGGTTGGAGAGGAGGTGAGCCGCTGGACAGCCAAACTCCAGGGGAAGATCCTCTTCCCACTCCATCACCTTTCCACGTTCCCATCCATCCTGCTGAGAACCACCTCCAACACTCAGTAAAACCCCTGCATTCACCATCCTTCAAGTCCATGTGTGACCTGATTCTTCCTGGACACCAGGCAAGAACCCAGGCACCAACAGGGCACTGAGCTGGTTAACATTTAAGCCATCTGTAGGTAGCAGAGCTAAAGGAGCACTGCAACTGAGCTAAATGTATCTGAGTACAAACGTATAAATGCAACATGCCCAATAGGGCTTTGGCAGCCACAGGCACCCATCTTAGATGCTACCGTGGGGCTGCAGCCCAAAAGCACTCGCCCCCGCTCCTGCACCTGACTGTTTACTTGCTCCCCGTCCTATTAAGGGTGGCGAACAGACAAGCCATGCCCCTGCAGCACATCCTGCAAGGGGGGTGAGAGAAGTCTCCTGTTTCGATGTAGTTGTTAATGCAATGAAAAAGCTCTACTTTCTATGTTCTGGAGCAAACAAAGACCAATTAGATGTTATTCTGCTAATGCACAGGATAGAATCCTTCCATACACAGGCTGAATGCTGGAAAAGGACTGGCCAAGCCTGCTGCCTGAGCCCTGGCAGCAGGTGACCCCTCACACAGATCTCTGCTTGTGGCTGTCTTTGACAGTGTGGGGATTGGAGAGAACAGAGCGCCCTACTGGGAAACACAGCGTGGCTTCAAAGAGTGGTAGAGGAAAGGAAGGGTGGGCAGTGGTGTCCCTGCCTTCTGGAGATGCCTGCTGTTCTGGATAAAATGTGTAAAAATGTCAGAGCTGTTTGAAACAGAGCAACTCCATCTTGAAAAGGAGCTGGGTAAAATAAGGCTGGAACCTACTGGGCTGGATTCCCAGACAGTTAAGGCGCTCTAAGTCACAGAATGAGATAAGAGGTCGGCACAAGATACAGGTCATAAAAACTTTGTTGATCAAAAACAAGTTGTGGTAAAGACACTGGTTAAAACCCACCAAAACCAAGATGGAGACGAGAGTGACCTCTGGTCATTTTCACCGCTATGCTCCCACCAGCACCACTGCAGTTTACAAATGCCATGGTAATGACAGCAAATTACCCTATATGGTGTAAAAAGGGGAGGCATGAATAATCCACCCCTTGTTTAGCATATCATCAAGAAATAACCATAAAAATGGGCAACCAGCAGCCTTCGGGGCTGCTCTGGCTATGGAGTAGCCATTCTTTTATTCCTTTACTTTCCTAATAAACGTGCTTTCACTTTACTCTACGGACTTGTCCTGAATTCTTTCTTGCACAAGATCCAAGAACTCTCTCTTGGGGTCTGGATCAGGACCCCTTTCCGGTAACAAAATAACCCCAGAATCACAAAGCCAAGGGAAAAGTCACGCTGGGAACTACATCAGGCAAACCTGCTTCCTATTTTATTCCTAAATAAGATAGCTTAAAAGACAAAAGAGGTGCATATCTCCCCTGCAATTTGCCCACAAGGAAATTCCCTGCAGGCCTCAAGATCTTTTCCGTCAGAGGGTTCTGTTGAATTTCACCCTGACAATGTAAACGGATAGCTTATCTTCACAGGTGCAGGACAGAAAGTCATCCCTCTGCTCACCTGAGACAAATTCATATCTGATTGTTTCCTCTGCCTCTATTGTTTTTGTAAAAATGCAGACACACTGAGCCAGACTAAATTGTGTATTCAGTGGAAGGTTAATCAAGGACTCAAAAGAATTCAACCTTCTGTCTCTTATCTACCTGTGACCTGGAACCCCCCGCTTCGAGTTGTCCCACCTTACTGGACAGAACCAATGTCTGTCTTACACATAGTGATAGATGTCTCACGTCTCCATCTCCCTAAAATGTATAAAAGTAAGCTGCACCCCGTCCACCTTGGGTACATGTCATCAGGACCTCCTGAGCCTGTGTCACAGGTGTGTCCTGAACCTTCGCAAAATAAACTTTCTAAAATGGTTGAAATCTGTCTCAGATATTTTGGGTTCAAGAATGCCATTAGATCCTTTCTACAGAGAGGCTTTGTTTTTTTTTTTTATGGAGTCTGCAGCCTCCGCCAAGAGTTCAAGCGATTCTCCTGCCATAGCCTCCTGAGTAGCTGGGATTACAGGCGTCCGCCACCATGCCACCATGCCCGGCTAAGTTTTGTATTTTTAGTAGAGACAGGGTTTCACTATGTTGGCCAGGCTGGTCTTAAACTCCTGACCTCAGGTTATCCACCCACCTAGGCCTCCCACCCGCCTCGGCCTCCCAAAGTGCTGGGATTACAGGCATGAGCCACTACGCCCGGCCAAGGCTCATTTTAAAATATGAATTTAATATCATAAGCATCCTTCCCAGGCCTTATAATACTTGATTTTCGAATTATAAAAAAGAACTAACAATTCACTGACTCTCGCAATATACTTGGCGGTCAGGTCACTGGCATCTCACATACTATTCAAAGCTTAATCTTTTTTTTTTGAGATGGAGTTTTACTCTGTTACCAAGGCTGGCGTGCAGTGGTGCGATCTCGCCTCACTGCAACCTCTGCCCCCCAGGTTCAAGCAATTCTCCTGCCTCAGCCTCCTGAATAGCTGGGACTACAGGCACGTGGCACCACGCCCAGATAATTTTTGTATTTTAAGTAAAGATGGAGTTTCACCATGTTGGCCAGACTGGTCTCATACTCCTGACCTCAAGTGATCTGCCCGCCTCAGCCTCCCAAAGTGCTGGGATTACAGACGTGAGCCACCGTCCCCGGCCTCACAGTCTAATCTTCACAGGAGCTCTGAGGGGTAGGTGATGTATCCTGAGCCTTCTCATAGGAACAGAAGGTTCCCTGCCTTTCATTAGGTCAAACAACTGACAAGTACTGGGACCAAAGTTTGATCCAGCTCTACTTGGTTTCAAAAGCCTAACTTGTTCTCTTACTCAAACAGGAAAATCTCTCACAAAGAAGTCATCTCCTAGCCACTGTGATATTTGCCACATGGGATTTGAGATTTCAGATGAAGTCCCTATGCCCCGTGCTGGCTGGGGAGTGTGGACTATGAGCATGAGAGAGAGCTGCCTTCTCTGGGAACAAGAACTGTTGGCTCATCCCATAGGGTCTGGTCTGGGGTCTGGCACAGCGCTTTCCTCATAGTGATGTTCAAGAAATGTTTGCTAAATGAATAAATGAGAAGATGGATACAGACTTATTAAAATGCAAAAAAAAAAACAAAAACAAAAAACAAAACAAAACCCTGGAAAATATTCATACTGGGAAATAATAAAATCCAAAACCCCTCAACTGACTGACTGGACCCCACCTGGCAAAGAGGACCCCAGAGCAACCTTCAAACTGAGTTTCCAGCCATGACAGGATGGGAGGTTGAACACACCTCTTTATACCTCCCCCTCCCTAACTGCCATTAAGCTTTCTACCCTAGGTGCCAAACAGAAACCAGCCCTTTCAATAGGCTCCACCTACTATTTCAGCCAACTGTCTGACTGCTGCCCCTCCCTTTGATGGTTTCAACATGAACAACTGACCAGCATTCCTTCTTTTTTTTTTTTTTGAAACAAGATTTTGCTCTGCTGCCCAGGCTGGAGTGCAGTGATGTGTCATGGCTCACTGTAGCCTTGACCTCCCAGGCTCATGTAATGGGCCCATCTCAGCCTCCTGAGTAGCTGCCACTATAGATGCATACCACCACACCTGGCTAATTTTTGTATTTTTTTGTAGAAATGGGGTTTCACCATGTTGCCCAGGCTGGTCTCAAACTCCCGAGCTCAAGCCATTCTGCCTGCCTTGACCTCCCAAAGTGCTTGGATTATAGGTGTGTGCCATCATGCCTGGCCCAGGATTCCTTCTTGATAAGAGACCACTGACCATGGAATAGTTCAACGGAGGATGTGCAGTGAGGGGTTTCATGTCCTCTATTTCACCTTTTGATGTCAGAGAGCTGAAAATTCCACCCTCAGATCATGCTAACACTGCCATTTTTGTACATGCAACTCATGAAGAGGCATAAAGCTGAATTGTTCATGCACACATTTCTCCTTTGGTAAATATTTATGACTCCTCCTATAGCTTATTAAATACATACATTTAGCCACCCCACTCAGCATAAATTCTTGTTACCTTTGACCTTCTCTCAAAGTATTTCTGGCTTCTGACCAGAGGCTACACTTCCCAGGCTGTCAGAATGGCCTGGGAAGGCTGCAACCATTTATGAGAAATAAAGTTCTTCTTTCCAATCAACCCAAATGCCTATCAATGATAGACTGGATAAAGAAAATGTGGTACATATACACCATGGAATATAATACAAAGGAACCAGATCATGTCCTTTGGAGTGACATGTATGAAGCCAGAAGCCGTTATCCTCAGCAAACTAAAACTGGAACAGAAAACCAAATACCACATGTTCTCACTTGTAAGTGGGAGCTGAACAATGAGAATACATGGACACAGGGAGAGGAACAACACACACTGGGGCCTGTTGGTGGAGTCTGGGGGACAATGCATCCTGGGCTTAATACCTAGGTGATGGGTTGCTAGGTGCAGCAAACCACCATGGCACATGTTTACCTCTGTAACAAACCTGCACATGTACCCTGGAACTTAAAAATTTTAAAAAAGCTCCCCTTTCCAAATGTATGAACCCGATCA
The DNA here is from genome assembly GCF_000001405.40 of Homo sapiens. Classification (NCBI taxonomy): domain Eukaryota; kingdom Metazoa; phylum Chordata; class Mammalia; order Primates; family Hominidae; genus Homo; species Homo sapiens. The sequence continues at coordinate 71,454,069 of NC_000007.14, read as the reverse complement.
TTCTTCAGTTGACAATACCCTGGGACATATTAAGTTGTGATATGAGCTTTTGATATCATAGTGTGAATAGGTATATGGGAGATTAGCAAGTGAGTCATTGAGTAGAGCCAGAACACAGTGAGAAAAGCTCTTGGAAGAAAGACGTGGAAAGCCCATTTGGGAGCTGGAATGCCAGAACCAAAAGGAGTGTCTGCTGATGTCCTCAAACAGACCTGATGAGATATTCAACACTCACTGAGGATTTGTGCAGAGAAGGAGAGAAGGTGGTGCTGAAAGAGATGAGACAGTCAAGAGCGGAAGTCTGGGACAGCATCCTGAACATGTGGCTTAATTCAGAGCCTCATTCACATTTTCCTCTTATCTGCTATCTGACATACACAGGATAGTGATTAAAGAATGTCAACCATGAATATTGTTGATATGGCTTGGCTGTGTCCCCTCCCAAATCTCATCTTGAATTGTAGCTCCCATAATTCCCACGTGTTGTGGGAAGGACCCAGTGGGAGGTAATTAAATCATGGGGGAAGTTTCCCCCAACCTGCTCTCATGGTAGTGAATAAGTCTCATGAGATCTGATGGTTTTATAAAGGGAAATCTTTTATGCTTGGTTCTCATTCTTTTTTCTGGCCTACCACCACGTTAGACGTGCCTTTCCCCTTCCACCATGATTGTGAGGCCTCTCCAGCCACATGCAACTGTGAGCCCATTAAACCTCTTTCTCTTGTAAATTTCCTAGTCTCAGTTATATCTTTATCAGCAATGTGACAAAAGACTACTACAACTGTGGAACCAAGTTTGCTGGTGAACTGGGTTATAATGCTAGACAAAAGATACCTGGAATATAATTATGAATGATGTTCCAAATGAAATCTGGTTAGCACTCCCCTTTACCCAGGCAGCCACTCGCAACTGAAATTCATGCAAAAAAAAATGTTTATTTACTCTATTCCAGGCAGGGTACTTATGCCCTGGAGACACAATAATGAACAATGTTGGCATGTCTCTTACCCTCCTGGAGTTTCCGGTCTGGGACTTACTAAACCACCAGAGAGAACAGAGAAAATGATGGATGGCAGAAGTCAGAATAATAAGAGCAACACAGAATCTAAGGCCAGGATCTAGGTAGAATCACCAATCATGTTAAGGCAGATGGAGAAAAATTGAGAAAAAGCAACCCATGATTCAGCACAGAGAAAACACTGACTATACTTTACATAACTGGCCAGAAAACAACAACAACAAAAAAACAAGATGCTTAATTCTTGCTCCAGAGCCTCTGGGCCTGTATCCACCAGAGAGGCCCCTTTTTATCAGATACTGCACTAGAAAGTAGACAGAGTCACCCCCTGCTCTGCTCAGTTCATACTGCTTCTCAGGAACAAACCAAGGAAGCAAATACAAATGATTTTTTTAAATGCATACCAACTTTTCTACCCAATAAATACTTTTTTATCCAACAGCCATTATAAAAACTGATCATATATTAGGCCTCCCTAAAATCCTTTTTTATTTTTAAATTTTTTTGAGACGGAGTCTCTCTCTGTCACCCAGGCTGGGTGCAATGGTGTGACCTTGACTCACTGCAACCTCCGCCTCCCAAGTTCAAGCCAATTCTCCTGCCTCAGCCTCCTGAGTAGCTGGGATTACAGGTGCACACCACCATGCCTGCCTAATTTTTGTATTTTTAGTAGAGACAGGGTTTCACCTTGTTGGCTATGCTGGTCTCGGACTCCTGACCTCAAGTGATCCTCCCACCTCAGCCTCCCAAAGTGCTGGGATTACAGGCGTAAGCCACCACACCTGGCCCTAAAATCTTTTTTTTTTTTCTAAAGAGAGCCTCACTCTGTCACCCAGGCTGAAGTGCAGTGGTGAAATCATACCTCACTGCAGCCTCAAAGTCTTGGGCTCAAGTGATCCTCCCATCTCAGACTCCCAAGAAGCTGGGACTACAGGTGTGCGCCCTATTTATCATTTTTCTTGTCATTTATTTATCATGTATCACTTATTTATCATTTCATTTTTTGTAGAGTTGGGGTCTTGCTATATTGTCCAGGCTCATCTTGAACTCTTGGGCTCAAGAGATCCTCCTGCCTTGGCCTCCAAAAGTGTTGGGATTACAGGCATGAGCCACTGTGCCCAAATCAAAATTTTAATTCTTAAAAAAACAAACAAACAAAAAAAACCACAATTCGGTGAAATAAATTAAGAATAGAAGCTTATATTTAAAAAATTGATTTGGTTTTTAAAAATACTTCTAAATAACTCTTAGACCAAAGAGGAAAGAAAGTCTGGAATTAAACACTATCTAGAAAACAGTGACAACTCAAACACTACATATAAAAACTTATGAGCTGTAGCAAGATCCATACTTGAGGGAAATACATAATATTAAATGCTTTTGCTATTAAGCAAGACAAAAAGAAAATAAATGAACTGAGATTTCAACTCAAAAGGGCAGAAAGAGAGCAAGCAGACCAAGGAGAAAAGAGGAACAGACAAAATGAATTAATAAAATTCAAATATAAGGAAAGAGGGGAACCGAGAATAAGGAGTTAGTTCGTCGAAAGGATTTTAAAATTAATCTCATTTTAAAGGAGAGAAAAACACTGATAAATGCTATTAGATCTGAGCAAAGAACTCTTACCAAAAACATATAGAAGCTTTTAAATTTTTAAATGATGAGTAGAAGAATGGTCAAGAAAACTTTCTGCGACAGAGTAGAAAACTGGCATAGACTAATCACTGAAAATCCTGGAAAGGCTGTCGAGAATGACTATCCAGAAAGACATTAGACCCAGAGGGTATTATAGGTAAATTCTGTCAATTTTTTGAGGACTAGAAAAATGTCATGCAATTCTCAGCAAACTATTGCAAGGACAAAAAACCAAACACCACATGTTCTCACTCATAGGTGGGAATTGAACAATGAGAACACTTGGACACAGGAAGGGGAACATCACACACCAGGGCCTGCTGTGGGGTGGAGGGAGTGGGGAGGGATAGCATTAGGAGATATACCTAATGTGAATGATGAGTTAATGGGTGCAGCACACCAACATGGCACATGTATACATATGTAGCAAACCTGCACATTGTGCACATGTACCCTAGAACTTAGAGTATAATAAAAAAAAAAAAGAATAAAAAAAAGAAAAACGCCATGCAATCTGAAGTAGTCTAGAACAGAAAATAAAATTTAAAAGTTTATCATTTTCTCCAAGCTTATATAATGCTCTTAGAAAAGCACTCAAGCCAGCACACACGCCTTGAAAGCATGATGCTAACAGAAAGAAGCCACTCACAAAAGACCACCTATTCCATTTCTGTAAAACATCCAGAACAGGCAAATCCAAAGAGACAGAAAATAGATTTGTGGTTGCCTGGGGCTGGGAGAGTTAGAGGGAAATGAGAATGGCGTTTCTTTTAAGGGTGCAGCACATATACTAAAACTGCAGTGATGGTTGCAGAACTCTGTGAACGTACTAAAAACCATTTAATTATACACTTTAAATGTTTAAAATATATGACGTGAATTATATCTCACCAAGGCTGTCTTTTTCATTTAAAAAGCACATGCACACACAAAAGAAAAAGTACACGAGTTCCACTAATCCACTGAGGGTTAAAATTTTCAAGTAAGCCAGGTGCACTGGCTCATGCCTGTAATTCCAGCACTTTGGGAGGCCGACACAGGTGGATCACTTGAGGTCGCGACGAGACCAGCCTGGCCAACATGGCGAAACCCCGTCTCTACTAAAAATACAAAAATTAGCTAGACCTTGTGGCACATGCCTGTAATGCCACTACTCGCGAGGCTGAGGCAAGAGAATTTCTTGAGCCCGAGAGGCAGAGTTTGCGGTGAGCCGAGATCGCGCGACTGCACTCCATCCTGGGCGACAGAGAAAGACTGTCTCAAAAAAAAAAAAAAAATCTTTAAATACTAACAACTAATAAACCAGGACCAAGAAGTGTTTACTCTAGAAATACAAATATGGTCATATTTTAGACAATCTTTTTTTTTTTTTTGAGAGGGAGTTTCGCTCTTTGTTGCCCAGGCTGGAGTGCGATGGCACGATCTCGGCTCACCACAACTTCTGCGTCCCGGGTTCAAGTGATTTCTCCTGCCTCAGCCTCCCGAGTAGCTGGGATTACAGGTACCTGCCACCACGACTGGCTAATTTTGTATTTTTAGTAGAGATGGGGTTTCTCCATGTTGGTCAGGCTGGTCTCGAACTTCCAACCTCAGGTGATCTGCCTGCCTCAGCCTCCCAAAGTGCTGGGATTACAAGCGTGAGCCACCGCGCCCGGTTAGACAATCGATTAATATAATTCAAAAGATTAATAAATCAAGAGAAAAATATATAAATACCTTAATAAATGCCAAAAAAGCAATGAAAACATCCAATATGTGTCGCCAAGAAAAACTCAGAGTAAATTAGACAGAAAATGTCCCTAATCTGATGTCTATTTAAAACAGCCAATATGAGTCATAATGGTGAAACATTCAAGGTATTTCATTAAGTCAGGAATGAGATAAAGATTTGTTCTCACCATTAATACTCAACATTGCTCTGCAGACTGCAGTTAAGGTAAAAAATATACATATAATGATAGGAAATAAAGAGGCAAATTACTTACTTATTAAAAAAAATCACATAATGTGATTATCCACTGGTAAAAACAAAAATAAGAAAATCAAGCACTTTGGGAGGCCAAGGTGGGTGGATCATTTGATGTCAGGAGTTCAACACCAGCCATGGTGAAACCCCATCTCTACTAAAAGTACAAAAATTAGCCAGGTGTGGTGGCATATGCCCATAATCCCACTACTCGGGAGACTAAGGCAGGAGAATTGCTTGAACCCGGTAGGTGGGGGCTGCAGTGAGCCAAGATCGCGCCACTGCACTCCAGCCTGGGAGACAGAGCGAGACTCTGCCTCAAAAAAAAAAAAAAAAAAAAAAGAAAATAGGCAGCTGTTATTTCTAATTAAAACTTTTCACTGAAGTAGAGCAAACACATAGAGAAGTACACAAGTTTCAGAAGTTCAGCTGTCAACTTTAACAAATGGAATCCATCCGTTTAAACCATCACCCAAGTCAAGAAATAGAAGATAACCAGTGTCCTAGAAATCCCTTCTATGCACTCTCCCAGTCATTACCCCCACTGGCTACCTGACTTCCAATAACAGCTAAATTTTTCTTGGCTTTATAATTTATTTATTTTTAAACTATTTATTAAGGTATGATTCATACACAAAAATCCATACATAGTTAATGTATACAACTTGATGAGTTTGGAATTGAAATTTATATAAAAAGAATCAAATAGTAATGCATCCTTTTGCGCCTGTATTCTCTGATTCAACATTATGTTTGCAAGATATACATGCCTTTTGTTTTCAAGAAAAAATGACATTCACAGTCTCAGATAATTAGAAAGGATATTGCATTGATAAAACAAGTACTGAGTGTTATGGCAAAAGATCGATAAAGAACCAAAAAGAACCCTTGAAAATTAAAAATGTAAAAGCAGAAACAGAAAATTTAGAAAAACAAAGTTAAGAAAATACCCCAGAAATACAGACAAAAGATAAAAGATGAAAAATCAGAGATTAAAGAAAAACAAAGAAACAGTCCACAAGGATGGTTCAACACCCAAACAAAAACAAAAAGAGTTCCAAAAATAGAGACCACACACACACACACACACACATACACACGAAGTAAGGATATCAACAATGCACACACATTTCAAATGGAAAGTTCTATTGAGTGCCAGTGCAATGAATAAAAAGAAATATACTCCAAAACACAGCATCACCAAATTTCAGAGCACCCAGAATAAAAGAATTTCAAAAGAGAAAGAGACAAGTTACATTGAAAGAACTAGGAGTCAGAATGTCTCTGAACTCTCCAATAGCCATGTTGGAAGTAAGAAGACAATGGAATATTGTCTTCAAATTCTAAGCCAAGGTCATTCAAAGTGGAAGGCAGAATCCAGACATTTTTACACATACAAGCACTAAAAATAGTTATTTGAAGATATGCACCAATAAAATGAGAGAATAAGCTAAAAAAGATAAAGGCATGAGATCCGGGACACAGAAGAGAAGTGAAAGGAATCCCAGGATCACTGCTAGAGGGCAGCCAGTCCTGATGGATGAGGCCATAGCACCCTGGGGAGCTCTCTTCATGAAAATAAAGCAGACAGAATATCTAAGGTTGCTGAGAGGACTGAGAGGGAATTCAGACAAGTGGTAGAAAGCATGTAGCTGAATTAGTTAACAGTATATAGAAAACAAATTAAGGAAACAAACAGAAAGGCAATGGTTAAATACAGGAAAAACAAAAAGCTGTGCAGGGAAGGGAAAAATAACCAAAGTATACCATGTGGATCAGATGCAAATAGTTATAATAATATAAGTATTAATAAGTGGTGTAAGAGTGGGCACACATTTCTTCCATTCAGCTATTCTGGGGTTGCATCTTTTATTATGAACTGGTGTAGGTCAAGTATCCCTTAACCAAAACACTTGAGACCCATGTTGCAAATCTCAGATTTTTTTTTTGATTTTAGATTATTTGCATTATACTTACCAACTGAGCATTCTATGTCAGAAAATGCAAAATACTTCCCAATAAGCATTATCCTTTGAGCATTATGTGGACACTCAAAAAGTTGGATTTTGGGGCATTTTGAATTCCAGATTTTCCAATTTAGGATGCTCAACCTGTAACAGTACGCAGTGTTTTCTTGAGCTCTGTGATTCATTCTAGCAAATCATCAAACCTGAAGGGAGGTGGTGGGAAACCCCAAATTTGTAGCCATGTTGGACAAAAATATGGATAGCCTGGAGACCTGATATTTATGACTAGTGCCTAAAGTGGGAGCAGTCTTTGGGACTGAGCCCTTAAACCTGTGGATTCGAATGCTTACTCTGGGTAATCAGTGTCATAATTGAATTGAATTGTAGGAAACCCAGTGTTGAGAATCAGAGAACTGAAGATTTGGCTGGTGTGGCGGGAAAAGCCCTCAGCAAAGGAATGAGTAGTGTGTGAATTTGCGGGAGAGGTGGATGCGGGTGAGTGAATAACAGTTAATACCTTGTCTCCCATAGTCAAAGTCAAGAAGTAATGCCCACATCTCAAAATGCATGATGTAGGACTAAAGTGTACTATTTAGAGATATAGAGGTAAACAAAAGGCATATTTAAAAGAATAGAGTCGGCCGCAGTGGTTCATGCCTGTAATCCCAGCACTCTGGGAGGCAGAGGCAGACAGATCACTTGAGGTCAGGAGTTCGAGACCAGCCTGGCCAATGTGGTGAAACCCTGTCTCTACTAAAAATACAAAAATTAGCTGAGCATGGTGGCACATGCCTGTAATCCCAGCTACTCTGGAGGTCGAAGCAGAAGAATCACTTGAACCCAGGAGGCAGAGGTTGCAGTGAGCCGAGATCATGCCATTGCACTCCAGCCTGGGCGACTAGAGCAAAACTCCACCTCAAAATAAATAAGTAAATAAATAAAGTGGTACCTCTAAAGAGTAGGTAGAGCCTTGTAGAATATATATTTGACTTTTAAACATGTACATACAAAATGTTTATATGAAAATATAAATTTTACATTATTTGTAGGAGTAAAAAATAATGTGAAATATTAAAGCTACTCATGAAATATTAACATTGGTTATGGTTATCGTTGGGTGTTATGATTATCAGTGATTATCTAATGATCTTTTGTATTTTTGATTTTTACAGTGAATATTAAATTTATAATGGATACAGTATAAATTTTATAATGAATACATAATAAAAAAAGTATTTTTACACTATAATTTTTAAAGTGATTGGTCTCCTAGGCTCTGGTCTTGTTCTTCTCTACTGGGCTGGAAGACAACATCTGGATTGGAAGCAGAGCAGAAAATCATTCTTATTTCTTCCCCTCTTGAATGGCTGTAGACAAATTATGGAGCTCTAATTTCATGGCTGCCAGCCTCTGCTCCTCCCTCCTCATATAATTTAAGATTTAAGCCTCTGCAATTTCAAGCTTCTTCAAGAAAATATTCCCGTTTCTCAGAAACGACTACAAGATTTAGGGGATTTTTTTCCCCCTGAATAAAGTTACTTTTAAGAAAATACTATAAGGCAGTGGCTCACACTTGTAATACCAGCACTTTGGGAGGCCAAGGTAGGCGGATCACTTAGGACTCTCTCCTGTCATCACAGCTAAAGCTGAGTGTGCAGAGGCATTAAGGAGCACTCCAGGGGAAAGCCCAGCTTCCCGCCCAAGGTCCTGTGGGAAGCAAAGAAGGTCCAGGGAGCTGGGAGAGGTAAGAGATGACATGTTTCTGGAAGCAGAAAGGGACAGTCTCCAGTCTCCAGGAATTATAAGAATTTAATCGATTTCAGCAATCAGCCTATTTTACAGTCTCCTACCTTGCAGCCTGTTTCTTCCCAAGCCCTGTGCAAAATGTGGTTACCTAGTTGTCTGGAACCAGCTCCTGACAGACCCCAGCAACTTAGAGATGAACCTGAATGAACCTTCCTCATGACCATGTTGAAGCCTCCACCCTGGCCGGGCGCAGTGGCTCACACGTGTAATCCCAGCACTTTGGGAGGCCAAGGTGGGTGAATCACCTGAGGTCAGGAGTTCGAGACCAGCCTGGCCAACATGGCAAAACCCCATCTACACTTAAAAAAAAAAAACAAACAAAAATACAAAAATTAGCCGGGCGTGGTGGTGAGCACCTGTAATCCCAGCTGCTCGAGAGGCTGAGGCAGGAGAATCGCTTGAACCTGGGAGGTGGAGGTTGCAGTGAGCTGAGATTGTGCCACTGCACTCCAGCCTGGGTGACGGAGTGAGAATCTGTCTCAAAAAAAAAAAAAAAAAGAAAGAAAGAAAAAAAAAGGTGGCTCCACCCTGGGAGGTGCTATAGCTCCATTACCATCCCATGTGACTGGGTGATGGCATGATGGCTCTCCGCATCTGCACCACTGAGACCCCTCCTCTACATGTGCTGATGCACCCTCTCCCCTCTCCATTCCCCCATAAAACCCTCCTGTCACTTTCCCTCCAGAGACACCGCTTTGGAGAATATTCCCAGTGCTGTCCTTACTTGTGATGAGTAATAAAACACCTACTGATCAAAGCCTGCGTTCTCCTGGAGAGTCATTTGTTAATCCTCAGGCAAATGAACTCCAGTTTTTTTCAGGTAACATTTCGTTTGTTTGTTTGTTTGTTTTCCTTGAGACAGAGTCTCGCTGGCCCAGGCTAGAGTGCAGTGACACCATCTCGCCTCACTGCAGCCTCCACCTCCCGGATTCAAGTAATTCTCTTGCCTCAGCCTCCTGAGTAGCTGGGATTACAGGCGCTGCCCAGTCAATTTTTGTATTTTTAGTAAAGACAGAGTTTCACCATGTTGGCCAGGTTGGTCTGGAACTCCTAACCTCAAGTGATCTACCTGCCTCGGCCTCCCAGAGTGCTGGGATTACAGGCGTGAGCCACTGCACCCGGCCCTCAGTTAACATTTTGGCCCAGAGAGGGAGAGATGTGTTGGATAGTGAGTTTGCTACGGAAGACACCCCTGTTTTCCACGGTGGGTGTGTCATGAAGCTGCCTGCAGGTGTCTATATCCTCCTAAGCCCACCCTCATGAACCTGATGGTTTAGTGTGGCCACATGGCAGGAGGCCACGTACATTAGCCCCTCTGCTTGGTTCTCATAGGAAGGAAAGGGGAAGTGGCGAGGGAAGGCAGAAGAGTTGTTGATGGCTTTTCCCTGGGCAGGAATGAAGCCTGCAGCTGGGGCTGGGATGGGTAGGGGAATGTGGCCAAGGCTCAGGTGTTTGCAGCCAGCATGAGCCATAGAGATCTGGGTCAGATGGGCCCTGAGGAAGCTGAGAGGTCAGATCCCAAGTTAGGCCCATGGCAGATGTCTTCTGGGAATGCCAGCAGGGCAAGGAGTGGCCAGCCAGGCCAGGGACACTGCCCAGAGGGCAAGAGGATGTCTTAGTCCATTTTGTGTTGCTATAAAGGAACAATTCAGGCCGAGCGGGGTGCCTCACACCTGTAATTCCAGCACTTTGGGAGGCCAAGGCGGGCAGATCACCCGAGGTCAAAAGTTCGAGACCAGCCTGGCCAACATGGTGAAACCCCGTCTCTACTGAAAATACAAAACAATTAGCGAGGGGTGGTGGCAGGCGCCTGTAGTCCCAGCCACTCGGGAAGCTGAGGCAGAAGAATGACTTCAACGCAGGAGGTGGAGGTTGCAGTGAGCCAAGATCATGCCACTGCACTCCAGCCTGGGCAACAAGAGCGAAACTCTATCTCAAAAAAAAAAAAAGGAACACCTCAGACTAGGTAATTTATGAAGAATAGAGGTTTATCTGGCTCATGGTTTTGCAAGCTGTACAAGAAGCATGGCATCAGTATCTGCTCCTGGTGAGGGCCTGAGGCAGCTTCCACTCATGGCAGAAGGTGGAGGATGGGGCAGGCATCACGTGGAGAAATAAGGGGAGCAGGAGAGAGAGAAGGAAAGTGCCATGCTCTTTTAAACAACCAGCTCTAAGATGAACTAATAGAGCAAGAACTCACTTATTACCAGGAGGAGGGCACCAAGCCATTCATGAGGGGTCTGTCCCCATGACCCAAACACCTCCCTCCAGGCCCACCTCCAACACTGCGGATCAAATTTCAGCATGAGATTCGGAAGCGACAAATATCCTAACTCTACAGAGAAACAGTGCGTGTAAAGACCGTCATGCTTCCCCTTGATCACAAAATAAACCCTCCCTCTCCCCACGTACCCAGAAGCCATCCTAGAGAAGGAATGGGGCAGGAGGCAAAGAACTGAGAAGTTGCAGAGACCCAGTATTCAACTAGAATAACCTGAATTTGAATTGGCGACGAAGCTGACCTCGAAAATGAAGAGCTGTAACCTGCCCTGAGTCATTCTCAGACCCTGTCCATGCAACTGAAACTTCAGAGTTGCTTATAGCATGGGAAGGGCTCATGCCACCAGCTGAAACCTCCTGCAGCCGCCACAGAAACCACAGTCGGAAATTCAATGTTCATAAAAGACACTCAAGAAACATTTCTCTCCTCTTTCCTTTAAGTTGAAGTTCTTAAGAGCCTGGGAGTCCATTGAACTTCATGCACGGAAGTTAAACTCCAAAATACTGACTGGGGCATCCTACCAAGTGTATAAAGGACCTCCCATGCAGGCCAGCTCTCCCGGGTCTCACACACTGCCTGTTTTCGGAGGGCTTTGAAGGGGCCACTGCTTTATCAAGCGTGACTGGTAGTTATGTTATTCACAACAGTTAAGCAAGCTTGTTGCAACCTCTCTGCTGCTGTAAGGATGTACTACCAGAATGACTTAATGACACAGGAGCCTACACTTCCGGAAGAAAATGAAGTCAATTACCCCTGACTCTCTGCGTGCCTGGTAGCAGAAGCTATTTTTAGAGTCATGTTGGCAGCCAAAAAAGGAAAGACTGTGACCCAACACTCCAAAAAGATATTGCAAAGTACCAACCCAATTTTCAGACTTTGGGAAAGTCTGCTTAAAACTTCTGCAGGCCGGTGGCTCACGCCTGTAATCCCAGCACTTTGGGAGGCCGAGGCAGGCAGATCATGAGGTCAGGAGATTGAGACCATCCTGGCTAACACGGTGAAACCCCATCTCTACTAAAAAAATACAAAAAAATTAGCCGGGCATGGTGGCGGGCGCCCGTAGTCCCAGCTACTCAGGAGGCTGAGGCAGGAGAATGGCGTAAACCCGGCAGGCAGAGCTTGCAGTGAGCTGAGATCGGGCCATTGCACTCCAGCCTGGGTGACAGAGTGAGACTCCATCTCAAAACAAAACAAAACAAAAAAAACACTTCTGCAGGCTTGAATGGCTATTATGAAAAAGTCAAAAAAATAACTTGCTGATGAGGTTGGGGAGAAATAGGAACACTTTTACATTGTTGGTGGGACTGTAAATCAGTTCAACCATTGTGGAAGACAGTGTGGCGATTCCTCCAGGATCTAGAACCAGAAATACCATTTGACCCAGCAATCCCATTACTGGGCATATACCCAAAGGATTATACATCATTCTACTATAAAGACACACACACACACATACGTTTATTGCAGCACTATTTACAATAGCAAAGACTTGGAACCAACCCAAATGCCCATCAATGATAAACTGGATAAAGAAAATGTGGCACATACACACCATGGAATACTATGCAGCCATTAAAAAGAATGAGTTCATGTCCTTTGCAGGGACATGGATGTAGCTGGAAACCATGCTTCTCAGCAAACACAGGAACAGAAAACCAAACACTGCATGTTCTCACTCATAAGTGGGAGTTGACCAATGAGAACACATGGACACAGGGAGGGGAACATCACACACGGGGACATGTCAGTAGGTGAGGGGCGAAGGGAGGGAGAGCATTAGGACAAATACCTAATGCATGCAGGGCTTAAAACCTAGATGACCGGTTGATAGGTGCAGCAAACCACCATGGCACATGTATACCTGTGTTAACAAACCTGCACGTTCTGCAAATGTATCCCAGAACTTAAAGTAAAATTAAAAAAAGAAAAAGAAAAAGAAAAAAAACTGTGGAGGGTCAACAGGATGAAAAATGGAAATGGTGTCCGGGTGGTTAACCACAAATGGTCATTTGTGTATGCTGTACTGCAGATAGTTCATTGGTTGGAAGAGAAGGCTCTGCAGGCTCTGATATCGGTACTCATGATTGACTTCCCAATCTCAAATAAAATTTGGTATGGGAGGCCAAGGTGGGTGGATTACGAGGTCAAGAGATAGAGATCAGACTGGCCAACATGATGAAACCCTGTCTCTACTAAAAATACAAAAATCAGCCGGGCGTGGTGGCGGGCGCCTATAGTCCCAGCTACTTGTGAGGCTGAGGCAGGAGAACAACTTGAACCCAGGAGGCGGAGGTTGCAGTGAGCCAAGATCGCGCCACTGCACTGCAGCCTGGCGGAAGAGCAAGAATCCATCTCCAAAAAAAAACCAAAAAAAAAAGAACAACAACAAAAAAACTGATATGCTTTCTCTCCAACGCACAAGACATGAAATAGTCATATGTTCCTGTATTTCCATAAACAAGAGGAGAAATGGATGGCCTCAAACGTAACACACCTTGCATGACTGGTAAGGCCTGATGAGAAGTTACTCATTGCCACACCTCGGAGGATGAAAACTCCAGCAAGTGCTACTGGAGAGACTAGGTAAACAAAAAAGGCTGTTTGGGTTTGAGAACAAGTGATAATCTTCGTTTTCTTTTCTAAAGGACCCCCTGGAAACAACTAAGAAATAATAATTCGTGGAGGACCAGAAGGGCCAGGAGACAAGAAAACAGTTCTGAACTGGCCAGGCGCGGTGGCTCACACCTGTAATCCCAGCACTTTGGGAGGCCGAGGTGGGCAGATTACCTGAGGTCGGGAGTTCAAGACCAGCCTGACCAACATGGTGAAACCCCATCTCTACTAAAAATACAAAGTTAACCGCGCATGGTGGCACATGCCTGTAATCCCAGCTACTTGGGAGGCTGAGGCAGGAGAATTGGTTGAACCCAGGATTCGGAGGTCGCAGTGAGCTGAGATCGTGCCATTGCACTCTAGCCTGGGCAACAGAGGGAAACTCCATCTCAAAAAAAAAAAAAAAAAATTAAGAAAGAAAGAGTTCTGAACTGTGCTGTAGAAAAAAACCATCAGAGGTCGTGGGGGAGCAAGGAAGAAAGGTTATTTTCTGCCCTGAACTGAATTTCAGAGTCTTCTGCAGTTACTTTTCAGCCTTTCAGGATACAGTGGAAAAAGGAATAAAAAGAAAGGGCAGAAGAAGAAAGATATGTAAGAGGGCCTGAAAAGATGGATCACTCGAGGTCAGGAGTTCGAGACCAGTCTGGCCAACATGGTGAAATCCTGCCCCTACTAAAAATACGAAAAATTAGCCAGGCGTGGTGGCGCATGCTCGGGAGGCTAAGGCAGGAAAATTGCTTGAACCCAGGAAGCGAGGCTGCAATGAGCCAAGATTGTGCCACTGTATTCCAGCCTGGGTGACAGAGTGAAATTCTGTCTCAAAAAAAAAAAAAAAAAAAAGAGGGCCTGGAAGATGAAACACTCTGGAACCATCTAGAAAGGGGGATTAAAGCTACCAAAATAAGAGCTGGAGCCTACCCCTTTCCACCCCTCACTATAGTCTACATCTAGCACCAACAGAAGGAGAATATGAAGCCTATTACTCTCTCCCCACAGATCAGCTCCATAAAATTAATGGGATGGCTGCTTCCCTATTTATGTCCAGCAATAACTCAGGAACTGAGCATTTAATTCAGAGGTAAAGTGTCCTCCATTTTTAAAAATCCTTAAATTTAAAATAAAATGTGTCTGCTCCTTGGCAGCCCGCAACACTGAACCTCTTTACAAGGGAGGAGAAAAGTCATTCTGACATTATTCAGATTAATCTACCTGCCGCTGGGAGCTGTCACAGTGCATGTCGGTTGATGGAGGCAGGCCTCTCTGCTTGTCATCGCAGAGAAAGTTTACGTTGCTAATGTTGCTCCAGCTCTAGGGCACTGCCTGGGAATTTTGCTTCCAAAGGAAAGCTATCTAGCAGCAATATCAGCGTGTCACGCAAAAAGAAATATTGATCTACCCAGGCTGGTGCAGAAGGTACCTAGGTGATGTCAAGAAATAGCATGTATTTCACCCAAAAGCAAGGTGTTCACCATTCTGTAAGTGCACTCCCATTTCATAAGGAATAGCTTTCTGAAGAGAGTGGCTTCAAGAACATGAGTCCCTTCTTTTCTGTGCAAATCCCTTGGCATTTAAAATGTCTCTCCTGGCCTGGCTGGGCGCAGTGGTTCACCCCTGGCAAAGTAATCCCAGCACTTTGGGAGGCCGAGGTGGGAGGATCACTTGAGGCCAGGAGTTTGAGGCCAGCCAGGGCAACATAGCAAGACTCATCTCTACAAACAATTTTAAAAAATTAGCCAGGCATGGTGGTGGTGCATGCCTGTGGTCCCAGCTACATGGGAGGCTGAGGTGGGAGGATCCCTTGAGCCTGGGAGGTCAAGGCTACAGTGAGCTATGATCACATCACTGCACTCCAGCCTGGGCCACAAAACAAGACCTTGTCTCCAAAAAAAAAAAAAAAAGTCTATCTTTTATTAGCGACCAGAGTCTGTCATGTGTAGGACATAAATTAGTGATAATCCAATGATCAGGTTATTTGTTATAACTATTTGGTTGTATGACCTAGACCAAATAAAAAGAAAAGGGCTATTATAATATTCCCAAAGTGAGGAGCATTGTAGAATAGAGAATTGCTCTAATAATATTGATAGCAAGAACAGCTGTTATTTCTAGAGCACTTACTATGTGCCATGGACTGTTTTAAGCATTTTACATGTATTATCTCATTTAATCTTCACAACAACCCTATAAGACAGTACTATTATTATCCCCTTTACAGATGAAGAATCTGAAGACATCTCATCCAATGCATCTGTGATGATTAATACTGAGTGTCAACTTGATTGGATTGAAGGATGCAAAGTATTGATCCTGGGTGTGTCTGCCAAGGTGTTGCCAAAGGAGACTAACATTTGAGTCAGTGGGCTGGGAAAGGCAGACTCACCCTTAATCTGGGTGGGCACTAACCAGCATGGCTAGAATATAAAGCAGGCAGAAAAACGTGAAATGACTAGACTAGCTTAGCCTCCCAGACTGCATCTTTCTCCCATGCTGGATGCTTCCTGCCCTCAAACATTGGACTGCAAATTCTTCAGTTTTGGAACTTGGACTGGCTTCCTTGCTCCCCAGCTTGCAGACAGCCTATTGTGGGACCTTGTCATCTTGTGAGTTAATACTTATTAAACCCATATACATACATACATACATATATTATTAGTTCTGTCCCTCTAGAGAACCCTGACTAATATCACATAGTCCAAATCCACCATTTTACAGGGAAGTAAACTGAATATCAAAATTTGTGGTTCAAATCTGGCTTAGAAAACAGGTCTCTTTGCCAAGTGCAGTGGCTCATGCCTGTAATCCCAGCACTTTGGGAGGCCAAGGCACGAGGAATGCTTGAAACCAGGAGTTTGAGACCAGCCTGGACAACATAGCAAGACCCTACTTCTACAAAAAATAAAAATAATTAGCTGGGCATGGCATGCACCT
This sequence comes from Homo sapiens, assembly GCF_000001405.40. Classification (NCBI taxonomy): domain Eukaryota; kingdom Metazoa; phylum Chordata; class Mammalia; order Primates; family Hominidae; genus Homo; species Homo sapiens. The sequence goes on along the minus strand of NC_000007.14, from coordinate 71,437,855 downwards.
GTAGTCCCAGCTACTTGGGCAACTAAGGTGGGAAGATTGCTTGAGCCTAGGAGTTCAAGGTTACAGTGAGCTATGATTGCACCACTGCACTCTAGCCTGGGTGGCAGAGTGAGACCCTGTCTCAAAAAATTTAAAACAAACAAACAAAAACAACAACAAAAACTGAAACAGGCTCCAGAACCTGGGAGATGTTCTATCACATCATGCTGCTGACATTTGAAGTCACTGAAGAATCACTTGTCCTCATCTGTGAAGTTACATATTCGTTGAGCCCTGTGGGAAGGCAGCAGTCAGCTGTGGACGGCCACGCAGAGCCGACCAACTAGGGAGTGATATCCCGTGTCACCTTGTGAACTGTACCTACTTTCCCAGAAAGTGATAAAGTTGATCATGATGCTCCTTTAGGGACCTGATCAACTGTGATGGTTCGTAGGCATTCTTCCCAGCTGATTGTTTGAACAAATAGCAAATGTTTTAAAGAAATATGGGGATTCAGTCAGGATGGTGGGAGAAATTGTAAAATCACAGGAATAGAAAAAAGCAAATCTTGGAAGGCTGGGGAGTTTTGCATAACTTTAGGTAGTTTGGCTGAAGGCAGCCAGATTCTCTTTTCAGGAGCCAGAGAGCTTAGGGTGCAGATACAAAAGGATGCAGAGTAGTTTATCTAAATAGCTTGTTTACTCATGTGGTCCTAAGACTAACCTTTGACCATCCGTGGTTGCATGATTGCTCTCTACTCAGGGGGGTCAGCAACGGTAATTACCTTCTAGTGGTGTTTACTTAAGACCTCTGTCATTTAATGTGTGCTGAATAAATGCCGGGAGGGCCAGCGAGTCGAAGATGTGGCTGCTGACTCTTCACACATCTTCCTTGGTGTCTGTGAGGAGCCCAGATGCTCAGCTGGACTGATAAGCAGAATATCTGTGTCAGTGTACGTTATTCATCCATTGTTGGGTCAGGGTCTGCAGGATGGACCCCCGCAGAGAAATGGATATGCCTTCCATTAGACCATCTTACAGACAGTCAAACTCACACTGTTTCTCTAGCAGTTGTTTTCATTCAGAGTTTGCATTTGGGGTCTCGAAAGTGTGGAAACATGGATACATTTATTTTTGTTTTATTTTTTATTTTTTTTTTGAGATGGAGTCTCGCTCTGTCGCCCAGGCTGGAGTGCAGTGGTGCGATCTCAGCTCACTGCAAGCTCTGCCTCCCGGGTTCACACCATTCTCCTGCCTTAGCCTCCTGAGTAGCTGGGACTACAGGCGCCCGCCACGATCCCTGACTAATTTTTTGTATTTTTAGTAAAGACAGAGTTTCACCATGTTAGCCAGGATGGTCTCAATCTCTTGACCTCGTGATCTGCCTGCCTCGGCCTCCCAAAGTGCTGGGATTACAGGCGTGAGTCACCGTGCCCAGCCAACATGGATACATTTTTAAAGAGGACTGACATACAATAAGAGTGTCCTCCATAGAACAAGTTTATTTTTAAATTTTATTTCATTTCATTTTCTTTTAGAGACAGGGTTTCACTCAGTTGCCAAGGCTGGTGTGCAGTGGAATGATTACAGCTCACTGCAGCCTCCAACTCTTGAGCTTAAGCAATCCTCTCATCTCAGCCTCCTGAGTGTCCGAGACTACAGCCATGTAACCACCCGGTGGGTTCATCTTGCCTGCTGCCTAGACAGAGCTGATTTATCAAGACAGGGGAATTGCAACAGAGAAAGAGTAATTCGCACCAGAGCCAGCTGTCTGGGAGACCCGAGTTTTATTATTACTCAAATCAGTCTCCCTGAGCATTCGGGGATCAGAGTTGTTTTTTTTTTTTTTCTTTTTTTTGAGAAGGAGTCTCGTTCTGTAACCCAGGCTGGAGTGCAGTAGCGTGATCTTGGCTCACTGCAAGCTCCACCTCCCAGGTTCACGCCATTCTCCTGCCTCAGCCTCCCGAGTAGGTGGGACTACAGGCGTCCGCCACCACGCCCTGCTAATTATTTTGTATTTTTAGTAGAGATGGGGTTTCACTGTGTTAGCCAGGATGATCTTGATCTCCTGACCCCATGATCCACCGGTCTCGGCCTCCCAAAGTGCTGGGATTACAGGCGTGAGCCATTGCGCCTGGCTGGGGATCAGAGTTTTTTAGAGCAACTTCGGTGGGGGAAGGCCAGTGAGTTGAGAGTGTTGATTGGTTGGGTCGGAGATGAAATCATAGGGAATTGATGCCGTCCTCTTGCGCTGAGTCAGTTCCTGGGTGGGGGCCCGAAGATCAGATGAACTAGTTTATAGATCTGGGTGGCACCAGCTGATCCATCAAGTGCAGGGTCTGCAAAATATCTCAAGCACTGATCTTAGGAAGTGGTTTAGGGAGGGTCAGAAGCTTGTAGCCTCCAGCTGCATGACTCCTAAACCATAATTTCTAATGTTATGGCTAATTTGTTAGTCCTACAAAGGCGGTCTAGTCCCCAGGCAAGAGGAGGTTTGTTTTGGGAAAGGGCTGTTATCATCTTTGTTTTAAACTATAAACTAAGTTCCTCCCTAAGCTAATTCAGCCTATGACCCAGAAGGAACAAGGACAGGTTAAAGGTTAGAAGGAAGATGGAGTCACTTAGGTTAGATCTTTTTCACCGTCTCAGTCATAATTTTGCAAAGGCAGTTTCAGGCACGCACCACCACATCCATCTAATTTTAAAAATTTTTCTGTAGAGATGGGGTCTTGCTAGGATGCCCAGGCTGGTCTTGAACTCCTGGTCTCAACAATCCTCCCACTTCAGCCTCCCAAAATGCTGGGATTATAGGCATGACCCACTGCATCTGTCCATATTCCTGAGTAATATTTTATAATAATGCCTCTTCTAGTGTGATGTGAATTCCCTCAATGGAAGCAACACCCTCTGTCAACCAGCCTTCTCCAGACTGGTCCCCTGAAGAAAGCAAACAGAATTTTGTGGAGGGTTTTTGTTTGTTTGTTTGTTTTTTACCATCTATCTCTCCATGTCTTGCTTCTGTAGTAGAATTCTATTAACTGAAACATTAATTATCTACAACAGCCCATGCCACAACTCCAGAGAGTTTATAATTAGTGCTTTTCATCTAAGGGACCAAAAGTTTTGTTACGGCAATTTTCTACTAGTGGAACAATCGACATTTCAATGCTGGTGAAGTTTTAAGGACAAGAAAATTAAAAGCTCATTTACACAACAAGTGAGTGATCTGCCTAAGGACACAGAACCCACGGGTGGCAAAAGTGAACAGGCCATTTCTCTGTTATTGGAAGACTAGCAGGACAGGGAAAAAAAGAAAGGTGGAGAATGTCTATCTTCTTCACTGTGACTTTTCTCTTCCTGAAATGTGCCAGCATTCACTTGGCCCCTGGCTGGATTGCTTTACGAACTCTCCTTTGCTAGACCAAGGAAAAGTACCAGTCTTCAACCTGACCTTACCCACAACACACTGCAATTGACCAGGATTCTCTACCAGGCCCAGGGAGGTCAGCAGCCTCAGCTGGTCTGGTCCTGTGTGATGCTAAACCTTCACCAAGGATGTTCCTTGGTGTATTAGTGAGGGTTCTCTAGAGGGACAGGACTCATAAGATAGATGTATATATAAAGGGGAGTTTATTAAGGAGAATTGACTCACATGATCACAAGGTGAAGTCCCGCAATAAGCCGTCTGCAAGCTGAGGAGTAAAGAAACCTGTCTGAATCCCAAAACCTCTAAAGTAGGGAAGTTGACAGTGCAGCCTTCAATCTGTGGCAGAAGGTCCAAGAGCCCCTGGCAATTCACTGGTGTAAGCCCAAGAGTCCAAAAGCTGAAGAAATTGGAGTCTGATGTTCAAGGGCAGGAAGCATTTGGCACAGGAAAAAGATGGAGGCCAGAAGACTCAGCCAATCTAGTCCTTCCACATTCCTGCCTGCTTTTATCCTAGCCACGCTGGCAGCTGATTAGATGGTGCCCAAACAGATTGAGGGTGGGTCTGCCTCTCCCAGTCCAGTGACTCAAATGTTAATCTCCTTTGACAATACCCTCATAAATACATGCAGAAACAATACTTTGTATCCTTCAATCCAATCAAGTTGACACCCAGTATTAACCATCAGACTTGGTTTCTAAATTCCCACTCAGGACTCTACCATGACCAGTTCTGCTGGTTTAAAATTTGACCCCGATTGGATCACCTGCTGTACTCTGTGCTGCTCTGACAAAAGAAGGGACAGGCAAAATCTCAGGGTTAACCAGAGAGAAACGTTCCAGGCCATTGTGAACCAATAATTGATACTCAATCTGTCTTCATCTTGTTGAAGGACTGGTCATCCGATAGCCATCAGCTTCTGAGAAAGAATTCACGGACCACATAATTCACCTGCTTGCTGTGTACAAGCCAATGGTTTTTAGTATAGTCATAGAGTTATGCAATGTCACAAAAACCAATTTTGGAACATTTTCATCACTTCTACCCCAAAGCCCCATCTTCATTATCAGTCACTCCTCTATCCATCCCTCCTCCACAGATGGGGGTGACCCCTAGTAGTGGGTAAGCACTATTCTACTTTCTGTCTCCCCTGGTTGGTTTTTTATTCATCTTTAGTTAGACTCACCAGACTAGTGGGGTGAGTCTGGGCTCTGCTGTTTGGTTTTTAGAGCCCTCTATACAGCATACCTCCTGTTTTTATCTGGAAGATGACGACTTCCAGATGAAGACCGGATAGTCTTCCATCTTTCCTCTATTTTTACTTTATATTTTTAAAGAATAGAGATGGGGCCAGGCACAGTGGCTGACTCCTGTAATCCCAGCACTTTGGGAGGCCAAGGTGGGCAGATCACCTGAGGTGTGGAGACCAGCCTGGCCAACATGGTGAAACCCTGTCTCTACTAAAAATACAAAAAATTAGCCAGGTGTGGTGGTGCATGCCTGTTATTCCAGCTACTCAGGAAGCTGAGGTACAATAATCGCTTGAACCCAGAAGGTGGAGGTTGCAGTGAGTCGAGATCAAGCCACTGCACTCCCGCCTGGGTGATGGAGTGAGACTCTGTCTGGACAACAACAACAACAAAAAGAAATACAGATGGGATCTCACTGTGTTGTCCAAGCTGGCCTTGAACTCCTGGCTTCAAGTGATCTTCCTGCCTTGGCCTCCCAAAGTGCTAAGATTACAGACCAGAGCCATCGCACTCAACCTCTTTCTTCTGTTTTTTAATGCATATTTCCCACCTTCAGTATCTTCATAAGACACTAAACAACTCATCTTCATTATGTAGTAAAGGGTTAACTCAGTGGGCTTGGGTTGTCTAAACCCCGCACAATCCAGAGAAAGAACTGGCCCTGGATCAGCTTCTGGGAGACAATCTCTAAGCCCTTGGAATATCCTACCTGATAAGAGTGTCTTTGCATGCCAAGGCCCTGGACGATGCTACTGCAGTTTAACTTCTGGTGGGCAAGGGCTGGAGGTTGAGTAGCTAAGGAGAGTCATGCAAGGCTCTCCATGCCTATGTGACTGACCCACAGTAAAAACCCGGGATGCCAAGGCTCAGGTGAGCTTCCTGATTGGCAGGACTTGAAATGAGTTGTTATGTGCCACCGCGGAGCAAATCAGCCCTACCCATACAACTCCATTTGGGAGAGGACAAGTGGAAGCTTGCAACTGACTTCTGTGGGACTCTTCATGCATCTCTGCAGATTTTTTTTTTTTGAGACGGAGTCTTGCTCTGTTGCCCAGGCTGGAGTGCAATGGCGTGATCTCGGCTCACTGCAACCTCCGCGTCCCATGTTCAAGTGATTATCCTGCCTCAGCTTCCCGAGTAGCTGGAATTACAGGTGTGCACCATCACACCCAGCTACTTTTTGTATTTTTAGTAGAGACACAGTTTCACTATGTTGGGCAGGCTGGTCTTGAATTCCTGACCTCAGGTGATCCACCTGCCTTGGCCTCCCAAAGTGCTGGGATTATAGGTGTGAGCCACCATGCCCAGCCTGTTGATTTTAATCTGTATCTTTTCATCATTAACAAATAATAACCATGATTGTACAGCTTTTCTGAGTTTCGAGAGTTCTCCTGGTGAATCATGAAACATGACAGTGGGCTTTAAGACCCCAAACACACTCATTTGCAGAACTATACCCTGCATTGTGTTATCTTGCATATACTCAGCCGGTAAAAATCTCCTCCAGCTGGCAAGGTCCAGCTAGTCAAATCTTTTCCAGGAAAGACAGAACAGCAGGTAAGAACACAGACTCTGGGCCTGACTACATCCGAATCCCAGCTCCACTTCTTACCAGGTGTGTGACGTTGGGTAAGGTGCTTAACTCATGCTTCAGCAACTTTGCCTGTAAAAAGGATATAATAATATTCATCTTGGCCAGGTACGGTGGCTCCCACCTGTAATCCCAGCACTTTGGGAGGCTGAGGAGGGTGTATCACTTGAGGTTAGGAGTTTGAGACCAACCTGACCAACATGGCAAAACCCATCTCTATTAAATGTACAAAAATTAGCCAGCTGTGGTGGTGCATGCCTGTAGTCCCAGCTACTCAGGAGGCTGAGGCGGGAGAATCACTTGAACCCGGGAGGTGGAGGTTGCAGTGAGTTGAGATCACACCACTACACCCAGCCTGGGTGACAGGGCAAGACTCTGTCTCAAAAAAAAAAAAAAAAAAAAGAAAAGAAAAGAAAAAAAAATACTCATAGGGTGAGAATGAGGAGCGAATAGATGTGTATTGTGCTAAATACAAGAACTGTACCTGACACATAGAACACTGTGGTGTTAGTTATGGCTATGAGCTTTTCCATCCACTCCAATGGCAAAAATTCCCTCCCTCCCATGATTCCACATTTCATTGCCCTGAAGTGCTATCACACACATTTGAAAGCCTGTGTCACCACCCATGAACTCCATCAAGACAGGATAATCATTTCATTTACCAATACTATCCCTGCTGGAAATGCTTACCCCAAAGCTGAGCACACAATTGGCCCCTAAAATATATTTGCTGATGCATAGGAAAGATACCTCTATTTTAAAGTCTGATTTCTTCTCTTAAAGCTTTCCTCCTCTGTAAGCCAGTCATATTCCTTTAGGGAGGAAAAAATAACCTTCTCCCTTTGTACATATCTGTGCACAGAATTTGAGATCCCGGCAACTATATATCCAAGGCATCCCTTTCAACTAAAGGAGTCTAACAGGCTCTAACAGCACCCATACCTTATAATTTATTATCAAATTATATGTTGGATTAAGGATTGCTAAATTGTTAATCATTGCCTTTAATTAGTTATTCATGAGCAATGTCACTAATTATAGGACCACCTAACATACAGCAGGGAGGAACCACTGTCACCTCACAGAAGATGCCTGACTCAGCTTTCAGCCAGTGCCCTGAAAGCAACATATGCTGTAAAATGTCCCATCTGTGGCATTTTGGAACCTTCCCTCTCATGGTGAAAGTCTCAGGCTTTTGCAGCTGGAGAGAAGTGTACAGATCAGCAGTTCTCAAGCTACGAGCAAAAGTTCTCTGAAGGCAGCAGAACTAAGCCAGGTTTTCATGAACTTATGGTGCACCTAACCTAGGTGCATTCAGGCTAAATAAATGGTATCCTTCATTCTTATCTTACACCTCACTCTTTTCCCCATATATACATAATGTCATGAATAACAAAATCTGAGTTCATAACAAAACACAACTGAATTTATGGTAGTTTTTTTTGTCAAGAAATCCTGGTGGGGTCAGGTGCAGTGGCTCTTGCTCATAATCCCAGTGCTTTGGGAGAATAAGGGAAGAGGATTGCTTGAGGCCAGGAGATCAAGACCAGCCTGGGCAACATAGCAAGACCCCTGACTTTACAAACATTTTTTAAAAATTACAGCCAGGCACGGTGGCTCACGTATGTAATCCCAGCACTCTGGAAGGCTGAGGCGGGCAGATCACTTGAGGTCAGGAGTTTGAGACCAGTCTTGCCAACATGATAAAACCTTATCTCTACTAAAAGTACAACAATTAGCTGGGTGTGGTGGTGGGCACTGGTAATCCCGGCTACTTGGGAGGCTGCAGTAGGAGAATCGCTTGAACCCAGGAGGTGGAGATTGCAATGAGCTGAGATGGTGCCACTGCACTCCAGCCTGGGAGACAGAGTGAGACTGTCTCAAGAAAAAATTTAAAAATTACCTGTGCATGGTGGCACATGCCTGTGGTCCCAGCTCCGCTGGAGGCTGAGGCAGGAGTATCGCTTGAGCCCAGGAGTTGGAGGCCATGATGAACTATGATCTCACCACTGCACTCTAGCCTGGGCAACAGAGTGAGATCTTATCTCTAAAAATATAAATAACTAAGAAAAAGAAATCCTGGTGGAAATTTTGTTGAATTTATATTCTTTGCACCTTGAAATAGCCATTATTTTTTCTGTTCTTGGTGAACTTTCAGCAATGATTCCAGACTTTTACCCCTTTTGGGTAGCCTCCTATCTGAGGCCCAGCTCTCACTCTTAACAAATGATTTTCTCTCCTCATTCACAAGGAAAATGTGAGTCAGACAGCATGACCTTTCCCTTCCTACCATTCAAGACCAAACCATTGTTCATGTCCTTAGCCCACCCACGCCTCCTTCTTCAGGGTCTTTCTTTCCCAATCAGTCCCCACCCCTTCCTTTCTGCCTTCAGACTTTCCCCTTCTCCCTGTTCCATGCCTTCAGATGTATGTACTGTGTTAAAACAGGGCTCTTCGTGTCCACACTGGGGCTGAAGACATTCTGACAATAGATGCTGTATTAAAAGAGATCTTGCAAAAATTTCAATAGACAGACAAACAGATTAGCCGAATACTTTGGATAAGTAAGTGGAGTCCAGGAAAAGAAGGTGTCAGGAGGGTTTCCCAGAAGCAAACTGTACCTGAAGGGAGGGACGAGAGTCCTACCATCTAACCCCAAGCCTAGTGGCCGGTGTCCCTGGAAGTGGAGACACATGCTCACTGGTGTGCGACTCACACTTACGAAAGGGAACGTGCCCTCTGGAACACAGGGGAGCCCTGGTCAGGGAAGCCGTCTTTCCACCCAAGAGGGACAAAGGTGTGCAAATCCCAGAAACCAGATATGGAACCTGCAGAAGGAATGTGGACTTGGAACCACTTTAAAAACGATGTCAGCCGGGCGCAGTGGCTCATGCCTGTAATCCCAGCACTTTGGGAGGCCGAGGTGGGCAGATCACGAGGTCAAGAGATCGAGACCATCCTGGCCAACATGGTGAAACCTCGTCTCTACTAAAAATACAAAAATTAGCTGGGCATGGTGGTGCATGCCTGTAGTCCCAGCTACTCGGGAAGCTGAGGCAGAAGAATTGCTTGAACCCAGAGGCAGAGGTTGCAGTTAGCCAAGATCACACCACTGCATTCCAGCTTGGGTGACAGGGAGAGATTCTGTCTCAAAAAAAATAATAAAAGGGATGTCCACCAAGAAAAGCAATGGATTTCTGATGCATGAATGAACCTCATAAACTGTATGCTAATAAAAGAAGCCAGAAACAAAAAGCCACATTCTGCAGGACTCCACTTATATGAAATGTCCAAAATAGGCAAATCCATAGAGACAGAAAGTAGATTGGCAGCCTTCACTGTTTGGTGGGAGGGAGGAATAGGAAGTGACTGCTTAATGGGCACTGGGTCGCTATTTGGGGGAATAAGAAAACTGGAAGTAGATCGTGGAGATAGTTGCACAACACTGGGAATGTTCTTATTGCCACTGAACTTCACACTTTACAATGGATAAAATGGTAAAATTTATGTTACATATATATTGCCACGATTAAGAACATCATAAACAAAACCAAAAGGGATGCTCTAGATCAGCAGTCCCCAACCTTTTCAGCACCAGGGACTGGTTTCATGGAAGACAATTTTTCCATGGACAAGGGTGGTGGGTGGGGATGGTTTCAGGATGAAACTGTTCTACCTCAGATGATCAGGCATTAGATTATCTCATAAGCAACACGTAACCTACATCCTTCACACGCGCAATTCACAATAGGATTTGTGCTCCTATGAGAATCGAATGCCCCTGCTGATCTGATGAGAAGCCGAGCTCAGGAGGGAATGTGGGAGATGGCAAGAGGCTGTAAATACAGATGAAGCTTTGCTTGCTCGCTCGCCTGCCACTCACCTCCTGCTGTGAGGCTCAGTTCCTAAAAGGCCATGGACCAGGACCAGCCCTGGTCCGCAACTCAGGGGTTGAGGACCACTGCCCTGGACAGTGGCTTACCAGAGCATGGAGACTCCAGCAATAAGAGTACATGGGGCAAACAAGAAGGCAGAAGTCGAGAGTACCCTAGGAGAGGCCAGCTGAAGGGAGTCACTGCCTGCATGGGGTCAAAAAAGCAACCTGGAGGTTCAGATTTCCTACACCCCAATGTGGTGTGGACATTGAAAACAAAAAAAGGATACTGCCGAATCATTTGGTACTAGGCTTCTGACTGTTAAGAGTAAATGAGGCCAGGCGTGGTGGTGGCTCACACCTGTAATCCCAGCACTTTAGGGGGCTGAGGCAGGCAGATCACGAGGTCAGGAGATTGAGACCAACCTGGTTAACACGGTAAAACCTCGTCTCTACTAAAAATACAAAAAAAAATTAAAATAAAAATAAAAGCCAGGTGTGGAGGCACGCACCTGTAGTCCCAGCTACTTGGTAGGCTGAGGCAAGAGAATCGCTTCAACCTGGGAGGTGGAGGTTGCAGTGAGCCAAGATCATGCCACTGCACTCCAGCCTGGGTGACAGAGCAAGACTCCATCTCAAAAAAAAAAAAAAGAGTAAATGAAAAGCTATATATAAAGTCCTCAATATGCATTCAATAAACGGTAAATCTAATAATAATTGGTATATTATCATTATTAATATGGATTGATGGTATAACTTCCTATGAAGAACACGCTTGTCTTTCTAACTAGCCAATATCTTTTTTTTTGAGACGGAGTCTGGAGTCTTGCTCTGTCAGCCAGGCTGGAGTGCAGGTGGTATGATCTTGGCTCACTGCAACCTCCGCCTCCAAGTTCAGGTGATTCTCCTGCCTCATCCTCCCGAGTAGCTGGGATTACAGGTGTGCATCACCATGCCCAGCTAATTTTTGTATTTTTAGTAGAGACAGGGTTTATCCATGTTGGCTAGGCTGGTCTTGAACTCCTGACCTCAGTTATCAGCCCACCTCGGCCTCCCAAAGTGCTGGGATTAAAGGTGTGAGCCACCGCCTCTTCTTCCTGCTTTGCCGTGAGATGTGTCAGCTCCCACTTCACCTTCTGCCATGAGTAAAAGCTCTATGAGGCCTCCTCAAAAGCCAAGATGCCAGTGCCAGGTTTGTACAGCCTGCAGAACTGTGAGCCAATGAAACCTCTTTCCTTTATAAATTACTCAGCCTCAGGCATTTCTTTGTAGCAATTCAAGAACCGCCTAACAGAAAGGAAGTTGCTCTTGGAGAACAATCAGAGCTTAAGACAGCAGATTTAAGAAGCTTCTCTACACAGAGGCAAGAGCTGGGTCAGTGCTGCACAAAGTCTTACATAGACGAACCTCAGCAGAGAGGGCTGTGGACACACAATAATACAACATGAGGGGAATCTCTACAGGTTGAACTGGAGTTCAAGGAAGTCTGGCCATGTTGCTCCTGTGGCTTTGAGTGACACTTTCCCCAAATCCCCCAGCCCCACTGACGTGGTTTGGCTCTGCACCCCCGCCCAAATCTCATGTTGAATTGTAATCCCTAGTGTTGGAGGTGGGGCCTGGTGGGAGGTGATTGGATCATGAGGGTGGATCCTTCATGAATGCATTAGCACCATCCCTTTGGTGCTGTTCTCATGATAGAGTTCTCAAGAGATCTGGTTGTTTACAAGTGTGTGGCACCTTCTCCTTCTCTCTTCTTCCTCCTACTCTGGCCATGTAATACGTGCCTGCTTCCCCTTCTGCCATGACTGTAAGATTCCTGAGGCCTCCCCAGACGCAGAAGCCTCCATGCTTCCAGTACAGCCTGCTGAATCCTAAGCCAATGAAACCTCCTTTCTTTATAAATTACCCAGTCTCAGGTATTTCTTTACAGCAGGGCAAGAACTAATACATCCTCCATGGCACCCACAATACATACCACAGGTGCCCACTGCCGGTGTAAGTTGCATAAATGAAAGCTATCCTGGGAACAACACAGGTCTCCAAGGAGTTGAGTGTAAAGGCAAGATCAAGTTCTGGGGGCCGGGTGGTCAAATGCAGTCTAGACGCATGTGGTTGGGGCCTTGAAGTTTTGAAGAAGAGAGGTTTATTGTCAACATTTAGAAGGCAGGAGATTTCACAAAGGCTCTAGATTTATGGCTTCTCTTAAAATTCTGGGCCAGGCGCAGTGGCTCACGCCTGTAATCCTAGCACTTTGGGAGGCTGAGACGGGTGGATCACGAGGTCAGGAGTTCAAGACCAGCCTGGTCAACATGGTGAAACCCTGTCTCTACTAAAAATACAAAAAATTAGCTGGGCGTGGTGGCATGCACCTGTAGTCGCAGATACTCAGGAGGCTGAAGCAGAAGAATTGCTCGAACCCGGGAGGCAGAGGTTGCAGCGAGCCGAGATCGCTCCCCTGCACTCAGCCTGGGCGACAGAGCTAGACTTTGTCTCAAAAAAAAAAAAAAATTCTGAAGACCTGACCACACTGGCACCACCAAGCAGAGCTGGGAACAGCTGCCTCCTTGGGCAGGACCTGTGTTCTTCAGTTCCCCCACCTCTTACCCTTACAATCGGCCTTTGCCCTCTTTAATGGCACTTGCCCACTTGCTATACTGGAAACTCTGGTGTGGAAAAATAAAAGTGGAGGACAAAGAGAAAACCTGAGAAAACAGCTATTTAGCAGGCAGGACAAAAAAAATATTAATATATAGAAAGAAACAGGAAAAGAACTGAAACAGAAGGAATTATCAATTCCCTTAATGCAAATCTCCTATATTATGTTGCTTACCGGGAAGTCTCAGTATCTAAAGACTCATCTAATCTAACACCATTTGGATGATGAAATGTTTTCTTTGGCCCATCTTTTACTGGAGCAAAATCGTACTATTAAAATGTTGGCTTCACAGCAAGAAAGAGAAACTGCCATGTCCTCATGTTTAAGAAAGCATATTGTATCCGCTTAATAATTTCAGAAGGACCATAAAAATTCATCCCTGCAATTAAATATCCCCATCAACTATTAACAAATTAAGCATTCCGTAAGTTAAGACACATTAAAAAGACATCATTGGCATTTGATTCTATTTTGTACAACAGAGATGCATGTCACATTAATGACTCATGATCATGACTCTACTTTCTTGAGTCTTTTTAAAGTGCATATTAATCATCTGTTAATATTACCGTAACTTATGAAATACAAGCTAACTTTTTGCTTAGAACCTTACACACCCAGAGACAATCATTACAGATGTTTGCTGGGCATCCGAAGGCACTCCACTGCAAGCACTTCTTTTTCTCTGTTGACAGCACTTACGGTGACACCCTCATACTGTTATCTGTCCTGGCTGGAGGCCAGTCTCCCGTGTATCAGTGTGAAGACTTGGGAGAAAGTATCTTTCAGCCAACACATGAAACTCACTGTCTGTCAGTCCATCATTTGAGTTTCATCCCTTTGAGATCTGAAGGTCAACATGTCTTCAAGCACTCGCCATTAAAGCTCAAATATCCCTGAAGGCTTAGATTTAGTTAACCTTACACTATTAATATTATTTGCAGATAGCCAAGAATATGGTCCTGAAACACTGCATGATGAACAGTTGGTGTGGGAGCTGAGCCACAAGACAGCTTGAGGAAGTTGTAGACCCAAAAGATTACCTTCTCTGCTGTACAAATTTGCCCATGCTCTACTCAAAGGCTATTTTTCAGCTTTTGGTGTCAGCAGAAAAATAACGAACTTTTCAAAAGCTTACTCTTTTTTTATTATTATTTGTGACAGGGTCTCCTTCTATTGCCCAGGCTGGAGTGCAGAGGAGTGATCACAGCCCACTACAGCCTCGACCTCCTGGGCTCCAGCAACCCTCCTTCCTCAGCTTCCTGGGTAGCTGAGATTACAAGAGCACACCACCACCCCGGCTAATTTTTTTTTTTAATTTTATTTCAGTGGAGACACAGTCTGGCTATGTTGCCCAGGCTGGTTTTAAACTCCTGAACTCAGGCAATCCTCCTGCCTTGGCCTCCCGAAGTGCTGAGATTACAGGTGAGGGCCACTGGGCCTGGCTAAACTTTTACTCTTGTTAATCACAAATGTTTAAACTGAGAAAGAACTTCATGATTATCTGTAAAAAGTCTTCATCCCTACTTCATTATTCCATCGTGCTATCTTACTTAACACCAACAAGCACACCCCTAAAACCGAGCCCAGGTACACAGGCCTCTCCTGCCTCTCCCTACTTAAGACAGAACCATGATTTTAGAGTCAGTTTGGTCCTCAAGTAGAACTCACATAAAGTACTGAACTATAACTCGGGGATCAGAGGGTTTTCAACCAAGCCCTTTTCCCCAAATAAGGTACCATTCACAGGTTCCAGAGATTAGGATTTCCATATCACATCTGCAAAGTCCTTTTGATATGCAACAGGGGCAGGGAAGTGCTGGGTAGAGAAGGGCAGGGTCCCTGGCAAGGGCTCCACCCTCGGGCCTGTGCCCACGGACCTAAATGAGGACAGGTATTTCTGTTTTCGCACTGAAAAAGTTGCCCTTTGGCCCACCATACCCTGTCCCCCATCCTGTGCCCATAAAAACCCGGGACCACAGTGGGCACAGACACAAGCGGCTGGACGTTGAGAGGAGCAGAACACATGGACAGACACCAGCAGACACCAGCAGGCTAGCAACAACAGAATGACGTGGATGCTGAGGGGAGTTCGGCCAGGGGTAGTTGAAGGAGAGTCTGGCTGCTGTGCAACCCAACTCCAGGGGAAGACCACCTTCCCACTCCATCCCCCTTCCTGCTCCCCATCCATCTCATTGAGAGCTACCTCCACCACTCAGGAACACCTTGCACTCATTCTCTAAGCCCACATGTGATCTGGTTTTTCTGACACACTAGGGCAAGGACCCAGGATACAGAAAGCCCTCTGTCCTTGTGATAAGGCAGAGGGTCTAAGTAAGCTGATTAACACAAGCTCCCTGCAGATGGCAAAGATGAAAGAGCACACTGTAACACATGCCCACTGGGGCTTCGGGAGCTGTAAACACTCAATCCTGGAGACCGCCATGGGGTCGGAGCCCCAAAATGCTCCCCGCAACCTACCCATCTGCATGATCCCCCTAGGGGTTTGAGCAGTGGGGCACTGAAGAAGCAAGCCACACCCCTGTCATATGCCCCGCAAAGGGGATAAGGGAACACTCCCATTTCACTTTTTCCCAAATAAAGGACCATTCACAGGTTCCAGAGATTAGGAACTTGTGAATGGTCCCTTATTTAGGAAAAGAACTTTGCAGATGTTGTTAAGTTAAGGATCTCAAGATGGGAGATAATCCTGGATTCTTGTATGGTCCCAGAATGTAATCACAAAAGCCTTTATAAGTGGGAAGGAAGGAAGCAAAGGAGGAAAAGGTCACGTGATGAAGGGTGCCAGAGAGAAAGGGAGATGCGACATAGCCATGAGCCAAGGGAGGAGGCAGCTTCTGGAAGCTGGAAAAGGCAAGGACATGGATCTCCCAAGAGCCCCCAGAAGGACCAGACCTCCTGACCCAGCCCTCCTGACCCAACCCCTTCTTCATTTTAGTTCCATCAGCTCATTGCAAATTTCCGACCTCAAGAACTGTAGCAGCATCAATCTGTGCTGTTTCAAGTCATTATTTTCATAGTAACTTGTTATAGCAGCAAGAGGAAACTAATATAGCATTGAAATCAACCTATTTCATTCAACCTCCTTGCTTTTTTTTTTTTTTTTCGAGACAGAGTTTTGCTCTTGTTGCCCAGGCTGGAGTGCAATGGCATGATCTCAGCTCACTGCAACCTCCACCTCCCAGGTTCAAGTGATTCTCCTGTCTCAGCCTCCCAAGTAGCTGGGATTACAGGCACCTGCCACCACGCCCATCTAATTTTTTAAATTTTAGTAGAGAAGGGGTTTCGCCATGTTGGCCAGGCTGATCTCGAACTCCTGACTTCAAGTGATCCACCCACTTTGGCCTCCCACAGTGCTGGGATTACAGGGATGAGCTACCAGGCCCGGCCTCAACCTCCTTTCTATTTGAGTTCTGCAACTGGTATGCCTCAAGATATTGATCTCCATATCCCGAGAGGCAGCTGGGTGGGACCCGGGGCAAGAGCCATAAAGAGCTCCCCAACATCCCTCCAGTTCCTCAGAATGCCACACCCCCTTGTCCTTTTCTATATGATCTTGTATCATGAAAAAGAGTGCAAACATGACAACAGTACAAGGCTTCAAGTATAAAATAGCCCCAGAAAAAATAACTTTCAAACTTCATCCTTAAAAGCTCCTGAACGCAGTTCCTCCTATACGAGGAAGAATAAAGAAGTGTGAACATTACTATCAGTTTGAAACTTCTCAGTATCGCTGTTGGAAAGCTGCACTTGAAAACTTTACATAAAGGTGCAAAATGCAACATCCTCCCTCTGCAGGAAAGCTGTGATCCTGAGACAACGGCGGCTCCTGGAGAGCTGTGTGCACACAGCTGCTCGAGCCCAAGGCAGGCTTTCCTGGCCTCTCTCAGTAGCTCCTTTTTACCCTTGAATTTGGGGGCTCGTTGGCCGCCAGGGCTCACCAGCCACAGACCTGATGGGGAGAGAAGGGTCTCCGGCGTCCCACCAGTCTTTTGGGGGGCTGATGTACATGCACCACAGCTCCCAGCTGTACCCGTGGGCCGAGTTCTCGTACCGCTGCACCTCAAAGTTGTCCTGTTTGATGTTGTCAATGGAGGGGAGGATCACACGCTTCCGGTTTTCCTGGATGCGGGATAGAACCGGCTCAGCCCTGAAACATAGAGAAATAGACATGAAACCTCTCTTCTCTCCCGTGAGGCACACCTCCCAAGACCACACGGAATGAACAGCATTTAGCTACTTAAGGCTGGGCTTTGGGAAGGCTGGAACTCAGATGCAAACTGAGGCTCCCAGGGACCTGCCCACGCTGGATCCTGCAGCTTCACTCCTGGGCTGTGAAGCGTGTGAAATCAGCGCACCCCTTTCCCCTTGTTGGAATCACTAGAGTGATGCCTGCTCTGGCCCGAAAAGCCTGGAGCAAGAGGAGTTCAGAACATGGGGTCTCCTTCCCAAGAAAGTGCCAAGTCTCACTTCTCATACTGACGGTGGACTCCATGATTCACATTGCATGACAGTTTTATACAGTGTCGTCAGTTTCCCCCCAGGGCACTGACTGCCACCGCTTGTTTTTTCTGCTGGCACTGAATTCCCTTTCCCAAAATAGGTCACTTCTGCCCGGATGGCCTGGTTTTAACACACATTTCACTAGCTTCTCTGTGTGTGTGTGTGTGATTATTTCAGTTGTTTTAATTGATGATTTAATTGATTTCTTAAAGGGATCTAATTGAATTGGTTAGCAATAGGAGACTGGAAACTAATTAAATGCAAAGGCAGGCAGAATCCCAGCTTCCTGCTCACTTCCCCAGCTCGAGGCTGCAGCAGGTAATTCGTCAGGAATCTGGCTCCAGGTTCAAGGTGTAGCCCGACTGGCTTAGGAGACAGCAGATGGCCAGACACCTCCACCATCGTGTGTCTCCGAGGCAGGCGCGGGAAGGGATCATTTCCCATATTCGAGAAGGAGAAGATGGCTCTCCTAAGCCAGGGCATTAATCTCCCAGCTTATAACAGAATGCAGGCTTTGGAACAGAGTCAAGCGAAAATCCCATTCCTCTGCATTATCGGGAAGAATAATGAGAACACACAGTCGACAACCCATCTCTTTTCATTTGCAGCTATTGAATTACCTGTTGGCTCATCTCATCTTTCTATTTAAAATGAGCAATAAAATATACCCTGGGCCATTACCTGCTTCCAATACTTCTGCACACACCATATAAGCTGAAGCCAAATGGCACTAATTTTCCAAGGCTTCCAGGCAGGCTTAGGACCATGGCCCTGGCCAAGCCTCCACTCATGAAATTCTCCCCTGGGGATGCCCTTTGCTACTGGCAGAGAGCACAGCCATCTAAGGAGGCTTAGACCAAGTACCATCTCTCCTACCTCACTCACCACCTGGTCCCAAGACCAAGTACCACCTCCCACACCTCTCTCACCACCTGGTCCCAAGACCAAGTACCACCTCTCCCGTGGGAGTTCTTCCTCTCAACTCTTAGATCATTTTCCCCACCTTATTCAAGTCACAATGACTGCGCAGCTGCCTTTGCTAATCAACTCTGAACACGAATTATTTTTCCTTATGAGCTAATGATAGCTGATCTTTATTAAGCACTTACTAGTGCTGGGGGCCATTCGAAATATTTCACATGTGTTGACTAATGCAACCCCCAAGATAATCGTATGAGGTAGATACAATGATCAGCATTATATAAATGAGGATACTGAGGACCAGGGAGGTTAAGTAGCTTGCCCCAGGTTATACAGCCAAGTGGTGGTAGAAGGAGGTTTCTAACCTAGCTGGTCTGGTTCATGTCTTAATTCTGAAGCTCCACTACCTCTTTGATGAACCATGATGAACCCCATGCAAGTCCAGATCATGCATTAGAAGCATTCAGTTCAGCCCATCTATCAGCAGCGAAAGAGTCACTGAGTATGGAGGCAGAAGACCTTGGTTCCAATGATATTTCTTTTTTTTTCTTTTTGAGACGGAGTTTCACTCGTCTCTCAGGCTATAGTGCAATGGCATGATCTCAGCTCACTGCAACTTCCGCCTCCCAGGTTCAAGCGATTCTCCTGCCTCAGCCTCCTGAGTAGCTGGGATTACAGGCGCCTGTATTTGTATTTTTAGTAGAGACAGGGTTTCGCCATGTTGGCTAGGCTGGTCTCGAACTCCTGACCTCAGGTGATCCGCCCGCCTCAGCCTCCCAAAGTGCTGAGAGGTGTAAGCCACCACGCCTGGTCCCACTGATATTTCTGCGGCTGAGAATTTTGATCTTACTGTCTACTAGACAATGTATGACGATTCCCAATAATTTGCTCCCTCCTCCCTGGGGATGTCCTGCCTATTACCAGGTGGCCTGCAATGCTTCCTTAGAGAAGCACACTCCTTCCCCCAGTCTCCAATTCCCATTTAACTTGGACATGTGAATTGGTTTGCCAATGGGATGTGAGCAAAATGACGGTGTCACATCAGAGCAGAAACAGCCATTTCGAAGTTCAGCCACTGTTCTTTTCCCTGAGCCACAAAGATGGAATGTCCTAGACAGGAGGATTCCTTGACTCTCAGAACACAGAGGAGAAATCAAGCACAGCCACAGCCAGACAACCGCAGCTGACGTGCCATGCAGACAAGAGAGAAACATGTATTGTTGTAAGTCATTGTGACTGGAGACTTTTATTGCAGTAGAACCTGGTAAAAGTTGAGACACACTGTCTACCTTGTAATGAAGAACTGCCAAGGGGTTTTAATTCAGAGAGGGTTCTATGCCACCCGGGTAGAAGTGTGGAAAATGCGTCTGAATGGCAAAGACTAAAGTCACAGACATCAGTGAGAATTAGATGATAGGTGGATTTGATTAGGTAGACTAGAATTAGACTGTAGACTTGAGGGCAGATACCAAACCTGCTGGATTTTGAACCCCAGCTTAGTGTCCAACTGTCCCAGTTTGTGCAGTACTCTTCCAGCCTTACCACTGAAAGTCCTGAGAAATCACTCAGTGCCAAACTCCAAACCTAGAACAGCACCAGGGATATGGTAGGCATCTAGCAAGTATCTGCCAAAAGAATGAGTTCCAGCAGTGACCGCATTGGTTTAGGTGAATGTCAAGAAAGAACCAAGCTAGGAGAGTGGTGGTCAAGATAGAGAGAAAGAGGGAGACAGGAGAAATGGCAGACAAAACTGGCTGGAGGTGGAGGTTGACAGGATGAGTAACATGATGGCAAGGGGAAAATCAAGGGAAAGGGACATGTGTCGGGGCCATGTCCTTTCAGTTTTGAAAGGAAAGAAACGAGGAGGCAATGATGCCAAGGAAAAGACAAGGTATGCCAGGCCTGAGGCTGTAACGGAACATTCGCCTGAATCTTTTTCAGAAGGCTTCCATTATGGCTCAGTGCTTCTCAAACTGTAGCATGCATCAGAGTCCTCTGGAGGGCTGATTACAACAGATCGCTGGATCTCACCTGCACGGCTTCTGATTTCAGGGGACTGAGTGGAGCCCAGGAATTTGCATTTCCGACAAGTTCTCAGATTCTGCGGATGCTGTGGGTCTGGGGCGCCACACTTTGGGAATGATTATTACTAGAGATAAACAGCTCTGGAGCTCAGGAGAGAGATGAGGGCTGAAGACATGCAGCTGGGTGTCACCAGGGTTTGATGACAGCAAAAAACTGGGAGGGAAAATTGGCGGCCGAGATGGCAATAGACCCCAGCATGCACTTGAAGGGGTCAGTGTTATCAGTGGCCCTGGGTTTCTTACGTGGTCACATGCATAAACATTGTCTTTTTATCCTGCCATTAAAAGGATTCTAGAGGTTGTTGCAAATGAAGAAGAACAGACATTTTAATGTTAATTAGTGATGGGATATTGGTTCTTCAAATCTAGTACAGTGAACAACACTTACTCAAGAAGGCCTCAATGAGTGTAAATAAACATATTTGTGAAATACAAGACTCTGCTTCTTACTAATTAAGCAACCCAGGGTACAGGTTATTTAACCTCTAACTTGATGGATCATTGGTTACTTAGCAACAATTATCTGACCATGCTTTAAAACTGGAAAGTCCTATTCCAATTTTAACATGATTCTGGCATTTTTGTGGCCTCACTCTTTGTGCATCCAAAATCTTCTACTCCCCGTACACTCAACCAATTTCTCACATTCTGTTCTTTTCACCTGGAAAAATATCAGGGCCTATCTGCAGAAAATGCGCTTCACCTTCCTCCGAATGATGTGAAAGATAATCCCATACATTCTGGGGAGCTTTACCTGAGTAGTTAGAATTATAACTATATCTCTTTTCTCACAATGACAGACAACCATCCTTCCCTGCAAACAGAGCAGCAAAGAAGGAAAAGAGAACAAGAAAAATATGACTGTCTTGTACCATTTGCAAGGATTCTGTTGAGTTTTATCTAATTGATACACCGTTTTCTTTTTTTCTTTTTTTTTTGAGATGGAGTCTCTCTCTGTCACCCAGGCTGGAGTGCAGTGGCGCGATCTAGGCTCACTGCAACCTTGGCATCCCAAGTTCAAGCGATTCTCCTGCCTCAGCCTCCCAAGTAGCCGAGACTACAGGCGTGCTCCACCATGCCAGGTTAATTTCTGTATTTTTAGTAGAGACAGGGTCTCACCATGTTGCCCAGGCTGGTCTCAAACTCCTGACCTCAAATGATCCACCCACCTTGGGCTCCTAAAGTGTAGGGATTACAGGCGCAAGCCACCATGCCCAGCCTGATAAAACATTTTCACTGGGGATTTTGATGACGATGATGATGACGATGATGCCAATGATGGTGAACTGAACAGACGGCAGACAAATTTCTCCCTGCTCCCTAGCTTTATCCCAGACAATGGTCTCACTTTCTTCTTTGACGAGTCTCTCTCTAGTCTCCCAGTGCCACTACAGGTAACAGGTGAAATGTCCCACCTCCCAGATTCCAGCCCCTCTCAACCACAATGCAGGTCTTGAGCACCCCTGAGTTTCAGCTCATGACCTACCAGCCAGCGGTGAATTCCACGTGGGCATCAAAGAAGCCAGTGACCTGCCCGGTAGCCACCTTCCAGCCCTCAATGCGAGCGCGGATCAGGCCTTCCCTCTTCTGATTTCTTACCACCTTCACCAGCCCGGGGTAGCGTTTGTGGACATACTCCTCTAGGGGGACCTTCAGCTCCTCTGCAAATGACAAAAATGCAAGAAGGTCTATAAACATGTCATTTCAAATTTGCATCTAACCCACTGCAATGCCCACAGATCTTCAGGGAGTTCAAAGATCTCAAAAAAAATCGCATGTTAGTAATTCTGGCAGAAAAGAAAATCTCATCAGTCTAGGAGTCAGAAGACATCTCTGATGCATTCACCCAGGACAGCTATCTTCTGACAGTTTGCAATCCGTACAGCGGGATGGGAACCAGGCCTGGCTTTTATATCCCGGCTGCTATGAGCCGGCAGACGTCCTTCAAGATTCCTTTTCTTAGTGGCCCTTCCTCCAAACTTGGCCAGAATCCTTGTCCGGTTTATCAAATTCTATATGGGCTTTTCCATCTGCACACAGACTCGTTCTTACAGTACGTGCCTTGGGATGCAATGTAAGTCTTTGCTCAGTAGTAGAAATGCTACCTTGGAGGCAGAACTAATGCTACCAGGGATTGAATACCCTCCCTTCTGCAACAAGCAGGTGGCAAAGTGCTTCATTTCTATGAGCTAATTTTATCCTTGCAGAAACCCTAGGAGGTTGCTAGATTAATTTCATTAATTAACTAAATTAATTCTATTTTGCAAATGAAGACATAATCTTAGGGAGGCTAACCTGTTCCAAGGTCACATATGGGCTAACGGGAGAGCTGAAACACAACTCAACTGAATCTAACTCTATAGACATAAAGACTGATACTTGGCTGAGTGCAGTGTTGTGCACCTGTACTTCCGGCTACTCGGGAGGCCAAAGCAGAAGAATCACTTGAACTCAGGAGGCTGCAGTGAGCTATAGTTACACTACTGCACTCCATTCTGGGCAACAGAGAAAGACCTGGTGTCTAATTTTAAGAATAAATAAAACTAAAGGCATTTAAAAAAAAAAAGTGATACTTTGTGTGCATAAAAATCACCAGGTATAGGGAGGAAAAGGAGGGGCTAACAGGGAGGGGATTCTTAGATACTTGCACTCCAGGTACATGTCCTGCATGGGTGCTGGGGGACTCAGGGACATGTCACTAAAGGCCACAGGTCATGGAATGCTACAAGGGGAATCCCGCCTGCTGACCAGGGTTGGCTTGTGACTGCAGGAATCTCTGTAAGTTCAGGGAGAATATTCTGAATGCTGAGCGCTGGGCACCATGCCAGGAGTTCTGGAGGCACTGTTACCTCTTAGCTGCCACGTGACCTGCAACTTAGTCGTGGCTCTTCCCAGGAACAGGATGTCAGCTCCTGGCTACATCACTCACCACATCCGGGTATCAAATGAGTTCCTCATTTGTTAAGAAGTTGCGAGACTTCAGGGAAGATATATGGGTAGGGATTGGCAAGGTTGGCAAAAGAAAGTGTGGGTCATTACCACTGGCCTTCTCACATCTAAAGAGCTTTGGGAGGTATTAAAGGAGTAAAAGGATAAGGCCTAATCATTTGGTACTAGCCTTATGGCTGCTACAACTAAAGGAAAAGCTATATAGAAAGCACTCAATATGCATTCAATAAATGGTAAATCTAATAATAATTGGTTTATCATAATTATTAATGTTGATCAATTACATAACTTCCTATGAACAACAGATTGTCTTTCTAACTAGCCAATATCATTTTTATTTTTATTTATTTTTACGTTTTGAGACGGAGTTTCTCTTTCGTTGCCCAGGCTGAAATGCAGTGGCGCGATCTCAGCTCACTGCAACCTCCACCTCCTGGGTTCATGTGATTCTCCTGCCTCAGCCTCCCGAGTAGCTGGTACTACAGGCATGTGTCACCACAGCCGGCTAATTTTGTATTTTTAGTAGAGATGGGGTTTCGCCATGTTGGTCAGGCTGGTCTCGAACTCCTGGCCTCAGGTGATCCACCCACCTCAGCCTCCCAAAGTGCTGGGATTACAGGCATGAGCCACTGTGCCTGGCCACCAAAATGATTTATAAAGTCTAGGGCCTACTGTATAGCAGTAGACACCATTCTCACTCTTACAATGTACAGGGATACACTGTTCCAAACAACAGTGTATGGAAACATCAAGGTAGATGCCACCTCCAATGATCAGGGTTTAAGAACAAGTGACACTGAGCAGGCTTCCTTCCCAGTCCCTGCAGTGTGATTCTGGACTTTATAAGATACTGAGTTGTGCTCTGGCCTGTGCTCAAAGACAATTCAGACACAAGTGCTCCCTCAAGATGCTTACAATCGAGTTAAGGAGATGAGATACGTTTAAAAATTATAGGAAGGCGCACTTTGGGAGGCCAAGGCAGGTGCATCACCTGAGATCAGGAGTTTGAGACCAGCCTGGCCACCATGGAGAAACCCTGTCTCTTCTAAAAAAAAAATACAAAAAATAATAGCTGGGCATGGTGGCGGGTACCTGTAATCCCAGCTACTCGGGAGGCCGAGGCAGGAGAATTGCTTGAACCTGGGAGGCGGAGGTTGCAGTGAGGCGAGATCGCACCACTGCACTCCAGCCTGGGAAACAAGGGCGAAACTCTGCCTAAAAAAAAAATAAAATAAAAACAAATTATAATATTCAATATTATAAGGTAAATGAGGCTAATGGCCCCCACTCGCCCAAAAAAAATGGTCACGGAGGAAGAGTGCTGTGAGGAGTCACAGACAGAGAAACTGTTTTGGCTGGGAGCATTAACGGAAAAAGTTGTTTAAGTTATGCAGCAGATCTGGACGTGAGCTCTCACTATTCTAAAATACCACACCAAAAAACACCTAAGTGAAAAATTGGATCTACTTAGATGACAGTATCATGAGCATCAAAGTTTCAGTCTAGGAAACTGGGAAGATGCCATTGATTTATTTTATTTTTATTTTATTTTCCTTTTCAGATGGAAGCTTGCTCAGCCACCCAGGCTGGAGTACAGTGGCGTGACCTCAGCTCACTGCAACCTCCACTTCCTGGGTTCAAACAGTTCTCCTGCCTCAGCCTCCCAAGTAGCTGGGACTACAGGTGCCTGCCACCATGCCCGGCTCATTTTTGTATTTTTAGTGGAGACAGAATTTTGCTATGTTGGCCCTGCTGGTCTCGAACTCTTGGCCTCAAGTGATCCCCCTACCTCAGCCTCTTAAAGTGCTAGGATTACAGGCGTGAGCCACCACACTTAGCCAGATAAGATTGATTTAAAAAGAGAAAAAGAAGAGAAGAGAAGAACAAGTTGATGAGTTTCTCTGAGGACAGGTTGAGGGGGCCAGAGGACATTCTGGGGTAGGCAGCTGAACCACGACAATGGTCTGGAGGTGAGAAAACAGGGCAGAGGTGTCAGGCACTGAGTGATAAGAGATGATGTCCTAACATGGAGAAACCCCGTCTCTATTAAAAATACAAAAACTAGCCGGGTGTGGTGGCGGGCATATGTAATCCCAGCCTCTCAGCGGGGCTGAGGCAGGAGAATCGCATGATCCTGGTGGGGCGGAAGTTGCAGTGAGCCGAGATTGCTCCACTGCTCTCAAGCCTCAGCAACAGAGCGAGACTCCGTCTCAAAAAAAAAAAAAGGGAGATGATGGCCTAGGAGAGAAGGTGACAGTTCCAGGAAATGCAGGGAAGAAGACTTAGAACCACACGTTGTGGAACACATGTATTTAGGAGGCAGGAAGGAGGGCTAGTGAGCAATCATGGCTCACTGCAGCCTCGACCTCCCGGGCTCAAGCAATCCTCCTGCCTCAGCCTCCCGAGCAGCTGGAACTAAAGGCGTGCACCACCATGCCCAGCTAATGTCTTTTATTTTGTACAGGGCTGGATAGAGAATGTAGAAGGAAGAAGGGCTGGAGAAGCCATACTCAAGGCGGTACAGACGGGACTCCAAGGAGGAAATGAAGTTCTCAAACCTGAGAGCCCAAGAGCATCATCTGCAGGTGTTGAAACAGAGTCCAGCACTTTACAGGATAATGCTCCTATGACACCAGTTCCGAAGCATTATCCTGTGAAGTGTTTGGCAGAGTTTCTGGAAGAAGGATATGTGCATTCATTTTATAAATATTTAAAGGAGCCTCTGTGGGTGAGAAGGTTCAGAGTCCCTGTCCTCCAAAAGCTGCTCAACCTCCAGGGTCAGGAAAGTCAAATGCATTAGAGAAAATGCAAGCTGAGAATGGTCCGTTGATCAAGACAAACAGAAGGCCCCTGATAGTACCAGTGAGAAAAAAGAAATCCCTGCAGATGCAGCTGTCTCCTGCAGGGGCAGGGTCAATACAAGGAGAACTGGATGAGTGGGACATCTCAAGAGGGACTTCCAGGAAGCCTGGCTCTGGTGGAACACATCTGAGACAGCCTAAGAGCATTAGGGTGTTGAGATTTGAAAACGGAGAGAAACCGAAGAAGAGGTGGGGTGCAAGAGCCCAAATTCACCTTAAAGTGAATGAGTCTATAAATTAGCCAAGTAAAACAAGGCCCCCAGGCTCCCATGGAAGCACACAAATCCCCAACCTGACACTGGTTAGAAAGTCACCCCCTTGGCCAGGCACGGTGGCTCATTCCTATAATCCCAGCCCTTTGGGAGGCTTAGACAAGCAGATCACTTGAGCTCAGGAGTTCGAGACCAGCCTAGCCACATGGTGTGACCTTATCTCTACTAAAAATACAAAAATTAGCCAGGCGTGGTGGCACATGCCTGTAACCCCAGCTACTCGAGAGGCTGGGGTGGAAGAATCGCTTGAACCCAGGGGGCAGGGGTTGCAGTGAGCTGAGATTGTGCCACTGCACTCCAGTCTGGGTGACAGAGCGAGACTCTCTCAAAAAAGAAAAAAAAAGAAAGTCACCCCTTCACCTAAGATCCTTTATCATCCTTAACAGATGAAACCATTCTAGGACATTATAAGAACACTAAGAAAAACATCTTACTTTCTTTTTTCCTCACAAAAAACTCAGAGAAGAAAACAGAAACTCATTTCTGCAAAAATAAATGCAGAAACTCATTTCGACAAAAATAAATGTTATAAAATCCAATACAAAATTGGCCAAGTGCCATTTGGGAACCATTGTGTTTTTTAAGATTTTGATAAACAGCATTTGAGGAGGTTGAGGGGGAGAAGCGAACACTGCCTGTGATCAGGAAGGACTGGAGAGGGAGGTATGCATACCTGCTCCTTAACAATAAAACAAACACATGTCATCCAGGCTCATGGAGCATAAATTGGCAAAAAGAAAGCTACAAAACGGTAAGAACTAAAGCAAAGAACATTACAGAATTCTGTCTCAATCCCGCACTTTCAGTGATATGACAGAATAAACTATCGGTACCATCCCTGGGCTCAGAGCCCTGCTCAGGAGCAAGTATTGACCTAGTAGACTTGAAATTGCCCCTATACACTTTATAAAATTAATCAGGAGGCTGGGTGTGATGGCTCACACCTATAATCCCAGCACTTTGGGAGGCCAAGGTGGGTGGATCACCTGAGGTCAGGAGTTCAAGACCAGCCTGGCCAACGTGGTGAAACCCCGTCTCTACTAAAAATATAAAAATTAGCCTGGCTTTGTGGCACACGCCTGTAATCTCAGCTATTCAGGAGCCTGAGGTGGGAGAATCCCTTGAACCTGGGAGGTGGAGGTTGCAGTGAGCCAAGATCATGCCACTGCACTATAGCCTGGGCAATAGAGTGAGACTCTGTCTCAAAAAAAAAAAAAAATCAGGAAAGAAGTGAGGGGAAAATTAAAATAAACCAAGCGTGCAGCACATTCAGCATTAATCATTAGTCTCTGACCTGTTTCATCATAGTTTCTTAGTGCCTATTGTCCTAGAATGACTAGGACAATAGACCCTGTTACAAGATTACAGTCCCCTTTAACTGCTCTATAGATAACAACTTGAACATTATAAAATATTAAGTTTTCCCTTTGAGATATTCTTTCATGTCCTGCATACCAATGAAACTGCTGACATCAGCTGGTCTGAAGGACCCCACAAGAAGCTGACTCACCAAAGAACGCAGTTTCCACATCTTGATAATTTCATCCCCTTTACCCTGATCAATGAATGACCTTGATTCTCCAGCCTCTCACCTTCCATGATCCCCTTCAAAGCCCCAGCCCAGAAATCGTTGGGGAGGTGGATTTGAGGATCTCTTCCTGTCTCCTCACTTGGCTACCCTATACTCATGAAACTCTTTCTCTGTTGCAAATCCTGCTGTCTCAGCATAATTGATCTGTTACTGCACAGTGGACATACGAACCTGGTGGTCCTAAAACAGACTCAGCTCCACCTGCTTCCAGAACCAATGCAAAAGTGTCAGTGCTTGGGATTTTTATGTGTACTTGGGAAGTGGCCACCCAGTCCAGGACTTGGCCAAGTCTGCACATCCACAATGGTGGGCAACCTGACCTCTCAACCCTCACACAGTTGTTAAGCCTTGATGATGAGACTTACTGAATATTTCAATTGCCCTTCAGAGTATGGAGATTCAGGAGAATCTGTCTAAGCTTAGATGAGTGAGTGTTCCTCTACCTTTAACCTGCATCCGAATCACCAGTAAGTCTGAGGTGGCCCAAGAACTTGTATTTCTTACAAGCTTCAAATGGGGAGCTGCTGCATCAACTGGTCTGCTAAGTGCATATTGGGTGGCTCTGGCTTAGCATTTACCCCCCTGCCTAACTCCATCTGGGATGAATTAGACCCTGAGTGTGGGCCAGAGCTTACTCCAACTGAGCTGACATTCCAGAATCCCAGTGTTGCCCTGTCCATCTCCACTTTCCCCACTGCCTACGACCTACTTGTCCTGCCTCATCTAAAAAACTGAACCCCTTGGAAGTGACTTTGGCCTACATGGTGAGGGTTTGGCATGCCATTTCCAAAACTGGAATCTTTTAAAATATAGATATATTTAAATGTGTGTGTGTGTGTGTGTGTGTGTGTGTGTGTGTTTGTGTATGTGCATATATATGTATGTGTGTATATATATGTATATATACACATGTACACATATACAGTATATATATATAAAATACATATAAATACATACATACATACATACATACACACACACACACATATACAGAGACAGAGACAGAGACAGGGTCTGGCCTTGTTGCCCAGGCTGGAGTGAAGTGGTGCAATCACGGCTCACTACAGCCTCGACCTCCTGAGCTCAAGCGATCCTCCTGCCTCAGCCTCCTGAGTACCTGGAACTACCTGCACACACCACCATGCCCAACTAATTTATTTTATTTTGTATAGATGAGGTCTCGCTATGTTACCCGGGCTGGTTTCAAACTCCTGGCGTCAAGCAATCCCTCCCCCGCTCCCCACTTTGGCCTCCCAAAGCTCTGGAATTATGGATGTGAGCCACCAAGCTTGGCTCCAATACTGGGATCCTGATGGCTGGCCACCTCTGCGTGGGGCAATCTCACAATTAGGTCAGTCCCTGGACAAGGATCCCATATGGTCCTGCCTTCTGCTTTCATTCCCTGTTCCTGCTACCACTGCTACTACTGCCACAATTCTATCAACACTCCTTCTGACACCATCAACTCCCATTGCCACCACTGCCACGCTTATCACCAACACCTCTCCCCACCAGCAGCTGCTGAGGTTTGGGCATGCTGCTCACTGTGAATGCATGGGTTGTGACAGCTGGGGACGAGAACATAGCACATATGGCACGTTCCAATTAAGAAACAAAATAGAATGAAAATGCCTGCCAGTATTCCCAGAGTGAGAATCACTGGGGACCTTATGAAAATGCAGGTTCCGAGGCTCCTTTCTCGGTATCCCTAATTCAGTGGGCCTTAGTGGAACTGGCCAGCACCCCCAGGTCGTTCTCACGCAAACCCCAAACATCTCAAAAGCACTGGTTCACTTTTTTCATTGTTTTTACCATGTTTAAAATGTTTTGACCATTTTACAATATACAATTCACTGGCATTGAGTACATTCGCAATGTTGTGCAACTATCACCACTATCTAGAACTTTTTCATCACCCCAAACATAAACCCCATACCCATTGAGCAGCTGCTCCCCATCTCCCCTTTCCCAACCCCTGGTGACCACTAACATGCTTTCTGCCCCTATAAATTTGCCTAATACACATGGTTCATGAAAATGGAGTCGTAAAATATGTGGTCTTTTATGTCTGTTAATTTTGACGGTGCAGAAGAGGTGATTTTATGTTGTGTGTAATTTTGTTTTGTTTTGAGAGAGGGTCTCATTCTGTTACCCAGGCTGGAAAGCAGTGGCCGGATCATAGCTCACTGCAGCTTCCAACTCCTGGGCTCAAGTGATCCTCCTGCCTCAGCTTCCTGAGTAGCTGGGACTACAAGGATGCACCACCATGTCCGGCTAATTTTATTTATTTTTTGAAGAGACAGGGTTTTACCATGTTGCTGAGGCTGGTCTTGAACTCTGGGCTCAAGTGATGCTCCTGCCTTAGCCTCCCAAAGTGCTGGGATTACACGAATGAGCCACCATGCCTGGACCGTGTGTGTGAATTTAAAACCCTTGACCTTGCTGAAGGTCTGATTCATATTCTGTGGCCAGGGGGTTCTTCCAACCCCCATGCTGGTAATTGATGGACTGCAGGCTTGCTCCTAAAGCCCAGTCTGGTCAGCTGGCCTGCCCCTCCCCTGGGTTCCTCCTAGGCCACCTTCTCCCTGGGCACATCTCTGCTCCTAGCTTGTTCCATGGGTTTCCAAGTCTACCTCTGTCTGGAAGCATTTGGTGAGACACTTAGATAAGACTCCTCATCCTGATGGGACTTGAGTTCCTGAGCTCTTCAAGACTGGATGTGGAGAGAATCCAGCCCCTGCATGGTGACCATACCCTGGGCCCTCCCAGATGCCGGCCTTTCTCTCCACCCCAATGGAAACTTCCAGTTCTCTGTGCTTAGGGATTTATGACAGAGATCACAGTGAAAAAATGGTCTTCAACGCAGAGTTTGGCACAGACATTAGTCAGGACACTTGACATTTCTGCATCATCTCTTTTTTTCTTTTTTTCAGAGAGATTTCAATATTTTATATATGTAAGAATTAGCTTTGATGCCCTAGAAAGAACATAAAACACAGACTGAAAACACTTGGGTATCAGCTACTTGGGAAGCTGAAGTGGGAGCCCAGCTTGAGGTAGAGGTTGCAGTGAGCGGTGATTGCACCACTGCACTCCAGCCTGGGTGACAGAGTAAGATGCGATCTCAAAAAAAAAAAAACCACCTGGAAATACAGGTGCGCCTGAGAATACCTTTATGCCTGAAATAACCAATCAGCTAAATGTATAAAAGCAGCCCTACAAAGACTATTTTAAAATATTTTAAAAATATTATTAGACAAAGTTTTAAAATATTATCTTTAAAAATGAACGAAAAGATGGTGGCGCGGGGAGAAACTCGGTTGCATATTCTGCTCATGCAACCTAGGGGGTTTCTTATCTGTCCAATGGAGATAGCAAATCCCAGAAATGAACCTGGGTTTTGTGGGACCTGAAATTTACACAATTTGAGGCATTCTCTTTGAGAAACATTTTAAAAGCTTACTTTTGTAAGTTCTCCAAAAATGCATGACATGTAAACACACAACAAGGGGCCATCAGATGACCTCGAAGGGCACCCGTGCAAGTAAGGGGCCCAATGCGGAAGCTTTGTTAGTTTCTCAGTGAGAATACCAACTGGGGAGGCAGATTCCACCAATGCCAGAGTTCCTTTTCTGCTGACAATCACTATTTTTCAAACATTTCAAATACTATGCTTGTCTGTGTCTATAATGAAATATTTATATCCCCAAATTGCTAACCAAGCTCACTAAAAATGTCAGCTAATCAGGAAACACTCCAGAACACTAGTCAGCCAAATTAGATCTCCTTTGGTAATTTAACCAGTGAATGGGCTGTCTTGGAAACTCGTAACATTCCACAACATTTGTCTTCATACTTACTGGGTCCTTATTAAGAGCCACATGCTGTTGGCCTACAACAATTCCTTCATACCTCTTAAAGACTCTGTGAGGTAAAGGCACGATCGACCCCATTTTACAGATGAGAAAACGGAAGCACAGAGCGTGTGCTATGTGCTGAATGTCTGTGTTCCCTCAAAATTCATGTTAAATGCCAATCAATGCCTCAATGGGGTGGTATTAAGAGGGCAAGTGTTTGGGAGCTGATTAGGTCAGGAGGACTCTACCCTCATGAATGGGATGAGTGTCCTTACAAAAGAGGCCCCAGGGAGCTGGTTCACCACTTACAAGACATAGAAACACATAGAGAGACATCTATGAGGACTAGGCCCTCACCAGACACTGACTTTGGACTTCCCAGCCCCCTGAATTGTGAGCAATACATTTCACTGTTTATAAATTACCCAGTCTAAGGCATTTTTGTTTAACTTTGTTATTTTTTATTTTTATGGATACAAAGTAGTTACGGTATTATTTCTGGGACTGCAGGCATGCACCACTATGCCTGGCTAATATTTTATTATTATTATTTTTTGTAGACATGGGGTCTTGTTATGTTGCTCAGGCTGGTCTCAAACTCCCGGCCTCAAGTGATCTTCCCACCTCAGCCTCCCAAAGTGCTGGGATTATAAGCATGAGCCACAATGCCCAACCTGAGGTACTTCTTATAGCAGTCCCCAAATGGACTAAGACAGAGGGCCAGCAACTCTCCCTAGGTCACACCATTTGTAAGTGGCATGCCTACATGCATCACCATTGTTACCTCTGATTCCTGTGAATGTGATGTTGTGAAATCTCAAGTCATTTGTCTGCTAATACAAAGCTGCTGTGGCCTGGCCTGGGCTTGTCCTGAGAGCTGGCTCCCTCAAGTAGCTTGGAAGCACCCACACTTCTGATTACAGACTAATTATCAGTGTGTACAACATTATTCCACTGCACAGGGTTGCATGAGGACCAAATGTGAGTGCAAAGCACCAGTATGATGATCCCATTTTCTTCTGAATCTGCAGCCATCAGCACCAGTTTCAGAGAGTGAAGATAAAGGATTAGGGCTGTAACCATGAGTGGAAAGTTGGCCAGGCTGCAGGATGGGAGCAGCAGGCTCTGGACTTGAGGCAGGCGCCTCCTTTTTCTAGGCTGCCTTCTGCTGACTATGGTCAGTGCTCCGCAGAGAAGAGGCCTAAGGGCTGATTAAGAGGTTTCAAAAGAGTGGGCATCCAGGGAATCTTTTGGGCCTCCAACTCTTCTAAACAATACAATGAAGCTCTGAAGAAGCCTCAGGGATACAGGAGCCACATATATGGTGATACACACACACCCCACCCCAGCCTTGCCACTATGGCATGGGCCCATCTGTCTCTGAAATCCTGGGCTTGAAGAATAGCCATGGTGAGGAACCAAGCATCTAAAACTGCAAGATGAAATAACCCAGGAGGTGGCTGCATTGCATATTTTATTCTCTGAGCATCTCTCAGCTTTGCAGACTTAAATAATGCACTTGCTGACTATGGGCTGGAGCAAAAATGAGGCAAGAGTGAGAAACTTCAGGAAGAATGAGAGAGATTAAAGAGGGAAGCTTTTGCTGTGTATGAAAGCATTTTGAGGGCGATTCCATAGTGAGATCAAAGCAAGGACAAAAAGGACAAAAGAAAGCAAAAGACGAAAAGAAAAGCAAAGAGATGTGAGGTGCAAAATACCAAAGTGTTAAACCAAATATATCACACTGAGTTGTGCATTCATGAGGGGCACTTTGTAAAGGAAAGCCATCTCAGCTTCCAATTCCTTTGTTGAGAAATTCATCTCTACTGCTTCTTCCATTTACATTTTACCTTTTAGAAAATAAATACGAGTAGCCCAAACCTACAAGGAAACATCATAGTACGCATAAGCTATAGGCTATCCAGGTGAGAGCTCCAAGTTGTCTCCCCAATTTAAAAGAGCATTCCCCTACCTTACCCCATCAAAGGCATTTGAAAGTCTGGCATTTGCAGCTGATTCTAATAATAACACGTGAATTTCAGCAATCAAATTTGTCTACAGGCTGGGCTGTGTTTTTCTTTCATTATGTTCTTATTTACGGTGATATTGATTCCAAATGCTCAGAAGCTGGCGAATCTCTTCCTTGAAATAGCCAAAGTCACAGTCATTAAAGAGAGAGCAAAACAGAACACAAGAAATGTAAAGCCCTGGGGAGAACAGGGTTACACGCTGGTGCTTGGTCACTTCTTCCTCGAGTTTTCTTTAAACGCGTTTGGCAGCCGGGAGTGGAATAACTGAGGTGAGGCATCCGGCCAGTTCATCCTTCTCTAGCATTCTGGGGTGCTCCGTATTCAGGACCCTGAAGTTTCCAAGGTCAAAGGCAGTGTGAATCCTATGCGCAAACGAAATGCTCATGCCTGCTTACAGGAAATGTCCACGTTAAGTTACTAATGCATCATACGAGTGTTCTATCAATAGCAGCTCTTATTAGCATCCAAAAGGGCTGCAGAACCTAACATGTTTCTTCTAGCTAGCGGAGACTATCGAGCTATATAACATCAGAGCAGATGTGGACTGGAATGGCACTGTAGCACATTCCAGCTGAACATCAGCTCTGCTAATACCAAACCACCTGACCTTCCCACACTTCTCAATTATCTGGGCTAAAAAGCCAATGTACCAAAGCCAATTTCTTAGTTGTGACAGTATCCTAGAGTTTTGCAAGATGTTACCACTGGGAGAAACTGAGCGAAGGCTACATGGAATTTCCTGTTCATCTTTGCAACTTTCTGTGAACCTATAATTAGTTTGAACTAAAAAGGGTTTTGTTGTTGTTCTTCTTGTTTTTAAAAGCCAGTTAGTGGCTGAAGCTTTAGCTGGGGTTTTCACACACTATTGCTTGTGTAAAGATACACACTCTCATTCTTTCCTCCCTGGGGCCTAAAAAAACACAAAGAGAAATGTAAATGCACAACCTAGTTAGGATTACAGACCCACATAGCAAATGCTGTCACATTGCTATGATCTGGTTGGGGGCAAAAACAAGTATTCTTACTGATTAGGAAGGCTCTTTACAGGCAGGGGGGAAGGCAGGTGATGTTCAAATAAAGAGAGCCTGGCCAAGCATGGAGCTGTGTGATAACAAGTTGTCTCTCGGCTATTTCACTCAGAGCCTCAGCGACACAGGAAGAATGTTATCTCTTGGAAACACAAGACTTCTCCCATCTCTGCAATTATAAACCAAGAAGAAAAGCAAACAATGCCAGTGTGACTTCTCCAAAATCCCTTTTGGAAGTGCAGAGGGTATAACCTTCCACTCCAAAAAGTTTTCAGCCATCTTGCTTTCAACCTTTGAATACAACCAACCGAGACAAGATGTTGATCAGATATGCTTGTCGTACAGGGAAGTATTAGTGACAAGATGTACAACTGTCCAAATCATCAAGAAACTCAAATGATGGTGATGGGAGATAGGCAATTTCTGACACCTAAACCAAAATAACTGTAGCATTCAAGCCAAAATATGTACAATGTGAAATGCAAAAGCTTCCAGAACAATTCCAGAAGTGGGGAAAAAAATCTCTGCACATGTGCAATTGAAATTAACCTATTCAGCAATTACTGTAATTTAGCTGTGGGCTAGATCCTGGGATTATGGCACAGAGCAAGCTATTGGTCTTACCATCAAGTGTCTTACCACTTAGAGATAGGCAGATAAATGAATGCAATTCAGTATGGTTTCCCAGTGTGGATGATATGCAAGTTGAATACCGATGAATGAACTGGAGTTAGCAAATCAAATAATGTCATGAGCACACTCAACAGTACCCTTTATGATATTGTTAGGACTTGCACTATGTGCCTTGCAAGTATTACCTCTAAACCTCACAATGAAAACCCTGAATGAAAGCTACTATTACCCCAACTTACACAAGGTCAGAAAAGTTAAGTGCCTTGGCCAAGACCACATAGCTAAAGTTTGGGCTGGGATTTTATTCCTCTCTTTCCTCCCCATGCTATTGCTTTAGAACAGCAGTCCCCAACCTTTTTGGCACCAGGAACAACTTTGGTGGAAGACCATTTTTCCATGGACAGAGCAGAGGGATGGTTTCAGGATGATTCAAGAGCATTACATTTATTGTGCACTTTACTTCTATTATTATTACATTGTAATACATAGTGAAGTAATTCTACAACTCACCATAATGTAGAATCAGTGGGAGCCCTGAGCTTGTTTTTCTACAACTAGATGATCCCATCTGGGGGTGCTGGGACACAGTGACAGATCATAGGCGTTAGATTCTCATAAGGAGCGCGCAACCTAGATTCCTCACATGTGCAGCTCACAATAGGGTTCATGCCTCTGTAAGAATTTAATGCCACTGCTGATCTGACAGGAGATGGAGCTCAGGTGGTAACGCGAGCAATGGGGAGTGGCTCTAAATACAGACGAAGTTTTGCTCCCTCACCCGCCTCTCACCTCCTGCTGTGCGGCCTAGTCCCTAACAGGCCATGGACCAGTTTATGGCCTGGGGGGTTGGGGACCCCTGCTTTACAACAAAGAAGGTAACAAGGTAAATTAAAAAAGTGAAGTATTAATAAGACATATAAAAGAGTATTGAGGGCCAGGCATGGTGGCTCACGCCTGTAATCCCAGCACTTTGGGAGGCCAAGGTGGGCAGATCATCTGAGGTCAGAAGTTCGAGACCAGCCTGGCCAACATGGCGAATCACCATCTGTACTAAAAATATTAAAATTAGCCAGGTGTGGTGGTGGGCACCTGTAATTGCAGCTACTCGGGAGGCTGAGGCAGGAGAATCGCTTGAACCTGGGAGGTGGGAGGTTGCAGTGAGCTGAGATCACACCACTGCACTCCAGCTAAGGCAACAGAGCAAGAACCTGTCTCAGAAAAAAAAAAAAAAGAAAAAGAAAAAGAAAAGAGTATTGAGGACACTAATTGTAAAAACAAAGAAGCTTCTCATAGTAGTTTAAGGAAAACTTTATGGCTAAAGTTACAACTCACCTAAGTTTTAAAGGCACAGTAAATTTCCATAGGATGTTGGAACTTGACAAATCCAAAAAGTGAAGTCCATTGCCTTCCCAAACCTGTGATTCTTAATTCTTAGCATATCCCATTCTTAATGAGAAGCACCAATACCCATCTTGTCACCTGAGCAGGGACCCTGGGGGTCCTCTTTGACTCCTGCCTCCTCTTTATAACCAATCAGTCATCATGTGATTCAGCTTCAGTGTTTCCAAATATTAAATAATTCAGCAGATAAAAACAGTGAATTTCATATCGGTGGTTAAAGGACTTACTATTAAATTGAGATAACCATACTTTGGGACAGAGTCTCTGTGTTAAAAAATTCTTACACTTTATATAAAAATATTTCCTCTGTCTGGAATTTATTTTGGAAAGAAACATTTACTCATAAAAATAGTTGTCGATATTTGTATAGTCTAAGCATAATGAATCACATTCTTAAGACTTTGGTATCAAAAAGAAAAGACTGATGGATTTGACTATATAATGTAAAATTTATACTTGCCAAAAAAGATTATGAATGAATTAAAGTGAGAAGCAAAAGTTGAGAGAAATGCCTGCAAAGTGATGTAAAAAAGGTTTGTTTAATATATAAAAAGTTCTTGATATACACCATGGAATACTATGAAGCCATAAAAAAAATGAGCTCATGTCTTGCAAGGACACAGATGAAGCTGGAAACCATCATTCTGAGCAAACTAATGCAGGAACAGAAAACCAAACACCGCATGTTCTCACTCATAAGGGAGAGTTGAACAATGAGAACACACGGACACAGAGAGGGGAGCATCACACACTGGGGCCTGTCAGGGGGTGGGGGACAAGGGGAGGGAGAGCATTAGGAGAAATACCTAATGCATGCAGGGCTTGAAACCTAGATGATGGACTGATGGGTGCAGCAAACCACCATGGCACATGTATACCTATGTAACAAACCTGCACGTTCTGCGCATGCATCCCAGAACTTAAAGTAAAATAAAATAAAAAGTTCTTGTAAATCAATAAGACAAAGATAAATACTCCAATAAAAAAGGGATAAGGAGTCATCAATAGGCAAACCTCTAAAAAATATATAAACATATGAAAAAGTATTCATCATCAATACTATTTTTTTAAATGCACACTTAAAAATGGAATGCCATTTCCCCTGCACCAGAACAACAAAGATGGCAAAGATTAATAAAATTCAGTGTTGGTAAGAATACAGAGAAAAAAAAGCCTTTCATATACTCTTCATGTGACATTACCACATACCTGGAAGACAGTTTATCAATTTATATTAAACATTCTCAAAGATGAATATAAAACTTTCAGAATAAGATGATGAATTTAACTCATGAATCAGAGACCACTAGTCAAAATTCACAAAAAAACTACAGTAAAAGGATTTCTAAAATAGACAAACAGCAACAACAAAAACCATAACCCTCCAAAGCCAGAGGAAATGCAAGACAAGACAACAGCCATGAAATTGAGGAAGCTAGAACGCAGAATCAGAGGGTTAACCAAGTGACAGATGTGTGACAGATGATCCCAAGCTAACAATGCCCAAAACTGAGAAATCAACTCGATATATACCAGAGGACACTCAAGAGGCAATGGAACCGGCAGCAGCAGGTGCCTTTGGAACTGGGGGTAAAATGGACAGACCAGAATAAGGAAGACTAGCACGAAGGCTATTTGAAAAGAAACTGATCGGTAAATTCCTACTCCCACATTTTTTTTGGAGGAGGGCAGGGGGGATGGAATCTCATTCTGTTGCCCAGGCTGGAGTGCCGTGGCGCAATCTCAGCTCACTGCAACCTCCACCTCCCGGGCTCAAGTAATTCTGCTGCCTCAGCCTCCTGAGTAACTGGGATTACAGGCGTGCACCACCACACCCAGCTAATTTTTTGTATTTTTAGCGTAGACGGGGTTTCATCATGTTGGCCAGGCTGGTCTCAAATGCCTGACCTCAAGTGATCGTCCCACCTCAGCCTCCCAAAGTGCTGGGATTACAGGCGTGAGCCACCACGTCCAGCCCCCACTCCCACTTCTTGTTTCAGCCCACACAAATCACTCTATTGTCAAATCCAGTAAGTCCAACTCAAGTGCACAATGTCTGATCAGCTTTTTAAAAACTGATAAAATGGACATAACATGAAATTTACTATTTTAACCATTTTAAGTATACAGTTCAGTGACATTAGGTACATACCTATTATTGTGCGATCATCATCTATTTCCACAACTTTTTTCATCTTTTCAGACAAATCCCATACCCTTAAGCAATAACTCCCCATTCCCCCTCCACCCAGCCCCTGGCTGTCTAATCACTATTTAAGAGATAATCATAAGCAGAAAAGACTCACCAGATATCTAAGGAAAGCCTCCAACATGAAAGATAGAAACTAAACATCAATGAGAAAAATGTAACTTTTAGAAACAGACTATGCAGGGAGAAAAAGTTAAAACAAAAAATATTATTAACATCCTCCAGGGACAAGAAAACATATTGCTTCCAATAAAAAAGGACAATATGTTATAAAAGGAGCTTTCAGAGAATAAAAATGATCACTTGGAAGTAAAACTATGATAGCAGAAATAGAAAAAATGGATAGAAGGGAAGAATAAAAAAACTGAAGCGAGAATAAAGAAAACAGAGCAAAAATATCAGATAGCGAAAGATAAGATAGCAGAGAAAAATAAGAAAATTAGAGGTTCAATTTAGGAGGCCCCAAACTAGAATAATGAAAGATGCTGAAAGAGAGAACAGAAAAAATGAGGAGGAATTATCAATTAAAATTCCAAGAAATTTCCAAAAATGGATAGACAATAGATTGAGGATGGAAGCCACTAAATGCCCCATCTAATCAATGCAAACTGACCCATATCAAGGCTCATCATTGTGAAATTTAAAACTATGGTGACAAGATAAAGACTCTACAGGCTTCCAGAAAGGAAAAAAGAACATGCAAAAAACCAGGAAATCAGAATGCCTTTGGTTCTTCTAAAACAACAACAACAACAACAACAACAACAACAACAACAAAGACAATAATGGAGCAAAACCATCAAAATTCTGAAAGAAGGCAACATCTAACTCAACGACACCATCATTCACCTAGAAGATGAGGCTAAAGCCATCTTTAGAGGCATGAGTGAACTTGAAAGATTTTCTCTTCCTTGCAGTCTCTCTTAAGAAGCTTCCAGGTGTTGTGTTCCACCAAAATAAGAACATAAACCAAGAGAAGAGCACAGGAGACAGCACAGAAGAGGGTCAGAGAGTCCACAAGAAGACAGTGAAGGGAGATCCAAGACGACAACAACGCACAGCCACAGAGGCCAACCTCCATAACAGGGCAGTGTGACTTCAGATAGATGCAGCGAGAGTTGTCATTTTTAACACTGCTCCTGCAAATGTACCTCATTTTAAGCTGAGGATGGATTGCCTGAATGAGTATAGCACCCATTCTTATCTATAATTGGATGTTCTGACTACAGGCTTTCTGTCTACTGCCTGGATCAGTGGAAGACATTCACTGTATCATATCTCGTATCTCTCAAGACATGTTCTGCTTTGACCTGCTCCTGAGGATAGGCAGTAGGTCTTGATAAGATCAGAAGCAGTAAATACAGAGAAGCCCATTGCATTCTGTCCAGATTTTTGCCTTAAGTCCAGTACCTGGTCCACACAATAGCCCACTATGGTGAGTCCCATGTTTACTGAGCTCACTCATGACTTAGCCGTCTTCTCCAGAAGAGGCTTTTATAAACCCTTAGGAAGGTATATGGGTGAATGTTCTCATCCTTGACATGGTAGGAAAAGAGATATTTATTAATAAATACATTTTTAAAAATAAATAGAGGAGGTAATTAAGCAAGAAAAATAGAAAGTATCCAGATTGGAAAGTAATAAGTAAAATTATCACTATTTGAAGATAACACAATATTCTATATAGAAAGCTCTATAGAATCTACAAAAAAACCTACTGGAGCTAATAATCAAGTTCAGCAAAGTTAAAGGATACAACATGAACATACAAAAATAAGTTGTGTTTCTATACAATAACAATAAATGATGCAAAAATGAAATTAAGAAAACAATTCAATTTATAATAGTATTAAAAAGAATAAAACATTAAGAAATAAATTTAACCAAGGCAGTGTAAAATGTGTATACTGAAAACTATAAAACATTGTTGAAAGAGATTAGAGACATAAATAAATAGAAAGACATCTATGTTCATGGATTACAAGCATTAATATTATCAAGATGACAATACTCTCCAAATTGATTTACACATATAATACAATCCCAACAAAATTCTAACAGCTATTTCTCAGAGAAATGTTCAAGCTGGTCTTGAAATTAATATGTAAATGCAAGGAACCCAGAATAGACATAACAATCTTGAAAAAAGAACAAGGTGAGAGGTCTCACACTTCCCACTTTTAAAATTTACTATAAAGAAAAAGTTATCAAGACAGTGTGATCATGCCATAAGCATAGACACATAAATCAAAGAAATAGGATTGAGAGTCCCAAAATAACTCCTCATATTTACAGTAAGTTGATTTTAGACAAGGGTGACATAACCATTCAATGAGGAAAAATTGGACTCTTGAACAAATGCTCATGGGATAACTATATATGTAAAAAAGAAAAATAGAAAGAATTTGGATCCCTACCTCAAACCATATACAAAAATTAGCTCACAATGGATATAAACCTAAATGGAAGTGCTAGGACTATAAAACTCTTAGAAGAAAACAAAGGTTCAATTCTTTGTGACTTTGGATTAGGCAACAGTTTCTTAGATATGACACCAAAAGCTCAAGCACCCAAAGGAAAAAAAGAAAAACTGGACTTTATCAAAATTAAAAACTTTTGTGCATCCAAAGACATTATCAAGAATGTGAAAAGACAACCCACAGAAAGAGAGAAAATATTTGCAAGCATATTTGCAAAAATTGGTTGCAGAATATTTGATAAAGATGAGTATAAAGAGAATAAAGAATAATTATGAGTCAATAATTTAAAAAGTCAAATAATCAATTTTAAAATGGGCAAAGTACTTGAATAGATGTTTCTCCAAAGAAGATAGACTAATGAAAAATAAGCACATGAAAAGATGCTCAAAATAATTAGTCATTAGGGAAATGCAAATCCAAACTACAAGATACCACCTTATATCCACTAGATTGGCCATAATTTTAAAAAAGTAACAATTGTCAAGGATGTGGAGAAACTGGAACCCTCATATATGAATGGTGATCATGTAAAATGGTGCAGCTGAGGTGAAAAACAGTCTGGCTGTGGAAAACAATTTGACAGTTTCTCAAAAAGTTAACCACAGAATTATCACATAACCCAGCAATTCTACTCCTAGATATGTACCCAAGAAAACTGAAAACATATCCAAACAAAAATGTGTACATGAATATTCATAGCCCTATTATCCCTAATAGCCCCAAAGTAGAAACAACCCAAATGTCTATCAACTAAACTGATAAACAGATAAATAAAATGTGCTGTATCTATACTCAGAATATTATTCAGTCATAAAAAGAATGAAGTACTTATATATGCCACAATTTGGTTGAACCTTGAAAACATTATGTTCAGTGAAAGAAGCCAGGAAAAAAGGCCACATGTTGTAGATTTCATTTATTATCAAATGTCCAGAAGAGGCAAATTTATCGTAACAGAAAATACATTAATATTTGGCAAGGAATGGGGTAAGGGTAGAATTGGGAGAGGCTACTCCCAGGTTCAGGGTTTATTTTGCAGGTGATGACAATGTTCTGGAATTAGGTAGTGGTGATAGGTGCAAATCATTTGAATATACTGAAAATCACTGAATTGTATACTTTATTTTTTGTTTTTTTGAGACAGACTCTTGCTGTGATGCCCAGGCTGGAGTGCAATGGCATGATCTCGGCTCAATGCAACTTCCGCCTCCCAGGTTCAAGTGATTCTCCTGCCCCCATCTCCCGAGTAGCTCAGACTACAGGCACGTGCCACCACACCCAGCTAATTTTTGTATTTTTAGTAGAGACAAGGTTTCCCCATATTGGCCAGGCTGGTCTCGAACTCCTGACCTCAAGTGATCTGCTCGCCTCGGCCTCTCAAAGTGCTGGGATTACAGGTGTGAGCCACAGTGCCTGGTCTATTTTATTTTTATAGTATATTTTATGGTATGTGAATTACATCTCAATCAGAAGTGAGGAAAAATAAAGAATGGCTATGCATGAACCAGTGATGGAGTGTGTCAAGTATTATGACTGTGATACCTCTGTGCACCCGAATTCCTCCATCCTGGTCACCCAAACAAAGATCAAGGCAAACACAGTAAGTTCATCATTGGACCAATGGAGCTACAAAGACCCAGGATGACCATCTGGGAGACAGAGGCCTTACAGGTTTGAATTGTTCTGGGCTTGAGTGGTAGATCCTATTGGACAATTCCAATGGGAAACTGTCAGAACACATAAAGTGGAGCAGACTGCCCAGTGTGTCCTGATGCTGAGAATCACAAGTGATCCCAGTTTAAGAAGGGAGGGGGCCGAGTGATATGGTTTGTCCCCTCCAAATCTCATGTTGAAATGTGATCCCTAATATTGAAGGTGGGGCCTGGTGGTAGGTGTTTGGGTCATGGACGCGAAAGGCTTGGTGCCATTCTTATGGAATTCAGTGAGTTCTCCATCTTAGTTCCCATGAAATCAGACTGTTAAAAAGAGCCTCGCACCTCCTCCCCTCTCTCTCTCCACTCATCATGTGACCTCACCAGCTCCCCTTCCTCTTCTACCATGAGTGGAAGCTTCTGAAACCCTCACCAGAAGCAGATGCTGGCATCATGCTTCTTGTACAGTCTACAGAACCGTGTGTGAAATAAATTACTTTCCGTTATAAATTACCTAGACTCAAGTATTCTTTGTAGAAAGACAAATGGACTAAGAAACCAAGGAAGAGAAGAACAGCTGCAAAAAGAAGATCGGGGAGAATCAGCAGAGAGTAGTGTCGGGGCACCAGGAGGAGCGATACACCCCATCAAGGAAGCTGCGTGACAATATCAGATGGTGCCAAAAGATCTGGGCAGCAAAATGCTCGCTGGACTTGGTGAGCAGTGATTTCTGGCAAATGTTGCCTGAATGATTTCAGCTGGATGTACAGAGTACAAAGAATTGCATCTTACCTGGGCTTAACACAGGCCAATGTCAATATTCAAACTGAGTGAAACAAATGACTTAAAATAAAAACAAAATTCCCTGACAAAGGAAAATCTGCAGTCTCATCTCGTCTGCTTCTCCAGAGTGCCCCGGCTTTGTACACCCATTCCCTGAGCCCATCTTGACCAGAGCTTAGTGAGTCTGAGAATAGATCAATCTGC
Organism: Homo sapiens; assembly: GCF_000001405.40. NCBI lineage: Eukaryota > Metazoa > Chordata > Mammalia > Primates > Hominidae > Homo > Homo sapiens. Next base: position 71,393,599 of record NC_000007.14, on the reverse strand, counting down.
CCTCATTAAAATGATGTTTGCAGAGATTTTTTAATAAAAAAAAAAGGGGGGCACTGATTATGCTTTACACTTCGGGGGAAAAAGCAGAACATCAACTTGTTTATACTATTGATCTTAACTATGCAAAATGTGCATTAAAGAGGGTAAGGGCATGGGCGAATGAGCAGTTGCCTCTGGTTAGTCTCTTCAGTATTTATTTTTTTCCAATTATATTTGCTTTTTGATACATTCGAATTTTCCAACAAAGAGCACGCATTACTTTTAAGATCAGAAAACAAAATTGTAAGGCTGGGAAAAAAAAGTTTTAATCAAATGTGAACTAGCAAGCAGGAACAACAATATTAATGTAAGAAGAACTAAATTCAAGGCAAAAAAAACAGAGTATGCTTCTAAGATAAAGAGAGCATTACATAATGGTAACAACCATCACTATTAATGAAGCCATGCAGATACAAATCTATAGTTGCCAAAGAAACTGACAACAAGATACCAGAAAACAAGTATTAGGAACACAGGAAGGAAGAGTCATTATAAAAGGAGATTTTAAAACACCATTATCAAAAAGACTTAAAAAAAATAAACTCATAGCCTACCAGAATACACAAAATTGATGTCTGGCAGGAATTCAATTCCATGATTACAGTGTGTGGGGGTCTTTTTAAATAGACGTAGAACATTTACAAAACTCGATAATACCAGTTACAAAGAACATCTTAATAAAATGAAAAATATTAGATTCCTCTTCTAGTTCAAGAGAAGAGATTTCTGGCCCGGGGAAAAAACATAGAGAACAGAACCAGGAACTGAAAAGAGGGAGATCATGTTAATATCGTCAACTCCCGGTCCCCTGGGTATTTGGGAGAGGAGGAGGAGGATGATGAATGGATATTGATTTATGGTCTGGCTGAACCAAATACCTCCTCCTCCCATTTTCTTACTCACTGAACATCTTCATGTAGAACTGAAATGTGAACCATTAAAATGGGACTCACAGACAGGGCTCAAGGCGTGGTTACCTAACCCAATGGTTCTCAAAGTGTGCTCCCCACACAAGCTACGTAAGCATCAAATAGGAGCTTATAAGAAATGCACATTTTCAGCCTTACCCCAAGCCTCCTGAAGCAGAACTTCCTCCAGGGTGGAGTCCCAGGGGGTTCTTACACTAAAACATTTGCTGCTAAAGGTGTATAAATACCCCAGCTTCCTCACCCTTGGAGCAAGTTAACTCTGAGGTCTGAGTTTACACTGGCTCTTGGAATTTCCCCAGTGAAATTAAGCTCCATCACCCACACTACCAATCTTTTGGGGATGCTTTCCCTTCACATTCTTACTTCCCCAGTCCCCTACTGGTGCTCTCTTCACCTCCCAAATAAACTACTTGCACTCTTGATGTGAATAAACCCATCTACTTGAAGATGTTTATTTCAGGGTCTGCTTCTGGGGGAAACTAAATGAAGATACCTACTATATGGTTTGAATATTTGTCCCCTCCAAATCTCATGTTGAAATGTGACCCCCAATGTTGGAGGTGAGGCCTGGTGGGAAATGTTTGGGTCATGGGGGTGGATCCCTCATTTGTGGCTCGATGCCTCCTTCATGGTAATGAGGAAGTTCTCACAGAGTCTGGGACCTCCCCACCACTCTCTTGTTCCCTCTCTCATCATGTGACACTCACCTGCTCCCCTTCCCTTCTGCCATAACTAGAAGTTTCTGAGGCCTCACCAGAAGCCAAGCAGATGCTGGTGCCATGGTTCTTGTACATTCTGCAGAACCGTGAGACAAATAAAACCTTCTTTTTAAATAAATCACCCAAGGCCAGGCATGGTGACTCACACCTGTAATCCCAGCACATTGGGAGGCTGAGGCAGGAGGATCATTTGAGCCCAGGAGTTTGAGACTAGCCTAAGCAACATGCCAAAACCCCATCTCTACAAAAAATATATATATAAATTAGCTAGGCATGATGGCACATGCCTGTGGTCCCAGCCTCTCAGGGGGCTGAGACAGGAGGATCACCTGAGCCTAGGAGTTGGAGGCTGCAACAAGCTGTGATCGCACCACCGCACTCCAGCCCGGGCGACAGAGTGAGAGACCCTGTCTCAAAATCAATCAATCAATCTGTCAATCAATGAATCACCCAGCCTCAGGAATTCCTTTATAGCAACACAAAAGGGACTAATACACCTACTGAACCCACTAAGTGTCTAACCCTGTACTGGAGATCCCTGCGGTCAAGGAGCTGGAGTTATGGCTGAGATTGCCTTAACCTTCCCTTCCTCCTCCTGGGCTGGGCTCTACCTAGATTTCCTCAGGAGAGGGTGCGCCATTGGCAGTGAGTCTTCACCCCAATCCAGCCCGATCTGCAGTTCATGCTCCTCTCTGGGTGTTCTAGCCCCGGGCCACCTCCAGTCTTTTTGCCACTAGCTCACACCTGCACTTTTCTTAGTGCTACCTGGCTTCATCATGCACTCCCTTGTTGAAAGACTTACTGAGTTTCAACCACCAGCCAGGCCCTGGGAAACATCCCACCCAGTTCAGAGAGTCCACTGTGCAGACACACCACATGCTAGTAAGTGCGACAGCTAGTAGCAAGGTGCTAAGATAGCACAGAACCGGGGCCTCATTATCCTAAAGGTGTATAAATACCACAGCTCCCTCGCACTTGGAGCAAGTTAACTCTGAGGTCTGGGTTTACACTTGCTCCTGGATTTTCCCCAGTGGGATTAAGCTCTGACACTGACAGTACCAATCTTTTTACAATGGCTTCCCTTCACAGTCTTACTTCCCCACTCAGAGATCAGAGGAGGCTTCTCTGAGGAAGTGCTCTGCTGGAGACAGCTGGGAAACAGGTGGGACTTAGAAGGCTGATGAAGGGGGCCACAGGAACAGGGAGTTCGAGAGAAGAGATTTCTGGCCTGGGGAAAATATGCAGGGGTGTGTGGAAGGACTGCTGGAGCAAGAGGTCTGTGGTAGGTGCAGAGAAAGGCCACAGAGCAGAGAGCCGTGGGCATGTCAAGGAAAGAGACTTTGCTGCACAACTTAGAGGCTTCCAGGAACTGAAAGAGCCTCCTTCTCACAAGGAGACAACCATTCTCAGGTTTAGAAGAATCTATAGATAACTAATGGCCAAAGGTAAGGAAATAAAACTAAGGATGTGAAAAATCCAACAAATGACCCATCTCTGTAAGCCAGAGGTCCCAGAGAAGGCAAACCACTGGGCCCAGGTGCACCCAAGCCCTTCAGAAGAGTGGGCCGGTTCAGAAGGGGCCAGGGATATCAGCTCCCAGGCTGATTAAATAGGAGAGGCTCATTCCTGTGCTCCTCAAGATAATCCGGTTTTAAACAGGACCCGTGGCATTGCCTCCTCCTCACCATCTTCCGGACGACGGAGCAGCTTGCAGGGTAATCCCTCTCCTACCCAGCACGATGAAAGGAAGGGGTTTAGCCTACTCCTAATCCTGTAGTTGCTGAGAAGATAAGCTTTCTTGGCCTTCAGGCACTCACTCTAGCTGGCTTTCTTTTATCTCATGAGCTTGTGGGGGTGGCTCCCAGCAGTGAGCACACTGAATTTTGCAGGTTGGGATCCAACACAAAGGCACCATCAGCAGCACCCACCCCCATTGCCCTGGATGCCACGCCTTTGTCCAACTGTTAAATATCTCCAAGGATCTCCCAGGAGTTTTGTTATTGACATGCAATATTTGCCTGTTGTACAGTTTTCATTGAGCCATCATTCCTAGTAGCGCTGAATTCCAGAAGATGAGCAAACACCACTCACTTCTACTTAAGATCATTTTGGGCACAGTGGCCCAGAGGAGAATTCCAATGTAGATAAACAGTTCCTAACACGGGATGGAATTTTTTATTTCGCTTTTTGGAGAAGGACAACAAAGATGGGGTGCGGGGTGGGGAGTGGAGGAGGAATTCAGCTCTTCACTGTCATCTGCTTTAGCTAATGAGAAGAAGGAAGTTCATCTAGATCCATGGCCAGTCAATGATTCTTATGAGCCCTAGAGCAGCGGTCCTCAACCTTTTTGGCATCAGGGAGTGGCTTTGTGGAAGACAATTTTTCCATGGAACATGGGGGTCAGGGGAGATGGTTTCAGGATGAAACTATTCCACCTTAGATCATCAGACATTAGATTCTCATAAAAAGGTTGCAACCAGCCAGGCACGGTGGCTCATGGCCTGTAATCCCAGCACTTTGGGAGGTTGAGGAGGGCAGATCTCCTGAGGTCAGGAGTTCGAGATCAGCCTGACCAACACAGCAAAACCCTGTCTCTACTAAAAATACAAAAATTAGCCAGGCATGTTGGTGTGTGCCTGCAGTCCCAGCTACTCGGGAGGCTAAGGCAGGAAAATCGCTTGAACCTGAGATGTGAAGGTTGCAGTGAGCCAAGATCATACCACTGCACTCCAGCCTGGGTGATGGAGCGAGACTCCATCTCAAAAAAAAAAAGGGCAGGGGTACAACCTAGATCACTTGCTTGTGCAGTTCACAACAGGGTTCATGCTCCTATGAGAAGCTAATGCTACTGCTGATCTGACAGGAGGTGGAGCTCAGGCAGTAATTCCAGCATTGGGGAGCAGCTGTAAAAATAAATGAAGCTTCGCTTGCTCTCCTGCCACTCACCTCCTGCTGTGGAGCCCAGTTCCTAACAGGCCGCAGACTGCTATTGGTCCATGGCCCTGGGGTTGGGGACCCCTGCTCTAGAGGACTCAAGGAATAATAGACTAGGGTAAGCCTAGATATCTTCCTCTAAAAAAATCTTGGGCCGGGCACGGTGGCACACTCCTGTAATCCCAGCACTTTGGGAAGCTGAGGTGAGCGGATCACCTGAGTTCAGGAGTTCGAGACTAGCCTGGCCAACATGGTGAAACCCCATCTCTACTAAAAATACAAAAATTAGCCAGGCGTGGTGCCGGGTGCCTGTAATCCCAGCTACTCGGGAGGCTGAGGTAGGAGAATCGCTTGAACCCGGGAGGTGGAGGTTGCAGTGAGCTGAGATCATGCCACTGCACTCCAGCCTGGGCGACACAGCAAGACTCCATCTCAAAAAAAGAAAAAGAAAAAATATCCCTTCCCCAGATATGCTCCAGGGACCAGGAGACACAGATGCTCGGGCTCGCGTTGGAATGAAAGTGGCATTTCCCCCTGCTGTCATCATGTCCTGTGCACAGGTCAGCCACCCCTGTACCTTCGTCGCTGTTGTCATCCACCAGAATGATTTCCTTCAGCAGGTGTGTGGGCGTGTGATTGACGGCACTGTGCACGGACCGCAGGATCACCGACAGGGCCTCGTTCACGAAGATGAATATGATGGATATCTGGGGCAGGTCCTTGGAGTACTTGAGCTCCTTACACCTGGGGAAGGAGAGATCGGAAATGCAGAGTCAGAGGAAGGATAAAAGCTCAGGCACTGCAGCTGGACATAGTGTAAGATTTCAGCCGAATCCTCATCCAGTCGTCCCAAGGCGTGAATCACTGGTTCCCTTAGGCTTCTCCTTGGCTAAGAACTGAGAATAAACCCTAAGGAGGACAGCATTAACAGATGCAGCCCCACTTCTCCCAGATTCACCACCCTACAGGTGGTGAGTTAGAATGTTAGCTCTGTGATAGCAGGAACCTCTACTATAATATAATATGGAGCACTTAGTGGGTTCAGTAGATGCCTTCATTTGGGTTCCCCCAGAAACAGAGCCTGAAACAAAGGTTTGAGTGCAAGTAGTTTATTTTGGAGGTGAAGAGAGCATCACTAGGGGAGTCCCAGGCATCAGTCCCAGGCATATGTCTACCTGCATCTACCTGTGCCATCTACCCGCATCTACCTGTGCTGCCTACCTGTGCCCTGAGCTTCAGGGCACACCGCACAACTTCTGACTCCAGCCCCTCCATTTCCTTGCCTGAAACCTTCTTTGCTGATGCCTAAGCGATTACTCCACCCCCTAAATCTCTCAACTAGGGACCACCCGGAACACGGTGCAGTGCCTCACACCTGTAATTTCAGCAATTTGGGAGGCCGACGTGGGAGCGTCGCTTGAGGCCAGGAGTTTAAGACCAGCCTGGGCAACATAGCAAGATCCTGTACCTATAAACAATTTTAAAATTAGCCAGGTGCAGTGGTGCATGGCTGTATTCACAGCTACTTGGGAGGCTGGGGTGGGAGGATCACTTGAGCCCGGGAGGTCAAGGCTACCATGAGCTATGATCATGCCAATGTACTCCAGCCTGGGTAACATAATGAGACCCTGTTCCCCCTCCCCGCCCCCCAAAAAAAGAACACCAGGAACTGATGTATTAGGTTGGTGCAAAAGTAATTGCGGGTTTTGCCATTACTTTTAATGCCATTAAAAGTACTTTTTTGCCATTAAAAGTAATGGCAAAACCCTCAATTACTTTTGCACCAACCTAATACAAATACCCCAGCTCCCTCAGCCCAAGAGCAGGTTAAATGTAAATTTCCGCAGCAGGATTAAGCCCCCATCACCCACAGGAGCAATCTTCATAACACACCCTTTGGAGAGGGGATGTCTTTCCCTCCCAGTCTTACTCGCCACTCCCCTAGTGATGCTCTCTTCACCTCCAAAATAAACTACTTGCACTCAAACCCTTTGTTTCAGGCTCTGTTTCTGGGGGAACCCAAATGAAGGCATCTACTGAACCCACTAAGTGCTCTGTATTATGTTATACTAGAGGTTCCTGCTATCACAGAGCTAACATTCCAGGAGAGGAAATAAAACACCCACGCCAATAATCATAGTCAAGGAAAAGGACCCTACACCTGGAGGAGTGTGCAACCTAAGGCACACCAGCTCTTCTTCGGGAAGTCCTAGAACCTCCCTGGAGACAGGAGACAGGACAACCTGCTGACATCCCTCCCTCAGAATACCCAGCAGCCCTCATATGCCCGAGCGCAGTGATTAAAGGGAAGAATTCCTCTCATCCAGTATGGACTCCAGAGCATAGAGCTTTGGCCTTCTCCACGGCTCCAGGTGATGTAAGAGATGATTTAGTACCCGGGGAACGTGCTCTGCTTCTCTCAGTCACAGGTGCACCGAGAGTCCGTCCAGGGAGCACTGAGGAATTTCATTTCATGCTTACGCCTAAGCCACATTGGAAATAGCAAAGAGAAACACAGTGGAATGGAGTGCCGAGGTACCTGCACTTTAATGCATCCTTCTTCTCCTTATGGGAGATTGCACAATATATAGCACAACGGAACAGGGAGCAGAACAAAGAAAACAGATGAAGCCATGGAGTGAGAGAGAAGCAGAGCTGAAGAGGGAGCAAGAAATACAGCTGTTTCTTATGCTGAGCAGCTTGGGCTATGTCAGGCCATATTAATCATGTAGGCAATTTTCAGAAGAAAATAAAGTTTTGTTACAATATGTGTTTGTCTCCTGGAGAAGATCGTCCAGGGATGCATTGATCAAGCAGCCTCATTTTTACCATGCTGCTGTAAATCTACTTCTGGGGGCTGCCAGGGAGATTACAGTGATTATTGACGGGCTCACAGGCAGTTGGCAGGAATCATCTCATTGACTGTGTGGTGGTCCACAAAACAAGAGCACTCCAGAGGGTCCCTCAGAGGCTGGTCTCGAACTCCTGGCCTGAGGTGATCTGCCTGCCTCGGCCTTCCCAAGTGCTGGGATTACAGGCATGTGCTGCCACACCTGGCCAATTTTTGTATTTTTAATAGAGATGGGGTTTCACCATGTTGGCCAAGCTGGTCTTCAACTCCTGACCTCAAGCGATCTGCGCACCTCAGCCTCCCAAACTGCTGGGATTACAGACATGAGCCACCGCACCCAGCCAATTTCTTGATTTCTTCATCTCTGCCCTAAAAGCCCCAACTAGGAGAAGGTCCTCTGCAGCCAGGTGCACCGTGCCCATGGCCTGCTGGGGGCAAAGTATTCCCACATAGTATCACTGAGCCGGGTCAGGTTTGATTTCCCTTCAAGGGGGATGTGGGTGAGCAGAAGCCGGCTCCACCTCCCCTGGGGTTAATCAGGCTGGCGGGAATGTGCATAAAGCTCATGTGGGAGAGTGTTCTGCCCCCAAGCCCTGGAACTGAAGAATCCCAGGCAGGGAGGAGCCAAGGTTGCCCTCAGTCACTCTAGGCCTTGCAAAAGTCCTGTGCTAATGAGCCACTGCAGCACTTCAGCCACTGTGCACCAAGGCCTGACTCTGTCGTCACCATCATCCCTCAGGGCAGGGGCACAGAAGAGGATCTTAAAGGGGCTGGATATGGAAGCTGCACTGTGCATGCTCAGACGGCTGGGCAGATGACTGCCGGGCTGGGCAGGTGACCACTGGGCCTGAGCTCAGCCTCCAGCCCTTGTCTCTTGGGTCTGTCTAAGGCGAGCGCTCCCCTTTCGAGGGTCTACCTGGGTTTCTCGGTATCGCTTGGCTCACATGGGCGAAACTGTGTGGCTGATCTGCAGGCCTTCCTGGCTGCTTGCCTCAACTCTAGCTCCCAAGTGCAGTGATGCCCCTCAGTCTCTGCCCTAACATCTGCCACACCCAAGGGACAGGACCAATCACCATGCACTGCCCCACCCCAATCACCCAGAGTTCTGGGATATGAGGGCTAAAGCACATTAAACACTTCTAACAAGGCAGTTGTCAATGCAATGCAGGAGATGCTAAGTGTCAAACGAAGTATCTACAACAGCTGTAATAGATGGGCTAAGCTGGACCAGGAAGGTGGGGACGGTGAGCTCCAGGCTGGATCTGAATGGATAGATCTCACTGAATTAGACTTGCATGGTCAAGAACAGAGGGAGAAATGTGATATCAGAGCTCTACTGAGTACAGAGGCACTCTTCCTTGACCTTCCAGGAGAAATCTTGTAAGCTTTAGAGATTACACAGTAAAGAGCTAGACTCACAATGCAATGACAGCCTCACACCAGGCTCTGCAAATTCCTACCGGGCTAATTCCTATTCATTTCCAAAGTGCTCCATAAACATGCAGAAGATCATGAGCATTAATTAATAAAGTCTTTACCGCTGATGAAGGTCCGTGTTCTCTGGGCACTCAGGCCTCTCCACCACATACTACCCTCAAACTCTCAGAGCTCTGGAAGGCAACATGGGACGGAAACTGTGGGATTCTGATGGAAAAGGTAGTTTGAGTCAGAGAACACCACCTTGACATCCTCAGAGTAGCTGCAAGACAATGAGAAAACCCTTGAGAACTGCAGCACGCTGTGGACATACCCATCTTCACATCGTCTCTTTCCACTGCCAGAGGAAATTCTGCCACCAGACACCCTTCCCAAGGTCTCCACCTACCATGCGGACGTGGGATGTGCCAGTTACCACAACCATGTGAGCCAGGTTCTTAAAATAAACCTCTCTCTGCTCAACATCACTAATCATTAGAGAAATGCAAATCAACACTACACTGAGATACCACGTCACATCCATTAAGATGGCTACTGTTAAAACAAAAAACAAAAAAACAAAACAAAACAAAACAAAAACCTGAAAATAACAAGTGTTGAAGAGGATGCGGAGAAATTGAAACCCTTGTGCACTGTTGATGGAAGGGGAGGATGTTACGGCCGCTGTGGAAAATAGTATGGTGGGTGGTCCGTTAACAGTAGAGTAGCAATTCCACTTCCGGGTATATACCCAGAAGAACTGAAAGCAGAGTCTTGAAGAGATACTTGTACCCGCATGTTCATAGAGCATTATTCGCAGCTAAATGTTGGAAGCAATCCAGGTGTTCATCAATAGACAAATGAATCAAGAAAATGTAGTATGTGGAGTCAGCCTTTCTAATCCACAGGTTCTGTATTTTCATATTCAACCAACCACAGAGGGAAAAAATCCCCAAAATCAAGATAAAAAAAACACAGAGCCAAGCATAGCAACTCACACCTGTAGCCTTAACTACTTGGGACGCCAAGGTGGGAAGAGTGCTAGAGGCCAGGAGTTCAAGACCAGCTTGGGGAACACAGTGAGACCCCATCTCTGAAAGTAAAAATTAGCCAGGCATGGTGGCACATGCCTGCAGTTTCAGCCACTCAGGAGCCTGAGGTGGGAGGATTGCTTGAGGCCAGGACTTCAGGGTTACAGTGAGCTATGACCGCACCACTGCACTCTAGTCTGGGCGACAGAGCAAGACTCAGTCTCAATAACAATAATAATAATGATATAAAATCAATAAGCGTAACAATTATTTACATGACATTTATACTGCATTAGATATTGTAAGTAATCTAGAGATGATTTAAAGTATATGTGAGGATGTGCGTAGTTTATGTACAAATATTATGTCATTTTATGTGAGGGATTTCCTTGAGCTTCCAGGGATTTTGGTATCCAAGGGGGATCTGGAGCCAATCCCCTTCAGATACCAAGGGATGGCTGTGTATATATAAAATGGAATGTTATCCAGTTTTAAAAAGGAAGGAAATTCTGCAATATACTACCACATGGATGAACTTTGAGGATTACTAGGTGAAATAAGCTAATCACAAAACATAAATTCTGTATGATTCTACTTACAGGAGTTACCTAGAATGGTCCAATTCATTGACAGAAAATAGAAAAGAGGTTATCAGGGGACAGGGAAGGGGGAATGGGAAATTATTGTGATTGGGTGCAGTGTTTCTGTTTCAGATGAGGAAAATATCCTGGAGATGGACGGTGGTGGCAGTTACATGACAATGTAAACGTGCTTAATGCCAATGAACCACTTAAAAATGGTTAGGATGGTAAATTTTATGTTATGTATATTTTAACACAATAAAAAATGGGAAAAATAAATAAATTCATTCTCTCTCTCTACCTCCCCATCCTGCCCCTGCCCAATTCCTTCTCTTTCTCTAGGGAACCCGAATGAACGCACTGCCCTTTGGTTTGGAAAAGAAGATTACACCAGATTGCGGTGTCACACCTCATCAGAACCTTGTCACTGCAACCTCTCCTTCCTGTCACCACTTCAAGAGCCTCTGACCCCACACCCAGGGATGCCCAGGAGGACCACCTCGTTTCGGTTACTGCAGTGCAATTATCTCAGACCCCCATGGCTTTTCCTGGACCTCACTGACACCCAGAACAGCTGCAGTTGGACCACCTTTGACTTCAACAGTCATAATCTCTCTTCATCCCAGTTCTCCAGCCTCGTAGTCCCAAAACCCTTACTCTTAGACTTTCAGGCCCTGGGACACTTGTTTGTTTTGTTCTGTTTTTGTTTTTGTGTTTTTGAGATGGAGTCTTGCTTTTGTGGCCCAGGCTAGGGTGCAATGGCGTGATCTCGACTCACTGTACCCTCCGCCCCCTGGGTTCAAGCGATTCTTCTGCCTCAGCCTCCCAAGTAGCTGGGATTACAGACACCTGCCACCACACCCGGCTAATTTTTCTATTTTTATTAGAGACGAGGTTTCACCATGTTGTCCAGGCTGGTCTTGAACTCCTGACCTCAGGCGATCTGCCCACCTCGGCCTCCCAAAGTGCTAGGATTACAGGCGTGAGCCACCACGCCTAGCCATTTTGTTTTGTTTTTTTAATCTATTAGCCCTTCCCTGGTTTCAAGTTCGTCCAGTCCAACTGGACTCTCCATACTTCCTTCAACCAGGCTCTGCCTTTTGCCAACCCCACAGTTCTCCTGTCCCTCTGCCTTTCTTTCCCACAAGTGCTGAAGGACCCCAGCTCTAGACAGAACCACCCACTTGCCTCTTCTCCCCTTTTCTTACACAGCTGACACTGCAGGCTGCAAGACCAAGTCTCACATTCATGCAGCTGCAAAGGAGACACCTCCAGGGGCTCCACTCTTTGCGCCGCAGGTTTCTTTTCTTTTCTTTTTTCTGAGACGGAGTCTTGCTCTGTAGCCCAGGCTGGAGTGCCATGGCATGATCTCAGCTCACTGCAACCTCCACCTCCCAGGTTCAAACAATTCTCCTGCCTCAGCCTCCTGATTAGCTGGGATTACAGGCATGCACCACCACACCCAGCTAATTTTTGCATTTTTAGTAAAGATGGGGTTCCACCATGTTAGCCAGGCTGGTCTCGAACTCCTGACCTCAGGTGATCCGCCCGCCTCGGCCTCTCAAAGTGCTGGGATTCCAGGCCTGAGCCCCCGCACCTGGCCTGCTCTGCAGGCTTCTTTCTGTTCTAGGTCAGAACCCTGGATTTCATTACCCTTCACTGTCCTCTACCTTTTGCCAAGTTCCTTGGGCCAACCTCCCAGTCCGCAAGGGATAGTGCCTCCTACTCCACAGAGAAATCAATACCATCAGCCCTAATTTCCACATGTGGTCCACAGGTCTGTAGCATCCGCAACAGCATCGTCTGGGGGCTTGTTAGAAATAAAAATCCCTAGGACCAAGCCAGGCGTGGTGGCTCACGCCTGGAATCCCAGCACTTTGGGAGGTAGAGGCAGCGGACCACCAGAGGTCAGGAGTTCAAGACCAGTCTGGCCAACATGGTGAAATCCCACCTCTACCAAGAAATATAAAAATCAGCTGGGCGTGGTGGCACACACCTGTAGTCCCAGCTACTCAGGAGGCTGAGGTGGGAGGATACCTTGAGCCTGGGAGGCAGAGATTGCAGTGAGTCAATATCGCGCCTCTGCACTCCAGCCTGGGTGACGGAGCGAGATCCTGTCTTAAAAAAAAAAAACAAAAACCCCAGGCTCCTCCCAGACCTAGGGACTCAGAATCCCTGGAGGTGGGGCCCAGCAATCTACCCCTTATCAAGCTCTCTGGGTGGTTCCTGCACACTGGAAATGGGAGAAGCACTTCCCTCCTGCAAGCTTACCTACCTCTCAACCCATTCTTTGTCTTCACCTCCTCTCTTGATGGAAGCTGAGTCCAGGAGTTCAAGGCTGACCCCTGCATCCTTACTGTGGATCCCAGCCTCCTCCCACCTCAGAGCCTTGCCTCGTCCATCACTCTCTCTCTTGCATCTTCGCTCTCCCTCTGCCAACCTTTTCTACTCAACTCCCTCCCATTTAAGTAAAAAAACTGGGTTGGTGCGGTGGCTCATGCCTATAATCCCAGAGTTTTGGGAGGCTGAAGCAGGAGGATTGTTGAGGCCAGGAGTTCGAGACCAGCCTGGGCGACAAAGCAAGATCCCATCGCTACAAAAACATTTAAAAAATTAGCCGGGTGTGGTGTTGGCTACTGAGGAGGCTGAGACAGGAGGATGGCTTGAGCCCAGGAGTTCAAGGCTGCTGGGGGCCATGATGGCACCACTGCACTCCAGCCTGGTCAACAGAACAAGATTCTGTTTCAAAAATAATAATAATAATATTAATACTAATAAAAAATAAGTAAATAGTCTCTTTTTCCACAGCCTTAATTGGCTTAATTGACATGTTCCTTTCCCTCCCTGTCTCCCTTCTTTACCTCTCATTCATTCCTCGCTTCACCCAGCACTTGGCTCCTGTGCAACCTATTTTGCTGAAACTGCTCTTGTTAAAGTTTCCAGTGACATCTACTCTACGTGGCCAGAATGGAGGGACCTTCCCAACCTCACCATCGCTGATGATCCTTTCTGCAGTATGCAACACCGCCATCCCTCTCCTTGTATAATCGCTATTTCCTCTCGGATCCTGGACACTCAATATTCCTCCCCCATTCCTATCTGGGCTTTTTCTCCTCTGGGATCTTCCTTGGCCACTGGTTTTGTTGCACAGGTTACCCTTTCCTTTAAATTCCCCAAATCCTTAAGCTCCTTCTTTTGCCCTTCACTGTTCTCTCTTCATAAACGGGTCCTGGGTGACCTCATGCAAGTCTACAGCTCCAAGTACCCTGGCAACTCCCAAACCCACATCTCTAGCCTGGACCTTCACTGAAACTTCAGCTCCCCCTTGTAAATCTCCACGTGGAGCGCTCATAAACATCCCAAATTCAGCATGCTGAAAACTGAAACCTCCTCTTTTTGTACCACCCTGTCTTTGCTGAAGGCCACCACCCTGTCTCTTCAGGAGTCAAATTCAAGTCATGACCCCTCAACATGCCTATCGGTCACCAAATCCTGCAGATTCTGCCATTTTCAGGATCTCTGTGTGACATTTGTCCCTTCTCCTCCATTGCTACCGCCTTAGTTCCAGTCCTCACTGGTTACCTCCTGAATGACACCAAAAGCCACCTAACTGGTCCCTTGCCTCCAACCCCATCCCACTTACCCTACTGCGACCAGAATGACCTCTCTAGAGTACATATGATCACGTCACTCCTCTACTTAAAGGATCTCCTGGCCTCTCCTAATTCTAAGCTTTCAGAATTAGGTTTAAATTCCTCTGCTTGGCACCCAAGTTGAGCCCGATCCATCTCTCCAACCTCATCGCCTCTCCCTGCCCTTTCTCCAGCCACTATGAATTTGTTATTTCCTAGAACTGAGAATGCTGTCTCTCAAGTCACACAAACTGTTCTATCTGCCCAACACTACCTTCCTCCTGCTAGGCACTTCCTCTGGTCTCCAGCCCTAGCCTTCCCAGAGCCCAGCCTGGTATCAGGCACTTCTCCTTTGTTACTTTCTGTCCCTCTGTGGGCTGCCATCATGGCACTCTTCACTCTGGTCATCCCCACTCCAAGAGTGCAGGCGTTCAGGAGCTACAGCATCTTCTTTTTTTCTTTTTTAGAGATAGGGTTTTGCTCTGTCGCCCAGGCTGGAGTGCAGCGGCACAATCATAGCTCACTGCAGCCTTGACCTCCAGGGTGCAAGCAATCCTCCTGTCTCAGCATCCCAAGTAGCTGGGACTACAGGCGTGCACCACCACACCTGGCTAATTTATTTTTATTTATTTATTTATTTTTTTTTTGTAGAGATGGGGTCTCAGTGTGTTGCCCAGGCTGGTCTCCAACTCCTGACCTCAAGCAATTCTTCCTCGTACACCTTCCAAAGCACTGGGATTACAGGCACGAGCCACAGTGACTGGCCTTATTTCTTTCTGTTCCCCTAGAGCCTGGCAGAATGCTTGGCAGATAAATGGTTACTGAATGAACAAATGAAAATCCCTTTCCTATTTATTCCCTCTGCTTCTCTTATGATCAAAGGCATCACTTATTTCCTACCTCAATTAAAGCATCAGTGATGGCACCTCAACGCTTAAAAGATACCATCCCGAACACAACCACACTTCTGTCTCCCTTGATTTACTAATCAGGGCTCAAACTCTGAAAGCTGCTTGGGTCAAGTGCATTAACCAGCCCAATTTTCCCTTTATGCTTCCCTCCTCATCAAGGCTTCCCTATAATCTCGGGAAAGAGTGGTATCATTTTTGGCAACAGCGAACCTTGCAAAATGAGATGGGGGTTGGAATCACTGAGAGGTGCGAGGCCCCGCTTTTGGAGCTCTCATTATTAGGAAAAATGCACACTTTGCTGAGTGGTTTAATTTCCTCCAGTTGAGCTCTGCAGTTCTTCCAGGAAGCAACAACACACCTCATTAGCTCAGTTCCCTCACAGAGCAGTCTCCCGTACAAACTGTCTACTCTAGCATTTGAGTCCAAGTGTGTCCTGCCTATTAGTCATATTGGGGCAATGTTCACACATCAAGATTTAGCCTGCTTTAAAGCATGAGATATTTTGTGGTCTATGGAGCCCCAGCAAAACTCCTAGAAATTGAATGCAAGATATTGTATGAGTCCGTTTTCACACAGCTATTCCCGAGACTGGGTAATTTATAAAGGAAAGAGGTTTAATGGACTCACAGCTCCACATGGCTTGGAAGGCCTCAGGAAACTTACAATCATAGCAGAAAGCAACAGGGAAGCAAGCACCTTCTTCACAAGGCGGCAGGAGAGAGAAGGAAGGAGGGACTTCCAAACACTTATAAAACCATCAGATCTGAGAACTCACACACTATATCACAAGGACAACATGGGGGAAACTGCCCCCATGATCCAATCACCTCCATCCCTCAACACGTGGAGACTACAGGTCCCTCCCTTGACACATGGGGATTACGATTAGAGATGAGATTTGGGTGGGAACACAGAGCCAAACCATATCATTGTGGGTGCATGGACAAGGAATTTTTGTTTTGTTTTGTTTTTGCTGGGGAGAGAATTCATACCTTTTAACAGCTTCCCTCAGAAGCAGGGCAGGAAGAGATGAACTCAGTCTACACACCCAGAGAACATCACTGTCAGTGTGAGTCTCCCCCAACACCATGGTCACAGGCCAGTGACTAGCCCAGGTTCTGTTGCCAAGCACTTTAGGCTCAACAAAGCTCTATGTCTTCTTTGACAGCCTGGCTCCTATTAATATTTATTTTGGAATATTCTCCGAATATTCACCTACTGGCTCCACGGCTACCTGGGAAATATGTATTTTTCTTTGAGTCATAAAGAGTTGCTTTTCCAGGGATGAGGTAATTGCCTTTAGCCAAAAATTTGTGGGGCTCAGCTTTCCTTGGCCTGATATGCCAGTTTCAAGGTACAGTAGGAGGGCCTGTCATGGGCAAACAAACTAACCCTTTATCATCAGAAGGAGATTTTATATATATATATATATATATATATATTTTTTTTATTTTTATTTTTTTTTTTTTTTGAGATGGAATATCGCTCTGTTGCCCGGGCTGGAGTGCAGTGGCACAATCTTGGCTCACTGCCACCTCCACCTTCTGGCCTCAAGTGATTCTCCTGTCCCAGCCTCCAGAATGGCTGAGATTACAGGTGTGTACCACCTCGCTTGGCTAACTTTTGTATTTTTAGTAGAGACGGGGTTTCACCATGTTGGCCAGGCTGGTCTTGAACTCCTGACCTCAACTGATCCACCTGTCTTGGCCTCCCAAAGTGCTGGGATTACAGGCACGACACCATGACCAACTAATTTTAATTTTCTTTTTCAGAGATGGGGCATTGCTAAGTTGCGCAGGCTGGTCTTGAACTCCTAGTCTCAATCAATCCTCTTGCCTGGGCCTCCCAAAGTGCCAGGATTACATGCGTGGGCCACTGTGCCTAGAAGGATTTTCTTCTTTTACCCTCAATTCTACCATAGTTCCCTGCTTTGTACAGCACTGCTTTCTCTAAAAGGGAAGAAAAGACACACAGACAGACACACACACACATACACACACACTCGCACACATACGGGAGCAGAAGGGAGGCGTCCTTCAGATTCTCAGTTCAGTAAATGAATCTGAGTATAATACAGCTTATCTTGATGAATTCAACTAAAGCAAAAAAAAAAAAAAAAAAAAAAAAAAAACAACTCCAAACCTTAAGTTTTATTAAGCAATGGCTCAGGAATAGAATTTCTAAAAACAATTAAGGGTAAATTAATGCAGACAGTTTCAGGCCAGAGCTAAAAAAAAAAAATCCTCCTGTGCATGCACAGGAAATGCTGCCTACGTTATTCTTACATAGTATTCAATCCTATAACCTTTCTATGGTACATGTCAAACGAGGGGACAACCCTGACTGCTGCAAGAGGGATGAAAATACATCAGGAAATAATGCAAATTAGAAATAATAAATAGCTTTACGCCAAGCAGCAGCAGATCCAAAATTTGGCCAGTAAGATTCTTTTTTTTCTTTTTCTTTTTCTTTTTTTTGGAGATGGAGTCTCACGCTATGGCCCAGGCTGGAGTGCAGTGGCACAATCTTGGCTCACTGTGACCTCTGCCTCCCAGGTTCAACTGATTATCCTACCTCAGCCCCCGTCAAGTAGCTGGGATGACAGGCGCACGCCACCGCACCGGCTAATTTTTGAAGTTTCAGTACAGTCGGGGTTTTACCATGTTGTTCAGGCTGGTCGTGAACTCCTGACCTCAAGTGTTCTGCCCTCCTACTGTACGTTGAAACTGGCATATCTGGCCAAGGAAAGCTGAGCCCCACAGATTTTTGGCTGGGATTACAGGCATGAGCCACCACGTCTGGCCCAGTAGGTTTCTTTATAGAAACTAAAAGCCAAAGGCTGGGGGCAGTGGCTCATGCCTGTAATCCCAGAGCTTTGGAAGGCCCAGGGAGGAGGATCACTTGACCCCAAGAGTTTGAGACCAGCCTGGGCAGCAGAGGGAGATCCGTGTCTCTAAAAATAATTTATAAATTAGATAGGCATGGTGACACGTGCCTGTAGTCTTAGCTACTCACCTGGAAGGCTGAGGTGAGAGGATCGCCTGAGTCCTGAAGGTCGAGGCTGCAGTGAGGTGTGACTGCACCACTGCACTCCAGCCTGGGCAACAGAGCGAGACCATCTCTGAAGGCCATAAAACCCTTTGCTCTCACTCAATGTCTCACCCTCCAACCTCTTTGGCCCTTTACAGAGCTCCAAACTGGTCCTAAAAGTTGTTACCCTGCAACGTCAGCAGAGAAATGAGAAACGTATTACCAAATGAGCCGATTTTCCTTTTACTGTTCTGCCCAAATTGGCCCTGCAAGCTTGTGTTTTTACTGACATTGACCCTGAAACACTTCTGTTTCTTCCCACATCTGGGCCATCCCTATGTCCTTGTGTTACTTTCATTATTGTTATCTCCACTTATAAAATCTTCCAGCCAGGCACAGAGGCTCACGCCTGTAATCCCAGCACTTTGGGAGGCCGAGGTGGGTGGATCATCTGAGGTCAGGAGTTCAAGACCAGCCTGGCCAACATGGTGAAACCCCGTCTCTACTAAAAACACAAAAATTAGCTGGGCATGGTGGTGTGCGCCTGTAATCCCAGCTACTCAGGAGGCTGAGGCATGAGAATCGCTTTAACCCAGGAGGTGGAGTTTGCGGTGAGCCAAGATTGCGCCACTGCACTCCAGCCTGGGCAACAGAGCAAGACTCCGTCTCAAAAAAAAAAAAAAAAAAAAAAATCCTCCTCAAGAACAAGCCAAATGCACCTTTCAGTCAGATCCTATACCCCAGCCCCTCCAGGTCCAGCTTAGTCCTAACCTGGTCTTATCTCAGTCCATCTAAAATGCCTTCCCATCCTGAACTGCCAGAGAGATTGAGCAGATCCTGTTTCTACTATGTGGGAAAATGCATTCATAGCCCAATCCTTCACCTTCCACGTCTCCACATCCTTTGCAGTGTGACTGAAGTTTTTCCCACTCAAGAGGCAAAGTCTGTTTTCTCTACCCCTCGGATCTGGGCTTGGCCACATAGCTTGCTTTGACCAGGTGAAGAGCTACGTACCAGCTCCAAGCGTGAGCCTCACGAGGGGCTCTCTTGCCTTCATAATGAGAAGACTGGGCTAGCCCACTGGTCCTGAAACACAAGGAGCAGAAAGGCGGCCCCCAGCTGGACATGTGCAAGGGTGAGCCCAGCCGTTCTGGCTGCTATGCTGGAACCGTACAGCCTATACATTATCTCATTCTGTTTCACAATAAGCCAGTCATGTAGGATTCCTCATTTTGCAGATGAGAAAATTGAGGCTCAGAGTCACTTTCACAAAGCCAAGAAAGTGGTGGGTAGACTTAAACTTTATCTACCTGACTCCAAAGCTCCTGCTTCTGAAAAGAAGGAATTATTCATCAAGGAAGGTGTGAGTGGAGGAATTTTTTATTGCTTCTGTTTACTCCTTTATATTTCACTGTGGTCTCCAGTTTTCCACACCAAAAACGCATTACCTTTATAATTTAAAAAATACTATAAATGTTACCTTTGTAAATATTTCTATGGAAACAATTTTAGCACTTGAGAAATGATTTCAACATTGCACCTGAAAGAATAGGTAACAATAAATAACAAAACTGTGGAAAAGGAAAGGGTATAAGGAAACCCAGAGATGCACAGTCATATGGTGTTTAACAATATGATATGTTTGGAGAAACGTGTGGTTAGATTTTATCATTGGGAGACAGTATAGAGCAACGGCCCCCAACATTTTTGGCAGCAGGGACCGGTTTCATGGAAGGCAATTTTTCCATGAACCGGGGGTGTGGCGTGGGGGTGATGGTTTAAGAATGAAACTGTTCCATCTCAGATCATCAGGCATTAGATTCTCATAAGGAGTGTGCAGCCTATGAAATAGATCCCTCGTATGCAGAATTCACAATACTCCTATGAGCATTCAATGCTGCCGCTGATCTGACAGGAGCCAGAGCTCAAGTGAGGGATGGGGAGCAGCTGTAAATACAGGTGAAGCTTCGCTTGCTCACCCGCCGCTCACCTCCTGCTGTTCGGCCCAGTTCCTATCAGGCCACAGGCTGCAGACCGAAACCACTCCACTGCCCAAGGTCTGGGGACCCCCGGTATAGAGACTCGGTCCTGGCAGACAAGAGGCATGGTCACCAAGACCCTTCACATCTTCCCCTCCCCAACCTCCCTGCCTCCCTTCACCAGCTGACCTGAGTCACACCGCAGAAAGCAGGCCCTCCTAACTTAGCTAACCAAGCAGAATTCCCAACCATAAAAGAAAGAACCTGTTTCTCTCCTTGAATTACTTCTCCCCAGATTGTTACAGAGGGACTCCACCATTCCTGGTAAGAACGTGGCCATCTTCCAAGGCTAGTGAAGTGAGACGCTGGCATTCCTGAAAAGAGCCTGACTGAATCCAGCCAGCTCAAGACAAGATGGGCTCCAAGCGCTGACCTTTCACTGAGTTTTTCCTCAATATAATCTCATTATAATACTGAAAATCATGCCCAGGAGTAGAGGTTTCACATGCTAATGAGACACGCAATGCATAAAGAAGCATGTTATCAAACTGTGTTGATACTAAAAGCTCCCCACCTCGACATGCGGATCACTCCTTTTTGGGCCTCAGTTTCCTTAAAATAACAAGAGCTAAGCCCTTCTGGGAGCTAGCATGGGGATCCCTTTCTTGTATGCTACCTGGGAACTATTTTTCAGCTTTTCCCCATCGTGTGTAGGCCACAGATGACCAAAGCATCGTTGTATGCTACACATCTGTATATGATATTCAATCCAATATAAAGCTAATATAATTATGGCCGGGGGCAGTGGCTCACATCTATAATTTCAGCACTTGGAGAAGCAGAGGCAAGAGGATCACTTGAGACCAGAGGGTTGAGATCAGCTTGGGCAAAATGGTGAAACTCCATCTCTACAAAATTTTTTTAAAACATTAGCCAGGTGTGGTGGCACATGCCTGTAGTCCCAGCTACTAGGGAGGCTGAGGCGGGAGGACCACTTGAGCCCGGGAGGAAGAGGTTGCAGAGAGCTGTGATGTTACCACTGGGTAACAGAGCAAGATTCTATCTTAAAAATGAAGTAAAACATGCTGGGCATGGTGGCTCATGCCTATGATCCCAGCACTTTGGGAGACTGAGGCAGGTGGATCACTTGAGGTCAGGAGTTCGAGACCAGCCTGTCCAACATGGCAAAACCCTGTTTCTACTAAAAATACAAAAATTAGCCAGGCTTGGTGGTGGGTGCCTATAATCCCAGCTACTCAGGAGGCTGAGGCAGGAGAATCGCTTGAGGCCGGGAGGTGGAGGTTGCAGTGAGCCAAGATTGTGCCACTGCACTCGGGCCTGGGCCTGGGCAACAGAGCGAGACTCCATCTCAAAAAATAAAAAAATAGAAAAGAATATAATTAGGTGGGCATGGTGGTGCGTGCCTGTAGTCTTAGCTAATCAGGAAGCTGCCGCGGGAAGATCACTTGAGCCTACAAGTTCAAGATGGCAGTGAGCTATGATGGCACCACTGCACTCCAGCCTGGGTGACAGAGTGAGACCCTGTCACACACAACATAATAACTCTAATTCTAAGGCTAATATAATTTAATCAGGATGGCTCCAGAACAAGCCAACTGGCAAGTGCAACAGAACCAAGAGGCCACAAGCAGACCTGCTCTTAGAGAATAAATACCTAGAAGGTACCACAAACCAAAAGCAAGGAGAGAATCATTCAATAAATGGTGTTGGGGGTCCTTTCCTATCTCCATGGGGTATAATAGTGCACGTCTCCCTTCCAAACACAATTCAAAACCAACTGCAGATAGATAAAACCATTAAATTTAGAATTATAAATATAGGGAAAATAAAACAAGATATAAGTGAATATTCATACAAATTCTGGATATGAAAGAATTTCCAAGTTTAAAAGTAATAGTTTAATAATAGCCGAAAACCTCTGATCATCAAAATAACATTAAAAGACAACGGCAAATTGCAAAAAAGTCATTTACAGCAATAACAAAAGAGTGAAAGATCTTACACTATTCAAATAATGAAAACTCAAAGAGCACAATTAGATAAATAAACAAAAAACATGAATGCATAATTCATATAACAAAAGAGACAAATGGCTAACAAACTTATAAAAACAGGTAGAACTTCATGAGTAATAAAAGACATTCAAAGTAAAAAACAATGAAATGTCATTTTGCCTCTGGGTGGTGAAATTATAAATCATTTTTGTTGCTTCTTTATACTTTTTCTGTTCTTTTTTTATCATAAGCAAATGTAACAGAAAAACACATCGATTTAGATCAATTCATGGCTGACAAAATCATATTGCAAAATCAAAGGGAACTGCAAAGCTTGACTAAAAGCCTGAGATTTTCACATGGGCATGACATGAAGAGGCATTAAATAAGAGACACACTGTGTTACCCTACAATTGCCCACTGATGCCACAGTCAGCAACAGTTCTGAATCAAAAATGAAATCACAACTATTCCTTTGACAGGCAGATGTGGGGGAAGAAAGATACAACTTGACCTCACATTATTCATTCTTGAAAACAAATACAGATACCACTAAAGGGGACCTCCAACTTCTGTCTCTACCCAGGAGCAATCCCACGATATGCTTG
Source organism: Homo sapiens (assembly GCF_000001405.40). Taxonomy (NCBI): domain Eukaryota; kingdom Metazoa; phylum Chordata; class Mammalia; order Primates; family Hominidae; genus Homo; species Homo sapiens. The sequence goes on along the minus strand of NC_000007.14, from coordinate 71,370,924 downwards.
TATAAGAAACATAAAGTCAGACGAGGCACAGTGGTTCATGCCTGTAATCTCAGCACTTTGGGAGGCTGAGGCAGGAGGATCACTTGAGGCCAGAAGTTCGAGACCAGCCTGGGCAACAAAGAGAGACCCCATCTCTACAAAAAATAAAAATAAGGGCCAGGCGCGGTGGTGGCTCACACCTGTAATCCCAGCACTTTGGGAGGCTGAGGTGGGCAGATCAATTGAGACCAGGAGTTCAAGACCAGCCTGGCCAACATGGCGAAAACCCATCTCTACTAAAAATACAAAAATTAGGGCATGTAATCCCAGCAATTCAGGAGGCTCAGGCTTGAGAATCACTTAAACCTGAGAGGCAGAGGTTGCAGTGAGCCGAGATCACACAACTGTACTCCAGCCTGGGTGACAGATGGAAACTCTGTCTCAAAAAAGTAAAAATAAATAATACAAATTTTAAAAAATTAGCCAGCCTTGGGTGGCACACACCTGTAGTCTCAGCTACACAGGAGGCTGAGGCAGGAGGATCGCTTGAGCCCAGGAGTTCAAGGCTGCAGTGAGCCATGATGCTGCCACTGCACTTCAGCCCCCGCCTCAAAAAGTAACAAACTAAAATAAAATAAACATAAAATCAGTCACTCCACTTGGAGACTTTCCTCTGTTGGTGAACAGGTGGCTCTGAAGAAGCATGAGAGACTTAAACATACAATGACTAAAATCTTGTTTGGAAACTGAGTTAGCTCCAGCTGTATGCCAATTTCTTAAGGTTATAGAACTGCTGTTTACAATGATGACAATGCCATACAGGATGGGAGCCGGGGCTGGGTGTTTTATTAAGAAGCCGAACTCTCTAACTGAGCATCCCTGGCATTGGGTCTCATTCACTAATACCCACTTGTAAAGCAATCTAATAACTTACATGGCCAATTGCTTCCTCTAGACCTCACTTCCACCCTAGGACAGAATGGCATCAAAAGAACGTTTTCAATCCTCTTTAAATCCCATTTCCACTGGCTTTTGAACGTCCTGTAGAATTCTCCCTGCCATCTGGACCATCCCTCTGACACAGGTCAATAATACATAGTTTTTGTTCTTTTTTTTTTTTTTTTTTTTTTTTTTGACAAAAAGCCTCACTATGTCACCCAGGCTGGAGCGCAATGGTGCGATCTCAGCTCACTGCAACCTCCGCCTCTGGGTTCAAGTGATTCTTGTGTCGCAGCCTCCCGAGTAGCTGGGATTACAGGCGCGTGCCATGACACCGGGCTAACTGTTGTATTTTTAGTAGAGACGGGGTTTCTCCATATTGGCCAGGCTGGTCTCGAACTCTAGAACTCAAGTGATCCGCCTACCTCTGCCTCCCAAAGTGCTGGGATTACAGGCGTGAGCCACCACGCCTGGCACATAGTTTTCATTCTTTTCAACCTTCCTCCAACTAGCAGTGCCTTCCTTTCCAAAACCCCACAGGGAAGATCTCCTACGAACTTGGAGACTGCCATATTAACTTTACTCCTCACACTTTGGGCTATTGAGGAAGCTATAGAAATGGTAGTGGATACATGAGGCAGGAACTCAGGGTAGCAACAATAAATCTCTCCATAGCCTTTGTTCCTGACTCTTACCCTTTGCATCCCTAGCCTACAGGTTCCATGAGGTCAGGGACCACTAATCTTTGGCTGATATATCTACTGACATAGGTTAGGCTCATCCCAGATACTTGATAAGTATTGGTTTAATACATTAATCAATGTAACAGAGAAAAGGCATTCTGGTCATGTGTACTAAGAGTAGGTTGTGCAGAGCACAGAGTTCTAGTATTCTAGGACTTATTGAAGAACCTATAATTGTAGAAATACTGATTCCCCTCCCAGGATATCTCATTCCTGGCTGAAAATGCCACATCAGATCACTGGAGAAGAAACTCATCTCTTGCTGAGGATGGTGACTTTATTTAATTCCGATTCTTATTTCATCTCAGTGGTAAAAGCTAGGAGAGAGGAACACCCCCCCCCACCCCCGAGGAAACTGGGCAGTATAGATACGCCTCAATGCTTATCACTGATGGAGGGCCATGCCTAGCCTTTGATTTTAATATGGATCTTGTATCAGTTTAAAAATCTGTTTCTTCCTTCTTAACACACCGAAGAACAAGTATGTCTATATCACCCAGAAACATTAGCTTAACTGTGACATTTGCAAACACTGAGCATCAATTATGGGCAAGCAAAGTGTTGAGGATACAGAAATTTCTAAAATCTCACTGTTATTCTGGAAAAGCTCACAGCTCCTTAAGAAAAAAATATATATGTAAATCATAATTATGACACGGAAGGATAAATGCGACAAGAGACGTTTGTTCATCCTGCTCTGGGAGCTTATTTCTGCCTTCAAGGAGATCAACGGGGCCCAGGGAAGGTTTCACAGAGGTGACAAAATTTGAACTGGGTCATGAAGCATGAGTAAGTAATTTCCAGGTGAGGGCCTGCAAAGGGGGAGACAGGAAGACGGGAAAAACTCTCTAGGAAAAAAATGAATAGCATGTGTAAAAACAGAGGAGAGAAAATGTACAATGTACCGCCAAGAAACTGAAATAGATGTTTCAGGAAGGGACTGAGGCGAGGAAAAGAAGACAGCAGTGTACCAGGTGTTCTGAAGCCACCTTATAAAATTCAGACTTGATCCTCCAGTCATGGGAAGTCCCAGTGTCAAGGGTTTTAGACCAGAGAAGTGACATTACACAGAGCATGTGTGTTAATCAAAGAACAACATAGCATCCCTTCAGGTCCAACCAAGATGCGTGTGTGCACGCTCTCTTCCCCAGATCACAATCCTCCCCCTCCCCACGTCTGTTCTTCGGCTCCTCCCACGGCCCCAGAGATTCTGCCACTGCCTTTTGGCCCCAAGCAATGGGGAATGTGTGGAGACATCTTCCGTGGGCAGTCAGAACTGGCTCAGAGAGCCCAAGTCCTCTCCTAGGGTCCAGTGCTCTGGCTGGTGACCTGCTAGTTCTCTGTGTGGCTCCATCACAAGTCCCCTCTTCCTTATTCTGAATAAAGACCACCAGTAAAAGGTACTTCCTTGACCACATAACTTACCTAATTAACAATGGCAGCTTGTTCTATGCAGCTGACTGCATCGTTGGCAGAAAACGGTGTTTTCCAGCCTAAATCATCAGAACTACAAACAAGGCATTTGGTCTGATAGGAAGAGCCCCAAATAGAAGGGGGCATTTGACCCCTGAAATTAAATTTGAAAGGAGCTGGTGGACTCGTCAGTGGCTAGTGAGACCAGTCAAAGAAATTGGCAACTCACTAGATCTGATTTCTCAATTTCCCGGTGGCCTCAGGCATTGGGGGCCCCACTGTAACCTGGAACCATCTGTTAAAGGCAAACAACCACATAGATTAGGGACACTTGTCTGGAAACCACCAACAAACATGTCAAACAGAAGGGAAGCTCGGTCTATACCAAATAGGTTCCCTTCTCGGCTGTCATTATGATGTGTGGTCCAAATGCCAGTGGTCCAGACTGTCCCCTTCCCACCTCCCCTGCACACATGTCAAGGTAAACCCATGGCCAGCGCTTGGGATTTGGGGTTTCCACCTATATGTTTTTTGGTCCCATACCCTTCATCAGTTTATCCTCAGGCTAACACCCAGCTAGAACCTACTGATGTTTTACAAAGATACTCAGAAGCCTATAAGGAAGAAGTATTGATGAGGAGAGGCAAGAGAAGTAGATGGATAAGATTACGGCAGTGGTTTTACAAGAGACATGAAGGAATCCAGGGTCAAAGAGGAATGTTTTTTATTGATCAAAGGTATTGCTTGAGACAATTAAATAGTCATGAATATACATACCTAACAACATAGTTCACCAATAGGTAGAACAAAATGTATTGAAAATCCATGAACTAAAAGACAAAAAGTCTCGGTCCGAGTGAGTGATATGAACAAATGTCTCTCAGAAATCAACAGAAGGAACCCACATATTCAATAAATACATGAAGAGATGATCAACCTCTGTAATAGTCAAAGAAAGGCATCCAAGAACTATAAAGAAATATTTTTTTAGCCTTCAGGTTGGCAAAACAAATGAAGACTGGTCTTACCTAGGGAGTCAGGTGTGAGGAAGGCCACTCATGTACTGTTGGGTGACATATAAACAGGCAGAGTCCTTTAGAGAGCAAGTCGGCAGAATCTTTCAAGATTAAAAATGGACATGTCTAACATATTCATGCATAAGAAAACAGCAGAAGGACACACAAGAAACAGCCAACAGTAGTCACCTTTGCTGAGAAGAGAGAGATCTGGGGCTGGGGCTTGAAGAGGATTTCTTGTTTGTTTGTTTGTTTGAGACAGAGTCTCGCTCTGTCGCCAGGCTGGAGTGCAATGGCACGATCTCAGCTCACTGCAACCTCCGCTTCCCAGGTTCAAGCAATTCTCCTGTTTCAGCCTCCCGAGTAACTGGGATTACAGGCGCCCGCCACCATGCCTAGCTAATTTTTGTATTTTTAATAGAGACAGGGTTTCACTATGTTGGCCAGGATGGTCTCGATCTCTTGACTTCGTGATCCACTCGCCTCGGCCTCCCAAAGTGCTGGTACAGGTGTGAGCCACCGTGCCCAGCCGAGGGTTTCTTTTTCTATGTATACACCTAGATCACAGGTCCCCAACCCCTAGGCCTCGGAACAATACCAGTCTGTGACCTGTTAGAATCCAGGTCACACAGCAGGAGGTGAGCGTCAGGAGAGTGGGCAAAACTTCTTCTGTATTTACAGCCTCTCCCCATCTACTCACGTGACCACCTGAGATCTGCCTCCTGTCAGCTCAGCAGCAGCATTAGATTCTCGTAAGAGTGCAAGCCCTATCGTGAACTGAGCATACGAGGGATCTAGGTTGCGAGCTCCTTATGAGAATCTAATGCCTGATGATCTGTCACTGTCTCCCATCACCCCCAGATGGGACCGTCTAGTTGCAGGAAAACAAGCTCAGGGCTCCCCATGATTCTACATTGTAATGAGTTGTGTAATTATTTTATTATATATTACAATGTAATAATAATAGAAACAAGTGCACAATCAATGGAATGAGCTTGAATCATCCCCAAACCAACCCACCCCTCACCCCCAGTTCATAGAAAAATTGTCTTCCATGAAACCAGTCCCTGGTACCAAAAAGGCTGGGAACTGCTGATCTAGACAATTCATAAATAACATATTCAACTGTCATTTGGATACTTTCTTTAAATTAAAAAAAAAAGAATTTAAAACTCTATTAAAACTATTAAATTTGGCAGGAAATCATAGGAGACATCTGCACATTTCAATACAGTGCTTACTATGCTGAGCTGTGGAGGGAGTGATGGATGCAACAGATTAAAACTATTCCTCCTGGGTGGGCGCTGTGGCTCACGCCTATAATCCCAGCACTTTGGGAAGCCGAGGCGGGTGGATCACCACAGGTCAAGAGATTGAGATCATCCTGGCCAACATGGTAAAACCCCATCTCTACTAAAACTACAAAAAATTAGCTGGGAGTGGTGGCGCACGCCTGTAGTACAGGTATTCAGGAGGCTGAAACAGGAGAATTGCTTGAGCCTGGGAGGCAGAGGTTGCAGTGAGCTGAGATCGCACCACTGCACTCCACCCTGGCAGCAGAGCGAGACTCTGTTTCAAAAAAACAAAAACTATTCCTTCCATGACCGGATGTGGTGGCTTATGCCTGTAATCCCCGTGCTTTGGGAGGCTGAGGCAGGCAGATCACTTTAGGTCAGGAGTGTGAGACCAGCCTGGCCAACATGGTGAAGCCCAGTATCTACTGAAAATACAAAAGTTAGCCAGGCATGGTGTTGCACAGGCCTGTAATCACAGCTACTTGGGAGGCTGAGGCAGGAGAACCGCTTGAACCCAGGAGGCAGAGGTTGCAGTGAGCCAAGACCATGCCACTGCACTCCAGCCTGGGGGACAGAGTGAGACTCCATCTCAAAATAAAAATAATAAAAAAAAGTATTAAAATGATTCCTTTTAGAAATCTGGGAATGCAGGGGAAAGATAGGAGAAGGGAAGTAGATTAAAGAAGCGGAATTTTCACTTGGCATTCAGCCCCAGCAAATGAGTTCCTCTCATCTTACATTCCTACATCTTTAAAGAATTTTGCTCTCCACTCAGCCAGCAGGTGGGATTGTAAGCAGAAAGCATGCTAAGCTCTAGTAGGCAAAGTCATGCCTTCTTCAAAATGAGTGTCCTGACATACCTCCCTCTTTTCTCCCTAAGACAGTTTTGCTCCCTGACTCCATGCCTGGGTTTAAAAATTGCTTTAATGAGTCATTGAAAACGGGTTCTAATGAAAAATATTTAGTCACACATCTGCACTACCCCATAAAATGTTCTACTTTCCTCACTGGTCCAAAGGAATATTGCCAGGAATGCCATTTACCTGGCAAAATGGTATGTTGCCTTGGGAATCCCACCCCATACAACGACCTCACAGAAGAGAGGCAGAATTAGGCCCAGCAGGATATTGGTGGAGGGCACTGAGTCCTGTGAAAACCAGGACTGAAGCGAGACACTCCATCCAGGACACTCAGAGAAGGAAAAGATAAAACTGTGTGGGAGCACCAAGATCCTACATGCCAAGAACTGAGGAAGGCAGAACACCAAATCTGTACTGAGGCCTGACTTCAAATCTCTGGCCTGCCACTAACTACTGTTAAATTAAGTTTAGCCTAATAAGAATGATACAATGGACTTTGGGGACTTGGTGGTAAAAGTGGGAGGGGAGGTGAGGGATAAAAGGCTACAAATAGGGTGCTGTATATACTGCTCGGGTGATGGGTGCACCCAAATCATCACTAAAGAACCTACTCATGTAACCAAATACCACCTGTACCCCAATAACTTATGGAAAAAAACATGTATATATGTAAGTTTAGCCTAAAGCTGCCTCCTTGCATACTTTAAGTTAAACCTCAAGGTTTCTCCATAAATAGTGGACTGTAACCTTACTGGATATGGAAACAAACTGTCACCTATTCTTGTGCCAATCACTGAGTTTCGGCCAATCAAAGGTGGCCAACTGTTCAAACTGTGCTCAAGTAAGGCAAACACTGAGCTGTAATCAAGAAGCTGCTTCTCTACCTTGCTTCTGTTTTCCGTCCACCACTCTCCTTTTGCTGTCCTTAAATCTTTATCCACCACGCGGCTGTCCGATCTGCGAATCCTTCTTTGCTCAATTAAACTCTGTTTCATTTAATTTGTCTAGGGTTTTCTTTTTAATATCAGCTATACGAAAGTTACTTAACTGCTGGAAGGGAATACTAAAGAAGGCTGGTTTTGAAGTCGGAGAATGAAGAAATCAGAGAATGGAGCAGAATTCCAAGTTGGGGAGATCATCATGGACACAGAAAGGTCTCAATCAAAGGGAATGGGGGTGATGGAGCTGTCCAGAGAAAGCCGCCAAACTGGCGGCTGGCATTGGCTGCTGGTCTCACTAGAGTGACCAGGACACAACGTGTGTTTGCAAAAGATTGCTCTGCTCTGAGGGTAAGGACTTTGCCTCTCAATCACCACTGTATTTTCCAGTGCCTGGTGCATTTCAGGGTACACCATCTACACTCCAAAACTATTGCTTATTGAGTACATTAACACATTAGAAATGGAACAAAGTGGCCAGGTGCAGTGGCTCACGACTGTAATCCCAGCACTTTGGGAGGCCGAGGTGGGTGGATCACTTGAGGTCAGGAGTTCAAGACCAGCCTGGCCAACATGGTGAAACCCTGGCTCTACTAAAAATACAAAAATTAGCCAGGCATCGTGGTGCGTGCCTGCAATCCCAGCTACTCAGGAGGCTGAGGCAGGAGAATCACTTGAACCCAGAAGATGGAGGTTGCGGTCAGCTGAGATCGGGCCACGGCACTCCAGCCTGGGTGACAATGTGAGACTCTGCCTCAAAAAAAAAAAGAAAGAAAGAAAGAAAGAAATGGAAGAAGGTGTGGAGGGCAACATGTTCAGGGGTCCTGTATTTAGAGTTGGGGAAAGGAGTGTTCAGCGTGGCTGAGATTTACACAGCATCAAACAACCCGTGTACGGTCTTTCAGTCAAGACCTGAGTCGCCCTTTGAACAGTAGCAAATCAGCCATGTTTCCTTCACGACTCACGGGGAAGGCTTTCAGCGGGGCAGGGTTAGGTGGAGCGTTTCCCGTAAAAATATACACAAATGGATTTGTTTTCTTGGGGCACTTTTGCCAAGAAAAATGCCACTAAATCAGCATCTTGGCCATGAAAAAAAGCAACAGCAAGTCTTCATCTGAATCACACAGCCACGTGGGATGCGTTCCCTTAGGCCTGTGCACAGGCATTAAGGAGGCAAAATGGGATCAATGAATTTCTTTGTTAATCTTGATATTTGCAGGAAGCCAGCGAACCAAGCACTCTGCAAATCACCAGCTTTAATCTTCAGAATTACTTATACTGCCATTTAGGAGAATTTTGTTTTCTGGGGAGATCTGCACACAGCAGGCGGCAAACATTCTAATTGCTGTTAAGTACATTTGGTGTAATATGTTGGGGGAAATGTAGTCTTTGAATCAGTTAAGCATGAACACACATGCTCAGGGGCAGAATGTAAGTTTGTACACAAAGAAGTGATTTAGTCACAAAGACAAAATCTCATACAAAGCCGGGCGCGGTGGCTCACGCCTATAATCCCAACATTTTGGGAGGCCGAGGCAAGTGGATCACTTGAGGTCAGGGGTTCGAGACCAGCCTGGCCAACATGGAGAAACCCCGTTTCTACTAAAAATACAAAAAATTAGCCAGGCGTGGTGGCAGGCGCCTGTAATCCTAGCCACTCGGGAGGCTGAGGCAGGAGAATCTCTTGAACCCAAGAGGCAGAGGTTGCAGTGAGCTGAGACTGCACCACTGTACCCCAGCCTGGGCAACTGAGGGAGACTCCATCTCAAAAAATAAAAATAAAAAGTAAAAATCTCATACAGGAAAAGAACCTGCCTCCTCCAGCCATGAACAGCACCTAGCCCAGCCCCAGCCGTAGTTCAATCACATAAACAAACGCCCAAATTGTGCTCAACCTTTTATCTTCCTGCCTGCCCACTCTCTCTCTCTCTCTGTCTCTCTCTCTCTCTCTCTCTGAGTTCATTTGCAGTCAAGATGCAATGCTATTTATAACACATATTGTGCTGGAGTCACCAGGATTTGCAACCTGAAGCTGAAGACATTCAATCTATGCAATAGAAATAAAACTCAACGAAACTCAACATCACAGCTATTTTATTCTGCCAAGTATTATAGCCAGACACATATGCTTCTCCTACTAGATGAAAAAACTCCTCGTAGCCAGGGGGCAGGTCTTGTGCATTTTCACATTCCTTAAGCTCTGAGCTCTGTGTCTACTATATAGTAAATATACAATAGGTATTTGTTGAACTGAATTGAAGATGACTTTCCAAGAATTAGTGAGAAAGAACAGAGAGGAATATCGAAAGGGGAAGAAACCTTCAAGGCGGTCTCAGATAATAGAAATGGTGTCCCTGGGTTTCAAGTGCTAAAACTTCCCATGAGAAGCACACTGATAAAGTCTGTAGGCACCCATATCACAGGTAAAATGCAAGACTCAAATGTTGTTGATAGTGGTTTTTTATTTTTTATTTATTTTGTATTTCAATTGACACCCCCCCAGGTGTTTCTTATGCCCATGAAGTTTTGAGAGTAACTGGTATAGATAGTAAAAACTGTAAAAGCAGATATAGGAATGACCACTGTTGGCTACAGCACTGCATACCAGAAATTCTGGGAACTTTGGGTAACTCATATAATAATAATGAGCCCCCAGGATGTCATTCAGTTACATATTTATTCAATAAGAGCTTGTTGATACCAATAAGTAGCTAGTCAAATAAGTTTTATCAGGATTATTTGTTTCTTGATGTGAAATACAGCTACGAGAAAGTTATTATTATTTTTAAGGACGTCTTTTAAGGAGCAAGGCGTCTTGTTCTGTCACCCACACTGGAGTGTAGTGCCACGACCTTGGCTCACTGCAACCTCCGCCTCCCGGGTTCAAGCAATTCTCGTGCCTCTGCCTCCCAAGTAGCTGGGATTACAGGGACCCGCCACCATACCCAGCTAATTTTTGTGGGTTTTTTTTAGTAGAGACGGGGTTTTGCCACGTTGGCCAGGCTGGTCTTGAACTCCTGGCCTCAAGTGATCTGCCCATCTTGGCCTCCCAAAGTACTGGGATTACAGGCATGAGCCACTGCACCCGCTGGCTATCAGAAAGTTTTAAAAACATCTGTATCTGTAATTTACACACTCTTATTAGGAGAGAGGAACAATGGCAATGTGATATCTGAAATTTAGTAAAACCAAAGCATTTCTTGTGTCTGTAATTATATATAGATCAGGCCAGTTTGTCGTGGCTTGTATATCTGCAGTAATTAAAGTGATAACCGAAGTTCGGTATCCATAGTCCCAGGAACTTGGAAAATGACTTTTTCATCACAAGTTGGTTCTTCCTTCTGGGTTTCTTGCTTCAGTGACTCATCTGAACTGGAAATCACATGTTTTCCTTTTATTTAGTAGTTATGATGGTAGAGATCACATCTTATCCGAGTTAGTAGTCATAATTTATATCTGGTCGATCGGATGAATGAATTTTTGAACAAATGAGTTCACTAGAAGTCCTTATAAAACAGCTAAGATATCAAATTGTATTCAGTAGGTTTACTTCAGTACTGTGGGATTTTCATCATATTTGGTTGGATCATGTGAGATTGTTGATATTTGGCCACAAATAGCAATTTCATACAGTGCAACCTAATACTTCAGTTCTTTGAAACTTGGAACCTGGGAATCTGTACTTCAATAAGAGCCTCAAGGGATTTTAATGTAGCTGTCTACACTGATGTAGGTAAGTATTCCCATCCACATAAGCCTTCAATCTAGTATCTCCCCACTTAAAACCAAGTGGGGAGATCGTGGAGACCACATCTCATCTGGTTGAAACCTTACATGGTTTCAGCAATATAAACGGAAATCAACCCTGGATTGGATTATCATGAATTTTTATTTATTCGTTCATTTCAGGCAGGTGGATCACCTGAGGTCAGGAGTTTGAGGCCAGCCTGGCCAACATGGTGAAACCCCATCTCTACTAAAAGCACAAAAATTAGCCGGGTATGGTGGCAGGTACCTGTAATCCCAGCAACTTAAGAGGCTGAGGCAGAAGAACTGCTTGAACCCAGAAGGTGGAGGTTGCAGTGAGCCGAGACGGTGCCACCGCACTCCAGCCTGGGTGACAGCAAGATCTGTCTAAAAAAAAAAAAAATTATACCCACTGCAGTAGTTATATGCTATGTTTTGGATATTTGACACGCCATATTGAAATCTGATTCCCAAAGTTGGAGTCGGGGGTCTACTGGAAGGTGTTTGGGTCATGGGGCCGACCCCTCATGGATGCCTTGGAGCTATCCTCATGGTAGTGGGTTCTCTACTCTGTGAGTTCTCAGGAGAGTTCCCTGGGAGCTAATTGTTGAAAAGAGCCTGGCACCCGGCACCTGCCACCCCTCTCTCCCTTCCACTCTCACCATGAGATCTCTGCACGCTGGCTCCTCTTCACCCTCCTCTGAGAGGTGGCACAGCCTCAAGCATTCGACAGAACCTGAGCAAATGCTGGTGTCATGCTTCTCGTACAGCGTGTAGAACTGTGAGCCAGTTAGACCTCTTTTCTTTATAAAGTATCCAACCTGAGGTATTCCTTGACAGCAACACAAACAGACAAAGGCACTGTACTTGTGACACTAACAATGGTCCCTTTGAACTACAAATCTTGTAAATCATTGCAAATCAACAAAATTAATGAATGGAAGCAAATCCCAGAATTTTGGGAGGCCAAGGCAGGAGGATCACTTGAGGTCAGGAGTTTGAGACCAGCCTGGCCAGCATGGCGAAACCCCATCTCTACTAAAACTCCAAAAAAGTAGCCGGATGTGGTGGTGGGCGCCTGTAATTCCAGCTACTCAGGAGTCTGAGGCAGGAGAATCACTTGAACCCAGGACACAGAGGTTGCAGTGAGCCAAGATTGTGCCACTGCACTCCAGCCTGGGCAACAAGAGCGAAACCACGTCTCAAAAAAAAAGAAAAAGAAAAAGAAAAGAAAAGAAAAAAGAAAGAAAAGCAAACTTATGATAATCAGTGAAAATTCTGGGTTCCACATATCTCTGAACACGTTTTACAACATAATAATAAATACAGTTAAAAGAACAAATTACAACAAAGTAGAAAACCACAAACTACCAGTGAGCTTTCTCTCTCCCACTCCTATTGCAAACCTTCATACAGAGCGCAAGGAAAATCTAGGAAAACTGTGGAACCAGAAAGTGGGAAGCTGCTGCTAAGAGTAGGACTGAGCTAAAAGAACCATCAGAAGGGGAAACTCAGCTTAAGTGTGAAAATATGGAAAACGAGCTCTGGTAGATAAGATCAGGTTCTGTAACAAACAACTTTATTTATTTATTTATTTTTTGAGACAGAATCTTACTCTCTCGCCCAGGCAGGAGTGCAATGGCGCAATCTCGACTCACTACAACCTCCGCCTCCGGCGTTCAAGTGATTCTCCCCTTCAGCCTCCCGAGTAGCTGGGATTACAGGCACCTGCCACCATGCCTGGCTAATTTTTGTATTTTCAGTAGAGATGAGGTTTTGTGTCCGCAGTTGGTTCCCGCCTGTGGGCTCGTGGTCTCGCTGACTTCAAGAATGGAGCCGCGGATCTTCATGGTGAGTGTTATAGCTCTTAAAGGTGGCACCGACCCAAAAAGTGAGCAGCAGCAAGACTTATTGTGAAGAGCCAAAGAACAAACCTTCCACAGCATGGAAGGGGACCCGAGCGGGTTGCCGCTGCTGGCTGGGGTGGCCAGCTTTTATTCCCTTATTTGTCCCCTCCCATGTTCCATTTCTGTCCAATCAGAGTGCCCTTTTTTCAATCCTCCCTGCGATTGGCTACTTTTAGGATCCTGCTGATTGATGCGTTTTACAGAGCACTGATTGGTGCATTTTACAAAGCTCTGATTGGTGCATGTTATAATCCTGATGCTAGCTACAGGGCGCTGATTGGTGCATTTTACAATCCCCTTAAAAGTTCTCCAAGTCCCCACTCAACCCAGTAAGTCCAGCAGGCTTCACCTCTCAGTTTCACCATGTTGGCCAGGCTGGTCTCGAACTCCCGACCTCAAATGATCCACCCACCTTGACCTCCCAAAGTGCTAGAATTACAGGCGTAAGCACCTAGCCAAAGACGGGACTTTAAATCTGCATGACTCAAGGCATTGTTTCTGGGAGAGAAGAAAGTTAAAAAGTATGGGGAGGCAGCCTTTAAACACTGAGTGGTGAATGGGAAAATATGCAAAAGGGGAAAACTTAGTGTCCTCTTCAAAAGCAGTCCCTCACCTTTTTGAGACCAGGGGCCAGTTTCATGGAAGACAACTTTTCCAAGGGTGTGGGGGGATGGGGAATGGTTTCAGGATGAGACTGCTCCACCTCAGATCGTAAGGTATTAAATTTTCATAAGGAGCGTGCAATGCATGCACAGTTCACAATAGGGTTCGCGCTCCTATGAGAATCTAATGCTGCCGCTGATCTGGCAGGAGGTGGCACTCAGGCGGTCATGCTCACTTGCCTGCCACTCACTTCCTGCAGTGCGTCCCAGTTCCTAACAGGCCACAAACTCGTACCAGTCCATGGCCTGTGGGTTGGGGGTCCCTAAATAAGAGAAAACCCAGAGGCCAGATGACACAACATATTCCCTATCGCAAACACACACAAAAAACACTCCCACTGGCCAGGCATGGTGGCTCATGGCTGGAATCCCAGCACTTTGGGAGGCCGAGGAGGGTGGATCACCTGAGGTCGGTCAGGAGTTTGAGACCAGCCTGACCAACGTGGTGAAACCCTGTCTCTACTAAAAATACAAAAATTAGCCAGGCATGGTGGTGCGTGCCTGTAATCCCAGCTACTTGGGAGGCTGAGGCAGAAGAACTGCTTGAACCCAGAAGGCGGTGGTTGCAGTGACTCAAGATGGTGCCACTGTACTCCAGCCTGGGTGACACAGTGAGACACCATCTAAAAAATATATATATATGCTCACTGCAGAATTTATATGCTATGTTTTGGATATTTGACACGCTATATTGAAATCTGATTCCCAAAGTTGGAGGCGGGGCCCACTGGAAGGTGTTTGGGTCATGGGGCCGACCGCTCATGAACGCCTTGGAGCTATCCTCATGGTAGTGAGTAAGTTCTCTACTCTGTGAGTTCTCAAGAGAGTTCCCTGCGAGCTAATTGTTGAAAAGAGCCTGGCACCTGCCACCCCTCTCTCCCTTCCACTCTCACCATGCAATCTCTGCAGGCTGGCTCCCCTTCACCCTCCTCTGAGAGTGGGCACAGCCTCAGGCCTTTGACAGAACCTCAGCAAATGCTGGTGTCATGCTTGTATAGCCTGTAGAACTGTGAGCCAGTTAAACCTCTTTTCTTTATAAATTATCCAACCTCAGGTATTCCTTGACAGCAACACAGACAAAGGCACCGTACTTGTGACACTAACAGACAATGGTCCCTTTGAACTACAAATCTTGTGAATCATTGCAAATCAACAAAATTAATGAATGTAAGCAAATCTCAGCACTTTGGGAGGCCAAGGCAAGAGGATCATTTGAGGACAGGAGTTTGAGACCAGCCTGGCCAACATGGCGAAACCCCATCTCTACTAAAACTCCAAAAAAGTAGCCTGATGTGGTGGTGGGCGTCTGTAATTCCAGCTACTCAGAGGCTGAGGCAGGAGAATCGCTTGAACTCAGGAGGCAGAGGTTGCAGTCAGCCGAGATCGCGCCACTGCACTCCAGCCTGGGTGACCAGAGCAAGACTCTGTCTCAGAAAAAAAAAGGAAGCAGACTCCGTATATACAAAGTAACTATATCGAGAAGAAAGTGAAAACAGAAAATCAGAATGCCTCATGTGATAGAAATACACACTGCTCTCAGAAAACAGGCAACACATCTTCTCAACCTCAGGGGAACAGTTGTAAAATAGAATCTGCTGGGCATGGTGGCTCACACCTGTAATCCCAGCACTTTGGGAGGCTGAGGTGGGTGAATCCCTTGAGCCCATGAGTTGAAGACCAGCCTAGCCAACATGGAGAAACTCTGTCTCTACCAAAAACACAAAAATTAGCTGGGCATAGTGTTAGACGCCTGTGAATCCAGCTACTCGGAAGGCTGAGGCAGGAGAATTGCTTGAACCTGGGAAGCAGAGGTTGCAGTGGGCCGAGATCATGCCACTGAACTCCAGCCTAGGTGACAGAGTGAGACTCCATCTTAAAAAAAAAAAGACACTCTCTGATCACTATGCAATAAAATTTAAAATTATTAATAATGTTTTTAAAAAGTTATCCATCTGCAAATTTCAAAAACCTACTAAACCTGTCTTGAGTGACAAGGTAAATACAAACCGAAGTTAAAGCATTTCTAAAAAATAATGGTAATGAAAACACCACATATCACAATCAGTGGGAAGTTTTAAGCATTAAGAAGAAAAACATTCAAAGCCTTAAAACCTTTTAGCAATAAAAATACTTGAATTACATTTCCAACTTAGAATGCTTTTCAGAAAGGAAAACAACAACAAAGTAAGTCAAAAGAAAATACAAGGAAGGCAATAATAAACATAAAAAGCAGAACTCAATAAGTCAGAGAATAGAAAAATACAAGATCTTGAATAAATCAAAATTCTGTTTTTTAAAACATAATTAACAAAGTAGACCACATTTAACTAACTTATGGGAAAAAAGAGAAAGCACAAATACATAAATAAGAAACCAAAGGGGGAAATAATCATTGAAACAAATAACTGTTAAAAATAAAAATAAAGACTCATTTGCAGATCCCTATACAAATAAATTTAAAAGCCTAGATGTAATGGATAATTTCCTAGGGAAAGGCAATTTGCCAAGGTTGACATCATTAGAGACAGAAACCTTAAACAGAGCTATTTCCTCAGGAAAAAAATTGCAAAAACCATCAAGAAACTACCCCATAAAAAACATCAGGCCCAGATGGTTTCACAGGTGACTTCTACTAAACATTTAAGAACCAGATAGTCATAATGCTCCATAAATTGTTCCAGAGGATTGAAAACCTAATTCCTTTTGTAATGTATTAATAATTAAACTTCTTAAGGAAAGCAGAGAGAGAGAGAATGAATTACAAATATTGATGCACAAGTTGTAAATAAAATATTAGTGAACAGAATCCAACATCACATTAAGAAAATAATACACCATAGCCTAATGGAATAAATTCCATTAATATAAATTTGGTTTAACATTAAGAAATCCACTATTATAATGCAAAATATTTATAGACATAGGAAGAAAGAAATTGATGATTTTCGGTATAGTTACTGAAAAAACTGAAATGAGTTTGGAAAATTCAACACCCATCCTAATAAAAGAACCCTCAAGATCATTAAAACTAATGAATACTTTCTTAACACAATAAACTATACCATAGCCATAGAGATAGCATCTTACTTAATGAGAAACACTAGAGGCACTTCTGTCAAAGACAGGAAAGGCAAGGGTTCCCACTATCTCCACTAATTCAACATTGTCCTGGAGGTATTAGGAAACATAATTGACTACCATGCAGACACCATCTGATATAGTACGGGTCTGTGTCCCCACCCAAATTTCATGTTGAATTGTAATTCCTGATGTTGGAGGTAGGGTGTGTTAGGAGGTGACTGGATCATGGGGGTAGTTTCTTACGGTTTAACACCATTCCCCCATGGTACTGTGAGTGAGTTCTCATAAGATCTGGTTGTTTAAAAGTGTGTAGCACCTCCTTCTCTCTCTCTCTTGATCCTGCTCCCACCATGTGAGAAACCTTTCTTCCCCTTCATCTTCCGCCACAATTGTAAGTTTCCTGAGGCCTCCCCGGAGGCCCAGCAGATGCCAGCATCATGCTTCCTATATAGCCTGTGACACCATGAGTCAATTAAACCTCTTTTATTTGTAAATTACCCAGCCTGAGGTATTTCTTTATAGCAATGCCAGAACAGATTAATACACCACATTTAACCCAGGAATCAATATTATCACCACCAGTAATGAGACAAGTAATGAGTGGCTTCTATGTCACTACATTCTTCTGAATTTTTTCCTTCTTCATTAGCTGTTCCTTTCCCTCATGTGTGTCCTGATAAGATGCAACAGATGCAACACCATTTTTGTAGTATTCCTGCCACAAAAGCACATTCTGAATCTAATTCTGATGAAATATTGGACAAATATGAATTAAGAGGCATTTTAAAAAATAACTGGACTGTCATCTTCAAAAATGTCAATGTCATGAAAGACAAAGACTAAAGGGCTGTTTCAAAATAAAACATGATAAATGAATGTAATACATGATCTAGGACTTTCTTTTTCTGTAAAGGACATTATTGAGACAACTGGTGAAATGTGGATAGGCAATACTATCATATTGTCCTGTGGTTATGTAAGAGAATGCCCTTGTTCTTGGGTTGGTCACACTGAAGTATTCAGAGACAAAGGGGCATCATGTCTGCAACTCACACTCAAATGATTCAGAAAAAAATAGATATACACATGGAGATATATAAATATTGTAAAATGTGAACCTTTAAGGAAACTGGATAAAGAAAATAGAGAATTTTTTGTAGTATTCTTGCAACTTTTCTGTAACTCTTATGTTATGACAAAATGGGAATTTTATAAGGAACAATAATAATAATAATAACCTCCTTTGACCCCCACCCCCCAAAGCCCTCAGGCTAGCATGCCTCTTCTCCCTTTCACAATAAAATTCATCAGAGTAGTCATTTTGCTCTCTCATTTCTTCCCTCCCATTCACTCCTTAATCAACCCCAATCAGGGTTGAATATCCTTGTTGAGGTCATCAATGAACTTCATGTTGCCAAATCTGCTGAACGATTCTGGCATCTCACTATCGCTCATCACCAGTAACCACTGCTTCCTCCTGGAACACTCCTTTTCTGGCTTCCACGTCACTTCTTTTTCCTGGATTTCTACCTGCTTCATTAGTTGTTCCTTCTCCACATCCTTTGCTGAATTTCTCTCCTCTACCCACGTTCTAAATTTTGGAGTGGCACAGCACTCACTCCTGGGCTGCTGCCACATCTCCAGCTCTCTCTCCTTAGTGATCTCAGCTTTGATGGTCACGTCTATGTTGATGCCTTCAAAGGTCTATCTCCCAACCCCTATCTCTCTCTCAAGCTCCAGATTCATAAATTGTTCAACCATCTATTTGATATCTCCCAATATATGACTAAACATCAAATCAAACTTAACAAATCCCAAGTAGAATTCTTAAAGAGCCCTCCAAATCTGTTTTTCAGTTTTACCACTTCAGTAAATGGCACTACCGTGCACCCATATGTTGCAACCTAAAACCCAGTAGTATTCCTTGATGACCTCCACCATAAATCTCTACTTCTTCCCATCTTACTATGTATATTAGTTCTTTTTCATGTTGCTGATAAAGACATACCTGAGTCTGAGTAATTTATAAAGTAAAAGAGGTTTCATGGACTCACAGCTCCACATGGCTGGGGAGGCCACACAGTCATGGCAGAAGGTAAAAGGCACTGCTTACATGGCAGCGGCAAGAGAGAATTAGAGAGTCAAGTGTAATGGGTTTCCCCTTATAAAACGATCAGATCTTACGACACTTTATCACTACCATGAGAACAGTATGGGGGAAACTGACCTCATGATTCAATTTTCACCCACTGAGTCCCTCTCACACATGGGAATTATGAGAGCTACAATTCAAGATGAGATTTGGGTGGGGACACAGCCAAATCACTAGGCACATATCACTAGGCACACCCTAGTCGGAATCACTATCATCTCCTACTAGCACTATCCTCCAAACTGGACTCCTTACATCTCTTCTGCACTCTGCAATCCATTCTCCAAACATCATTCAGAATGACCTTCTAAAAACATACCCCAGATCAGGACACTTCGCTATGTCAAATCCCCAGTGGCTACCATGACCTTTAATATCTGTTCCCTAGGCTGCCATAGCAAAGTACCACAAAATGGGGGCACTACAACAACAGAAATTTATTCTCTCATGGTTCTAGAGGCCAGAAGTCCCAAATGAAGGGGTCAGCAAGGGCATGCACCCTCTGAAGGCTCTAGAGGAGAATCCTTCCTTGCCTTCCCTACTTTTTGGAGATTGCTGGCAATTCCCAGCACTCCTTGGCTTGTGGATGCTCCATTCCAATCTCTGCCTGTCTTCACTTGGCCTCCTTCCTTCTGTCTCTGTCTTAGTCTCCGTGTTTTCTCCTCTTAAGATACCAACCATCTTGGGGATTTAGGGAGCACTCTAATCAAGTATGCCTCACTTTAACTAATTACATCTGCAAAGACCCTGTTATCCACATAAGGTGACCTGAGGTTCCAGATGGACTTGAATTTGGGGGTATATTATCAACCCAGTATATCACTTTTGTTCCCATTGAAATAAATCCCAGATTCATTGCCCACAATCCCACATGCTATGGTTCCTACCTCCCTTCCATCACCCTCAAACAATTGGCCAGTATCTGCTATCAGTTCCTAAATCAAGCCCATTCCAAACTTAGGGTTTTCTAGGCACTATTCTTTCTGTCCAGAGAGGTTTTCTGACAGAGGCTTTATTTACTTATGTTCTTTGTTTGTTTGTTTGTTTGTTTGAGATGCAGTTTCTCTCTTGTCACCCAGGCTTGAGTGCACTGGCTCAATCTTGGCTCACTGCACCCTCTGCCTCCCAGGTTCAAACAATTCTTGTGCCTCATCTTCCTGAGTAGCTGGAACTACAGGTGTGTAACACTATGCCCAGCTAATTTTTGTATTTTTAGTAGAGATGAGATTTTGCCATGTTGGCCATGCTGATCTTAAACTCCTGGCCTTAAGTGATCCACCAGCCTTGGCCTCCCAAAGTGCTGGGATTACAGGCATGACTCACTGCGCCCAGCCGCTGCCAGAGTTTTGAGCTGCTGTTTTATCCTCATCTCTTCTGCCTCTTCAATTCACCTTCTCTAAAGTACACTCTTGTTTCCATTTACTCTCTACAGTTGTCCCCCAGTATCTAAGGGGGATTGGTTCCAGAACCCCCTCATGGATACCAAAATCCAAGGATGCTCAAGTCCCTTGTATAAAATGGTATAGTATTTGCGCATAACCTACTCACATCTCCTGGATACTTTAAATAATCTCTAGATTACTTATAATATGTAATACAATGCAAATGCTATGCAAATAGTCATTATACTGTAGTGTTTTTTTATTTGTATTTTTTATTGTCGTATTGCTATTTTTTATTTTTATTTTTTTTCTAGTATTTTTCATCCTTAGTTGGTTGAATTTGCAGATGTAAAACCCAGGGATTTTAAGGGTCAGATGTATGTTAGCACCTGTTCATTTACTTCAAAACATTTATCACAATCTATAATTAGCTCGTGTTTATTTTTCCCAGTTTATCATCTGTCTCCCCCTTATAACCTCAACCTCCAACATAGTGCCTGGTGTGTGGGAGCTGATTGACGAGTATTTACTGAGTGAATGAATAAAATCAAATGAGTACAAGGACTGTGTCATACACATCTGTTATAGCTCCCATAGTACCTGTGCATGGCTTTCTACAAAACCCTAGAAAACATTTGTTGAAATCATAAATAAATTCCTTTCTTTATTTTTATTTAACTCATAAATAATTTCCATCAATTTTATCCATGCCACAATTTGTCCTTACACAAGAATTCCCCTGACCAGACTCTGTGAGGCAGAAACAACAGCTCAAATTCTGCCACCAGGGTTCCAAATATTTATTTAGAATTATGTTTCTAGTACCGCACAGCCCAAGACTCTTCAAACTTCTGATTATCTAATATTGCCTAAGCGCAACCATGTGCAAAGTGGGGCTGCATTCATCACAATGAAGATAAGTCTATTTAAACAACTTCAAGATCATGTTTATGAATAAGATTGTGAAACTAAAAACTTCATTTGTGTTCATAAAACACTTGAGAGCTACAGAGAGCTCAATATTATTGTCAAGGGTCAAGTGTCCAGCAAAGGGCTGCCCATGGAGACATAATCACATTGCTTCATCATTGGGGCACGTACCATTAAGGAATTTTCAAGGAATAATCACTTGTAGTACATCTACTTAAAGCAATTTCGTATTTATTTATTCAATTGAATTATTTATGTTATTCATAATGAAACGAAACTCCAAACAGCATTGGTTCCGTCACGTCTTCCTTTGCTTTTATCTGGTTTACCGCATGTGACTATTTTTATGCAAATGAGGTTATGATGACATTAAACATTTTCTACTGATTTTCCAAGAACAAATATGTTCCCTCCATATGCCACAGTCTTCTTTTTCCTGCATCCATCCTCAGAGTTCTGTTGGGTGATCGGAATTTCTTCTAAATTAACTAAAGGGACATGCCATCTGTAATACTGATGAGCCTTTCTCCCTGCACAGCGCACACGTGGCTCTCCCATTAATACTTGAATTTAGTCCATTTCACCCATTCCACCAGAAGCCTGATTTATAACCCCAGCTCTTACAAGCCTGTAAATCTCAGCTTGTTACGAAAGCACCGTGGTTCTCTCCTGCTGCCACTTGGAGAATGTTTACTGTACTCACAAACCAAGAACAATGAAGAACTCCACACATAAACAGGCGTTGTGATTGCAAAGGCATTTGCCTCTATTGATTATCCCCAGGGCTGAGAAACAAATGTTTCCCGTACTGCAAGTATTTCACGTAACTATCTGTCCACTGAACGAATCGGAGTATAATTTGGCAAACTGCCTAAAGTGAGCTTGTATAAACCAGCTTGGGTTTCCTTGTAGGGTGTGGGGATGTGTGTGTGCCCATGTAGACGCCTGGAGGCAAGTTTAGGATGGGTTGGTTTTAACTCAGTGCACTGCTAGAGTGAGGAAGCAATGGACTAGGCAGACAGGATAATCCCCTAGAAACACAAAGGTTGTTTAAGTACCAACTCTCAAGTCCCCAGTAACAGTGTGAGGATTTCTGAATATTAGATGAGATGAGCTAGCCCCTCCTGCAGCTCTCATCTGTCTACAATCCTTACTTAAACTATCAAAGGCCAGCAGAAGCAACAACAGCCAGTACTGTAAATCTCAACATTGGTTTGATTCAAACTAATAAATCGCGAATTCCATGTCCCATAGCTGCATCTACATCTGGGGAATGTGAACTTGAGAGTCAATGACCCCGGGGGTTATAAACAGGTGACAGAGCAGATCCATTTGCATAAACAGGACAAGGTTGACACTGCTTTCTATCCACTGGTTTCAAATTCTCCATGAAAGACATTGAAACTTGTCCAGAAAGCTCTCTAGAAAGAAACAGAGGGGAATCTTGATGGTAACTTTGTTTTAAACGCATTTCAGGTGAGAATACTTTCAAGTTCCAAGAAAAGATCTAATTAACATTGCCAATTCATAACCTTTGGGGCTGGCAGTGCCTCTAAAAGAAGTGGGAATTCTTTCTTACACAGTTAAGTCTCAAGAGCATCCATTTCTTTTTTTTTTTTTGAGACAGAGTCTCACTCAGTGGTCCAGGCTGGAGTGCAATGGTGTGATCTTGGCTCACTGCCACCTCCTTCTCCCAGGTTCAAGCGATTCTCCTGCCTCAGCCCCCTGAGTATCTGAGATTACAGGCACCCACCACCACGCTCAGCTAATTTTTGTATTTTTAGTAGAGATGGGTTTTCACCATGTTGGCCAGGCTGGTCTCAAACTCCTGACCTCAAGAGATCCACCCACCTCGGCCTCCCAAAATGCTAGGATTACAGACATAAAATGTATTTTTTAATATTCAGTCCTTTTCAAGGAAAAATTACTTCAATATGTGGAAAAAATCAAATCATGAAAAGAGGAAAAACACACATTATACTTTTTTTTTCTTCTGGTCTGACTACTATGGAGGAAGCAGAAGCAGGAGGTAGCTGAGCCCATCCTCCAACTTTCACAAAGTCTCCCATGACCTCAGAACATCCCTAGTGAGGGCTGAATCTTCCTCAATATGTTGGCTGTGGGGAATCCACAGCTGCCCCCTCTGATCCAGGCCTGGGAAGAACCTTATGAAGGAAAATACCCTCCCCAGACTCTCACCATCACCCTGGCATCTGTCTCAGGCTGGACCCTCTGGATTTCTGTGCTGCTTGGGGACAAGGAAATGCCCATTGTCCTAGATTAAAGTTTTCCATGTAAGTGCAAGGCTAAGGATATATCACTTTTCAGTAGATATTTTCCTGAAGATCCTGTCATTTAATGTAAGGTGTTTTAAAGATGATAAGGGGTATGGCCAGGTGTGGTGGCTTGTGCCTGAAATGTATAGGTATATTATTGTGTGAAATGTATAGGTATATTATTCTATACATTTCACGTGGAAAATTTAATCCACACAGCAATTCTATAAAGTAGATATGATTACATCACCATTTTACATATGAGGAAACTGAGGCACAGACAGGTTAAGCAACTTGCCCAAGGTCACATAGCTAGAAAGGGACAAAGCTGAGATTAGAAGTTAGATTTCTGAATCCAGGCTCTTAACCTTCACGTATAACTCTCTCATGAAGGTTTTTAGGTGGCCCAGATATCTTCTTCAGACCTAGGGAATCTGCAAAAGTGGGATGAACATTCACCCATAAGTACTGCAGGAATCATATCACCCTCACACACTAAAGGAAAGGGCACCCCTCAACTTACATACTCCACTCTTCCATCCCATTGCTGCGTGAAGACCTGCGTTAGCAAATAACGTTCCTCCTCGGTATAAACTCTATGGTAAGACATTTCCTAAGCCACATAATATTATACAATTTTTCTTTCCCATGTTTTATTTAAAAAAAAAAATACTGTATGCCTTAAAGAGGGTTTCAACTGTATTACACTACATACTAGGGCCATCACAGGCAATAGCTACTCAAATTTAACATAAAGCTCCTTTGGAATTTTGTTAGCTTCGAAAGAATTGAAAAGTACCAAGAGAGGAAAACTAAAGAAGTAACTCCACCCACCCACCCACCCACCCCCGCCCCCCCAACAGGCAAGATTCCCTAGATAAACTGTCCACTTGCTGTAAGACTCAGAATTTCTTTTCCTTCTGGCAACCCCATCATAGAGGAGAAGGTTCCATTCTGCAGACACAGAAGGTTAGGCAGTTGATGTGGGGACGTCCACAGACCTTGAAGATACACACAGAGCTGGGTTTGAATCCAGGTCCCTGCACTTACTAGCTGTGTGACCTCAGGCAGGTTGCTTAACCTCTCCAAGGCCACCTTGCCTCATTTACAAAAGAAGGGATGGGAATAGCTATTTCAGAGAGCAGTTAAATTTAAATGAGATCAATAAAACATGCCATACAGCGACAAAAACATAAAAGGTAGTCAATAAAAGGGAAAAATTATTGTGGTTAGTGATTCAGGGACACTCCTAAGCATACAGCTACTTATTATTATTACTCATTGGACAGCTACTCTCTGTGTCCATGTGAGTCTGTGAAAAAGAAAGTTTAACATAGAATTTTTGACCTTTTAAAATATATATAATATGTAAGTATAATATATAAATATATATACACACACACTGTCACATGTACACACTCATCTCACTCTGTTATCCAAGATGGGGTGCAGTGGCACGATCATAGCTCCCTGTAGCCTTGGACTCTGGACTCAAGCAATCCCCCCACTTCAGCCTCCCCAGTAGCTGGGACAACAGGCACAAGCCACCATATCCAGCTTTTTTTTTTTTTTTTTTTTAATTTTTAGTAGAGACAGGTCTCACTGTGTTAACCAGGCTGGTCTCAAACTCCTGACCTCAAGAGATCTTCCTGCCTCAGCCTCTCAAAGTGTTGGGATTACAGGCATGAGCCCCCACACCCAGCTGGATTCTTGACTCTTTTTAAGGCACTTTCACCCTATATAAAAACCGACCTGTGAGACACAGGGTATCTATTGTTAGAGGAATGATTCATATAAAAAAAGCTCCACTGCAGCTACTATAATCAGATGTGTCCTTTTCACAGCGGAGGGAAACTTGAGTTGGGTATTGAGCCATGAGTAGATTTGCTCCACTCATTCATTATAAGACCAGGACTCACATACACATACGAGTCACATGCACACAGACCCAACCTAAAATACCCACTGGAGTTGGATGATTCTCAAATACCCATGGTCAGCCCAGACATCATTCCTGACCTCCAGACCACAACATGCCTCTGTTCACTGGGCATGACATGAGGATGCTCCACAGGGTCATCATGCCAGCCGCATCCAAAGCAGACATTGTCGGGATAAAATGGGTTAGAATTTGTTGTGCTGAAAGAAAGAGGAGACTTTCTGAGTGAAGCAAAATGAATTCCAAAGAAACCTGACATCTGGATTTATAAGCAGGAGGCCAAAGGAGAAATTGAAGATAACAGCAGTAGAAACCGCTCATAAATTACCTACATGGTTTGAGAGGAGAAAGCATATCATAAAATTGGTGCGGGGATCTCAGCAGTGGCTTTAATAAGCACAGACAGATTTCTGTGGTCCCTCCCTCACAGTACGAGATAATCGGAAAAGCAGATAATTACTATGCCACAGTGTGATATAGAATGGTATGTCTCAGCAAAAAAAAACAAAAAAAAAAAACAAAAAACAACAACAAAAAAAAAACAGTGGGGGCTTAGAAAGCCTTGCCCAGCTTCTGGTGTCACCAAAGGTTATCTTCTTACAAACACAGAGCCAAATCATAAATAAAGCCAGACAGATTATGTCCTGTGGTTACTCAAGAAAACCAATACTTTGGGAAACGCCGGACAAGCAGAGCTGCTGTCTTCCTTACAAAACGTGAACCCCTACAGCATTCTCTCTCCTGGTTAACAAGATCACTTCCACTCCATCTCCCAAGCTAGTGCACCCACTTCATCCATTTCCAATTAGTTGCCTCATTTTACTAATTCTCTCTAGGATTTTCCTGAATCCAGCTCTTCCACCTTATCCCTGCTTAGTCCTTAGTTTGTTACAGGAAAACAATTGTATAAAAGTAGCACAATAATAATAAAGTGCTTGCTGTATTATTAAAAACACCCCTCTTCTCTCTCTGGCAATGTCTCGCACACAGTTGGCACTCAATAAACGTTGGTAACCATGACTTAATATTTAGCCATCCTGCTACCAGCCTCCATCTTCTCCATTCAATTCTCCACATTTCTGCCACAGTTATCATTATTTAAAAAAAAGAAATTATAATAATAATACCATCCTGACTCTAATCTTTTACTGGCATCTACTGAAAATGTGAAAGTCCCCACCCAGGGCTAGAACATGAGGCACTTCCCAGCCTGGTTTCCTCCTTCCACTCCAAATTTTTCTTCCACAATTCAATCTGGAAACTATTCTCTAGCCAAAAGTTTTCCATTTCCCCTAATCCCAAAATCCAAGAACTGTCCCCTGAGCCATGGAGTGCCTGGAATTGCAATTCCTTTCTTTAAGAGCTTTTGTTTTTTTCCTGTAGTTAATAGTTGCTTTGCTTTTTCACAAGCTGAGCTACTTATCATTGCACTTGCTGTTCTCTCTCTCAAATGCCCTGCCTCCCCTTTAGAGGGAAAACTCCTGCTTGCCAATAAGATCAAGGTCACCTTCTGCCTCCCACAGAATGGCTCACGCCCTTGTCTTACTTTCTAAGGCCCTCTAAAAGTGACCAAAAGGACTATAAATAGCCACCAGCCTCTCCCACTCTCTTTGAAGTCCTCTGGGGCCAAGATGCCTTGCTCTTCTCCAAACTGCTGGCACAGTGCCTGGCAGATTGGAGACTTTAGTCAAAAAATCATTTTTAGTAATTTCTACAAAACCAAGAAAGGACAAGAAGAAGAAAAAAAAAGAAATACAGACCAAAAGAACACCACAGAGAAAATAAGCCTACTTATATACAAAAAGCATAAAATGTAATATATTTAGCACCTCCAAATAAGAGAAAGAGAAGGGTTATTTATAAGATTATTTTGAAAAAGCTCTTCTCTAAAAAGAGGGACAGATCTTTGGAACAAAAGATGCAAACTTGAACCATATTCCAAAATAAACTCTAGAAGGAAGGGTGAAATATAAAAGAGTCATAGAAAAGCAACACAAAACAGAATAGAATATTTATAAGTATTCTGAGGGATAATATCTTTTTACACTTTAAAGCAGGGAAGAAATGAAAATGGAAAGACTGACAGCTTGGGATTCATACAAGTTTAAAATATCTGTCCAGTGGAAGAAAAAAAATAGTCACGGAATTAAAACAAAATGGAAAACAGCATTTTGGAATTCATTTGCCTGAAATGTGACAAACAAATGGTTAATCTCACTGCTACCTAAACATTCATTCATATTTATAAGAAAAACAATTTTCTCAAGTGTAATATAGCAATAAAACAGTAAGAATTAAAGCAACTTGAGGTTCTGTTTAAAATTGCAATGAAATTAGCCTACTTAAAGCTTCTTAAAAACTTGTGAGAGCTGTCTGGGGCTTAACAAAAAGGATCCTATCCATTGGGGAATAATTTCTCTGGAGGAAGGAAACTGCTCAGCCCCAGGCAGCTGCCTCTCCTTACATCTCCAGGGCTCAGATATCAGCAAAGTTGCTTCTACAGGCAAGAGCCTTACAACTCTTTGATGGCTAGGATTAGTTTGCAATGAAGAGAGGTTAATTTGGTAACTTTTGCTGTGGAGCTCAGAATTTACAACAGTCTCTCTGGTTACTGCCTATGGCCTATGGGCTCTCAAATTTATCTCAAAATTCACCTTCAAATTTACCCAACACATAGTGGCCAGAATAATCTAAATGTGATCATATCATTCAAGCTAGTTCTCCAACTCATTCTTCTACTGTACTTTCATCCCACACATCTTGCATTTTTTGGTATAGATTTATATTTATTGTTTAATTGAAATTTTGTTAAAATAAAACATACACAGTCTCCTTCAACTCCTGTAATCTCCATGTTGCTAAATAACAATGATTATGTTAGTATTTCTTGATGTGTAATACACATTTTCAATTGACTTCCTGCTACTGAAGATGTAGATTTAGTTTTCTTACAAACCCCCACCTCACATACACATTTTGCCTCCTCCTTCTTCCAATAATTATACCATAATTTGTGTTTAAATCAATATGAAATATTTACATTTTTATGACTACAATATATTGCTCAGAGCTGAGCTACAGAGTATATGGGAAGTATAGTTTGTTTATTGGAGAGCTTTTGTTTTTTTTCTGTATTAATTGCTTTGCTTTTTCACAAGCTGTTTTGTGTCTATCAGTAATATGGTTGGGATGCATGTCTCAGCCAAATCTCATGTTGAAATGTAATTCCCAGTGTGGGAGGTGGGGCCTAGTGGGAGGTGTCTGGATCATGGGGGTGGATCTCCATAAATGGCTTAGTGCCATCCTCTGGATGATGAGTGAGTTCACATGAGATTTTGTTGTTTAAAAGTGTGTGGCATCTCCCACTCTCTCTCTCTTTTGCTCCCACTCTTGCCATGTGACAGGCTGGCTCACCTTTTGCTTTCAGCCATGACTGTAAGCTTCCTGAGGCCTCCTTAGAAGCCAAGTAGAAGCCAAGCACCATGCTTCCTGGAGAGGCTGCAGAAAAGTGAGCCAATTAAACTTCTTATATTTATAAATAACCCAGTCTCAGGTATTCCTTTATAGCAACACAATGGCCTAACACAATCAGTAAACAGTCCCAAGCTTTTTGAACGAGGAGTTAAGAAAAAATCTTAATGTAGTCACAAACTCTAGGCAATCAAACAATGTTGCCACTTCCCACCTCCTTTAGAGACATACCTCCTGGAGCCCTGCATCCTCCTGCATCCACAGGAGCCTCTAGGAGGTTTCTCTCTAAAGATGTGGGAATAATTGATCTCTTGGTCTGCTACATGGCTGTCACCCTAGAATGTTACCCTGGAGCATCTCTTCATCATCTTCCTCACTTGACTCCTTTGTTTTGCTGGAGCATGTGCTTGAGTAGCTTCCTCAAAACAAATTCAGAGGAGGTAAAATTGTTAAGAGCCTACATTTTTGCGATGGGTTTACTTTGCATTTGCTCCTGGCCCAAAGTATTCTATAGATGACTGTTAAGAGTTCTAAATGGAACATTATTTTTTTCTCTCAAAATTATTTAAGCATTCTTCCATTGTCATCTAATGTTTCTACAGAGGAATCTAATGCCAACTATATGTAATCTGCATTTATTCTCTGAAAGCTTTCAGGACTTTTTCTTCATCCAAGTTGTTTTGAAATTTTAAATTTACATTTCTTGATGTGAGTTTAGTTTTTTTTCTTTTCATGAATTATGTAGGAACTGGGTGGGATCTTCTAATCTGAAAGCTCACATCCTACGGATTCTGGGAAATTGTCTTGCATCATTTGTTTGATGACTTTCTTCTCTCTGTTCTCTCTGATTTTCTCATTAGTGGATGTTGAACCTACTGGACTGATCTAATTTCTTTTGATCTTTCCACTCCTAATTTTCATTTCTTTTTTTCTACTTTTTAGAACTTTTCTCAATGCTGTCTTCCAACTCTTTATTAAATTACTTATCTCCGTTTAATTTTTGTTTTATAAGAGATAGGGTCTTGCTATGTTGCCCAAGCTGGACTCTAACTCCTAGGTTCAAGTGTTCCTACTGTCACAGCCTTCTGAATAGCTAGGACTACAGGTCTAACTTTTAACTTTTAAGATTTATTTTTTATTCTATGATTTATTTTTGTGCAGTGCAGTCTCACTCTGTTGCCCAGGCTGGAGTGCAGTGGCGCAATCTGGGCTCACTGCAACCTCTATGTCCTAGGTTCAAGCAATTCTCCTGCCTCAGCCTCCCAAGTAGCTGGAATTACAAGCATGCACCACTATGCCCAGCTAATTTTTTCTTGTATTTTTAGTAGAGACAGGGTTTCACCATGTTGGCCAGGCTGGTCTCAAACTCCTGACCTCAAATGATCCACCCACCTCAGCCTCCCAAAGTGCTGGGATTACAGCCATGAGCCACTGCACCTGGCCTTATGATTATTATCTTAATATATCTATTTGCTCTTGGTTTATAAACAAAACAAAACATTCTATGATCTCCTAAGTCATTAAACAGAAACAAAGTTTGTTGTTTCTGTTTACTGTTTTCTGTTGTTGTTGTTAACATCTTTTATAACAAAGACTCTACTGAGATGTCTAGTGATCCTGCCTTTCCTTTCTTATTTTAGAGCAGGACTGCTTTATGCAAAAGGATGAAGCCTTACAACTCGCATGCCATACTAATAGTTAATGAGCAGAACCCAGCCATTTTAGGGGTACCACCAGCTGTCAGATCTATCAGCCTTTTCCTTAGGCTGAATAATTTTAAGTGGATTCTTCAAACTCTTGCTTACAGGAGTAATAGAGACTAGAGAGGTAATGGAGCTGGGAAGTCATCCCATTTCATATGCAGCCTTGTTATCCTCTGTCCAAGGCCACCTCTATGAACTATAGTTCATCTTCTCTAGGGAGTAAACCTCCCATATTCTGCCAGATGAGAAAGGGCAGTCTCTGGCTGTGCAGAGTTGAAGAAAGGATCTGGGGACATAACTGCTAACCATCCCTTCTGTTCAAATCTGCTCCCCTCCCCCGGCCATCAGAAATGCCTGTCATCTCCAATTCTTGAGTCTCTAGGGGCTTCTGGCTAGACTGCATTCTTCTGCTCTTACAAACCCCCACCCACCTCATGTGGGAGGTTGGGTCTCAGCTTCACCCAGCTTGCTCTGTCAGTTGCCATTACCATCCTCTTTCCATCTTCCAAAATTTTGTACATGTCTCTCTTCCCTGTGATCATCACCCAACCTGTTGTGGTTTTTTTTCCTTGTAAGTTGCCATTCTCTCTATTCCTTTGCTATCATTTTAATAGGGTTTCAGGAAGGTTCACATGTAAATGGTATGTTCAAGCCATCATGTTACATCACACGGCAATATTGGGCCATGGGTTCCTCCCTGAGTATGCCACGTCATACCCAACCAAGTGTGCTCCTTCTGTTTGTTCTCCCGCCTGGTCCACCCTTATCCCTCTCCCAATTTCAATTTTCCTTTTTTTTTTTTGAGACAGAGTCTCACTCTGTCACCCAGGCTGGAGTGCAGTGGCATGATCTCAGCTCACTGCAACCTCCACCTAACAGTTTCAAGCCATTCTCCTGCCTCAGTCTCCCAAGTAGCTGGGACCACAGGCGTGCACCACCATGCCCCGCTTCTTTTTTTGTATATTTTAGTACAGACAGGGTGTCATCACGTTGGCCAGGCTAGTCTCGAACTCCCGACCTCAGGTGATCCGCCCGCCTTAGCCTCCCAAAGTGCCAGGATTACAGGCGTGAGCCACCACGCCTGGCCCCCCATCTTCAACTTTCTATCCCTTAATGGTCCTTCAAGCATTATCTCAAACAAGAAACTTTCTCAGATCCTCACTGCACATGCTGTGTGAATCTCTAGCCGGCACATACCCTTGTGCTGACCTGATCTGCTGGTATATCTGTCTTCCTCCCTAGACAAGAAGTAAGTAGGCAAGGACTGTGCTTCATCCAAGTGTCTATCTCCAGTGGGGAGAAAACTATCTGGCTCATAATAAGTGCTCAATAATACTTGTTCAACCGGCTCTTTTCCAGTAACCTCGTTTTGAAGGCATTTTCATTCTTATAGAAGTACAAAAAAATAGGGCCATGTTTATTTGCCAATGTCCTAATAAGAAAGGCTAATGAGAGAGCATCAGGAAATAAAAACAGACAGATGTTTTGGAGAGCAAAAGTCCAGGGACACAAAATAGCTTCCAGCAGGGGTGATGTATATTTTCCTAGTGATTCTAAATGAATACATGCTTATTTGGTAGAGAGAGAGATTTAACAGGTTTCTCAGCTAATGCTGCAAATTTAAATCCATTTAAGATAATTTTCTTTATTTTGAATCTATTTTTCTCAGTAACCAAGACACTTAACTGATTTGTACAAAATTCATTTGAGAAAGAAATAATCTACTTCAAGCAAGGACACACTCTAAATAGAAAAAGAGAGACACTACAAATCTAATAGAAAATGGAGAATCTGTTTGAGAAGCGGAGGTGGAGTTCTGCCTGGAACACAGGGGTTTTCTCTCCAGCATCTTGACACTATGTCCATCCTCTTTTGTCTATTTTACAAGCAGAAAATAAGTAATTCTTAAATCTGAGAGCACAAAATAAAGACCTCTCATAATCCAACCAAGATGCACACAAATAGTTTTTAGACAGTGTCTCACTCTCTTCCTCAGGCTGGAATGCAGTGGTGCCACGATGGCTTACTGCAGACTTGACCTCCCAGACTCAGGTGACCCTCAGCCTCAGGAGTAGCTGGGACTATATAGGCATGCACCACCACCACACCTGGCTAATTTATATATATATATATTTATTTATTTTTTATTTATTTATTTTTTTTTTGAGACGGAGTCTCGCTCTTTCGCCCAGGCAGGAGTGCAGTGGCACTATCTTGGCTCACTGTAACCTCCGCCTCCCGGGTTCACGCCATTCTCCTGCCTCAGCCTCCTGAGTAGCTGGGACTACAGGCGCCCGCCACCACGCCCGGCTAATTTTTTGTATTTTTAGTAGATACGGGGTTTTACCATCTTAGCCAGAATGGTCTCGATCTCCTGATCTCGTGATCCGCCCGCCTCGGCCTCCCAAAGTGCTGGGATTACAGGCCACCGCACCTCGCAATTTTTAGGTTTTTTGTAGAGACAATGCTTTGCCATGTTGCCCAGGCTGATCTCGAACTCCTGGGCTCAAGCGATCTGCCCAAAGCGATTGGCTTCCCAAAGGGCTAGGATTATAGATGTGAGCCACCATACTCAGCCCCAAGTTTTTTTGTTGTTGTTGTTTGTTTGTTTGTTTGTTTGTTCTGAGATGGAGTTTCGCTCTGTCACCCAGGCTGGAGTGCAATGGTGTGATCTCGGCTCACTGCAACCTCTGCCTCCCTGGTTCAAGTGATTTTCCTGCCTCAGCCTCCCGAGTAGCTGGGATTATAGGAGCCTGCCACCGCGCCCAGCCAATTTTTGTATTTTTAGTAGAGACGGGGTTTTGCTATCTTGGCCAGGCTGGTCTCAAACTCCTGACCTCGTGATCCACCCTCCTCAGCCTCCCAAAGTGTTGGGATTACAGGCGTGAGCCACCGTGCCCTGCCAGCCTCACGCTTTTTAAAAGGCAAGAATCTCATGCAAAAAAGTGTAAGTTGAAACAATAACCTATCAGTTTGGCATTTTTTACATGCTAGTACCCAGTATTGGAAGGGTCTAGTAAAATTCTAACAAGAGTAGAATTACTATAGATTTTCTGGAGGAAAATATTATAATACGTATCAAGAATCTCCAAAAATATCCCTCTACTATATACCTTTAGAAGTGTGGATTCAGAAAATAAATATCAAATCAAAACATATAAAGATATGAGTGAAAAAATATTCAATAGAATGTTATATATAATAATGAAAAATTGAAAATAACCTAAATTTCCAACAATGGAAACAGATCATCAATAACATCAGAAAATACTCACGATTTAATGTTAAATGAAAAAGGGAAAAAGTGAGATATCATAGGCTCATAATCTGTATAGAAAATAGACTCAAAGACAATACACTAAAACTTCAATAGATGCTGTCCCCAAGGGATGAGATCATGGTGATTTTTTTTTAGAAAAAGGAAAATCAAAACCATAATGAGATACCATTTCAACCAGTCATAATGATTATCATTAAAAAGTAAAAAAAATAACAGATGCTGGAGAGGTTGTGAAGAAAAGGTAATGGTTATACACTGCTGGTGAGAATGTAAATTAGTTCCGCCATTGTAGAAAGCAATTTGGTGAAGCCGCAAAGAACTCAAAGCAGACCCATTTGACCCAGCAATCCCATTACTGGGTATATACCCAAAGGAATATAAATTGTTCTATCATAAAGACACATGCACAGGTATGTTCATTATAGCACTATTCACTGTAGCAAAGAAATGGAATCAACCTAAATGCCCATCAATAGTAGACTGGATAAAGAAAATGTGGCACATATACACCATGGAATACTACGCAGCCATAAACAAGAATGACATCATGTCCTTTGCGGCAACCTGGAGTTGGAGGCCATTGTCCTAAGCAAACTAACTCAGAACAGAAAACCAAATACCACCAGTTCTCACTTATAAGTCGGGGCTAAACGACGAGTACACATGGACATAAAGAGGGGAACAATAGACATGAGGCCTACTTGAAAGTGGAGGGAGGGAGAAGGGTAAGAATCAAGAAACTATCTATGGTGTTATCTGGGAGATGAAATGATCTGTACGCTGAACCCCTGTGACATGCAATTAACCTATATAACAAACCTACACATGTTCCCCTGAACATAAAATAAACATTAAAAGAATAATAATGGCTGGGTGTGGTGGCTCACACCTGTAATCCCAGCACTTTGGGAGGCCAAGGCGGGCAGATCACCTGAGGTCAGGAGTTCGAGATCAGCCTGACCAAAGGCATAAAATCCCATCTCTACTAAAAATACAAAATTAGCCAGGTGTGGTGGTGCATGCCTGCAATCCCAGCTACTCGGGAGGCTGAGGCAGGAGAATCACCTAAACCCCAAAAGGCGGAGGTTGCGGTGAGCTGAGATCGCACCATTGCGCTCCAGCCTGGGCAACAAGAGCGACACTCTGTCTCAAAAAAAAAAAAAAAAAAAAAAAAAAAAAGGAAGAAAGAAGAAGGAAGAAGAAGGAAGAAGAAGAAGAAGAAGAAGAATTAAAATACAAAGCTTTTTGTATTGAGGCTCTTTCTATATGTTTCTGGAACACTTTGATAACAACTGAACTTTTTTGTTTAGCTAATCTTTCATATGCAACAGGAGTACTAAGTTTATTTATTAAAGAGGAAACTAAAATAAAAACTCCCCCAAGAGTTACAAATAACAGTGGAAAATATCACAAACGTAGGGGTCTACACCCACTCTGACGACCCATCAAGCTCCGCAAATGACTGAACCAGAACTTACTTGGTGGGACGATAATCCGGAATGGAACGGTCCAGTGAAATTTTTTCACTGAGGTATGAATTGTAGCCATACTTCTCATGGGGTCCCTTAGCCTTTTCTTCTTCAGCCGGGGAAAGAGTAGCCGGAAGGCCCCCTTTACCCCGCCCACCATAACCTTCAATGAGCCCAAGGGATTTGGATAAGCCTAGAAAAAGTGGGAGAAAAAAGAATTATTAGAAAACCACCATACCAGGATGTATTACTCAATCTCCGCTGCAGCTTCAACAGACATTTTAACATTACTTGTCACAGAAAAAATGATGTCCTCAATTTATCCAACTCAGGTATAGGCCCTGAAAACATTTCCATTGAGAGGAAGGTCAAGGTCACAGAGAGTTCTGGGGTTAAAGTCTGGTTAGAATCCTCTCCCTCTGTCTCTACCAAAAAATACAAAAATTAGCTGGGCGTCGTGGTGCACACCTGTAGTCCCAGCTACTCGAGAGGCTGAGGCAGGAGAATCTCTTGAGCCCAGGAGACAGAAGTTGCAGTGAGCCAAGATCACACCACTGCACTCCAGCCTGGGCAATAGAGCAAGACTCTGTCTCAAAAAAATAAATAAATAAATATAAAAGAATCCTCTCTCTCCTTTTGGGGACTGGGATGAGATGGGGGTCTGTAAAAGGGAGAGACCATCTAAACTGGGAGAAATGAGGACGAAAGAGGACATAGGAAATGAGACAGAACTGGGGCCATTATTCACGCCTGTTTCCCTTTTGCTAGGAGGAACTACAGCAAGAAGAAATAGCACAGAATAAAAACAGCAAGTCACAGATAACTGCCAAACTGCAGATGCTTTTGCTTCATTTGAACAGAAAGTGACATACAGATTGATTTTTATCTTGAGTTTAAAGGGTCCAACATTCTGACACAGCTCTTTCCCTAATGGTTTTATTTAAATTTTATCTAAATGGCAAGAGGAAATACAAAATGTTTGAGAATAAATCACAGAGGAGAGGAAAAAACCCACACGGGTGATAACAGTGCCAAGTAGACTTGGAGGCCTCTGTAACAAGCCTCACTGAGCAATTGCAAGCTCCCAGGATGGTGACACCTTAAACCTATTATTCCATTAGAGGATAAACAGCTTGATGGGCAATTTTTAAATCCTGGAGTTATGGGAGGTTTTATTACTTAACTAGAAAACTTTTGTTGTTAAGGGTTCTCATTGCCTTCTGCCATTTCAAATGTTCCAGCTACTCAGCACACATACACACATACACACACAATCACACACACACACACCACTTTATCCATTTAAATGATGGAGATCCAATATCCAGTGTTTCATTGCTGCCACTGACAGAAAGAAGGACCAGCCTCCTTGGCTTTCACAGCCTGGGCAGCCGGAAGCGCCCAGAAGGATCCAAATCTCCCACGAAGACATCCCCTAAGCAAGTCAAGAGCCAGGAAACCTGCTCCGGTAGTGAGACGGTTCCCCATCACCTAGTGGCAAAGCTTGTATTCCCTCTCCTGCTTCTCTGAAAACAGAAATTTATTTTCTGTAATACCAAGATCAAAAGCAAAGGTTGAACGAGCACCGTCAGACGAGCATCATTTCTCTGCTTGAGAATCATTTCCACCGTCCAATATGCTCTTCAGGAATCCTGGTATCTTTTCTTGCTGCCACCATCTCCATAGAGACCCTATCGGCGGAGAATTAGAGTACTCCAGCACTTTCTACCTGCTCCCTCATGCTGAATCTGCTTCCACACTGATGTGTAACACATCTTCAAATGACAACCCCTGAACTCTGCTCAAAACTCCACAAAGATTCTTCCCATGTTGAGTACAAACACCTGTGCTTGGTTTTAAAATCACTTGTGATGCAACATTACTAGTGGGAATGTACAGTTGTCCCGCCACTTTGGAAAACAGTTGGGCTGTTCTTCAAAATGCTTAATATAGGCTGGGCACAGTGGCTCACGCCTGTAATCCCAGCACTTTGGGAGGCTGAGGTGATCACCTGAGGAGTTCGAGACCAGCCTGGCCAACATGGTGAAACCCAGTCTCTACTAAAAATACAAAAATTAGCCGAGTGTGGTGATGTGCACCTGTAGTCCCAGCTACTTAGGAGGCAATGAGCAAAAATCCCACAGCTGCACTCCAGCCTGGGTGACCGAGCAAGACTCTGTCTCAAAAACAAAAACAAAAAATGCTAAATATAGTTACCATATGACCCAGCAATTCCACTCCTAAGAAATTTCCACCCAAGAAAAATGGAAACATTCGTCCCCAAAAAAACTTGTGCACAAATGCTCACAGTTGCATTATTCTTATTAGCTAAATGTCCATCAACTGATGACTGGAGAAACAAAATATAGTATCTCCAGACCAATGGAATATTGGGCAATATAAAAGAATGAAGTTGTGATACAAGCTATGGCATGAGTGAACTTTGAAAATGTTATGACAAGTAAATGAAGCTAGTCACGGAAGACCATATAGTGATTCTATTTATGTGAAATGTACAGAATAGGTAAATCTGTATAACCTGAAAGTAGATCCATGGTTGCTTTCAGTAGGGAAGGGGGAACTTGGGGAGAAAATGGACAGTGACTGTTAATATGTATAGCACTTTTTCCTGGAGTAATGGGAATGTGACAGCATTAGCTCATGGTGATGGGTGCACAAATTTGTGAAGATACTACAAGCCACTAAACTGTACGCTTTTAAATAGATGAGTGATATGAGCTGTATATCTCAGTATGGCTGGGGGCCATGGCTCACGCCTGTAATCCCAGCAATTTGGGAGGCTGAGGTGGGCGGATCACTTGAGGTCAGGAGTTCGGGACCAGCCTGGCCAACATGATGAATCCCGTCTCTACTAAAAATACAATTAGCTGGGTGTGGTGGTGCATGCCTGTAATCCCAGCTACTCGGGAGGCTGAGGCAGGAGAATCATTTGAACCCAGGAGGCAGAGGTTGCAGTGAGCCAAGACTGCGCCACTGCACTCCAGCCTGGGCAACAAAGCAAGACCTCATCTCAAAAACAAAAACAAAACAAACAAACAAACAAAAACAAACAAAAACTCAAACCAGTTGTTAAGAAAAGAACACTTATGATAGACAATTCTATTCACAGCAAGATGAAAGGCTATCCAACATGAGAATTTTCCAGCAAGATACCTAAAAACACTCAATAAAACGATTTTAAAATATTTAAAATATATAGGTGACCTTGCAAGAAAGAAAGGGAAACTCCTCAAGGTAAGTTAAAATCGGAGTTGAGTCTATGTCTGCTCTCAGAGAGGGAGAGGATGAGTTGCTCATTAACTAAAAGCTGCAGTTTCAGAGCTCAAGCGTGCACAGGATATGAGATTTTGGGTTCTCTTGAGAAATATCATTGAAACTGAAATATCTGCAAAAATTTAGGTCCCTGAAAGACTGGATTTTTTTTTTTCCCCAAATCCAAGGAACAGCGTAATGAGACAAACAAGAAGATGGATATGCTCAGAACTAGGGGCAAAAATTGCAATCCAGGACTTGAGACTACACATATGTTTGTCTGAATTTACACAGTCTCCAGAGATCAGAGAATTGCCATTTAAGATTACAAGCTCTTCAGAGAGTACTCAAGACAATCATAGAAACAGGGTCATAAAATCTAATTTTTAGTATTTTATATGGAGGAAGGAGCCCATCTAGGCTAAAGTCTCTGGGCCCACAAAAGTCATTCTGCAGCCCTAGGTCCCTTGACTTTAGCTTTTTATCTATAAGTGACAAATAAAGAAGGAAAGTAACAAGATCTGAAGTGTGGCCAATAACAGCACAAGGACTGACCCCAGGCACTAACAGTAGTGACAGCAACCATTTATTCAGTACTCACTATGTGGTGGGCAATTTAGCAATTTTTCACTTTTATTCTACCATTGTCTCATCTAATCCCGTGACAAGCTCAGGGGGAAGGTATTATTACAATCTCTGTTTCACAAACGAGGACACTGGGTCTGAGAATGTAGGAACGTAGGAACTTTTTTTTTAAGGGATGGTCTCACTCTGTCACCCAGGCTGGAGTGCAGTGGTATAATCACAGCGCATTCACTGCAGCTTTGAACTCCCGGGCTCAAGCAATCCTCCTGCCTCGGCCTCCCAAGTACCTGAAATTACAGGTGCGTGACACTAACCTAGCTAATTTTTTAAAACAATTTTGTATAGATGGGGTCTTGCTATGGTGCCCCAGGCTGGTCTCAGACTCCTGGCCTCAAATGATTCTCCCACCTTGGCCTCCCAAAATGCTGGGATTACAGGCGTGAGCCACCACACCTGGCCAAATATAGGAACTTTTTAAAGGTTCCATGGCAATTAAAGGAGGATAAAGGCCGGGCTCTGAGGCAGATTATG
This sequence comes from Homo sapiens, assembly GCF_000001405.40. Classification (NCBI taxonomy): domain Eukaryota; kingdom Metazoa; phylum Chordata; class Mammalia; order Primates; family Hominidae; genus Homo; species Homo sapiens. The sequence continues at coordinate 71,331,353 of NC_000007.14, read as the reverse complement.
AGACCTGTTGCAGAATTCTTGCAGCAGCCTGTGCGAGAGATGGCAGGAAGCTTATTTTAAGGCAGCGGTCAGTGATCAAAAGGAATGGAGAGATTTGAGGGTTGTTTAAGAGATACCATCCCAGGGTAGGAGATAAACAAGAGATAAGGCTGAAAGAGAAGGAGGAACTGAGCAAAACTGAGTTTCCAGGTGAGTGATAACACTGCCCAAAAAGACAGGGCATACAGAAGAGAGTGTGAGAAGACAATGAGTTCCATTCTTCACATGTGGTACACGAGGCATCCGTGGGACATCCAGATGGCGTCAGAGTCCAGTGGAAAATTGAAGCACATGAGAATGGAGGTTCAGACAGCAGAGGTGGCCTGAGATACAAACCTCACTGCCATCAGGACAAGCAGGCTAGAGCCGTGGCAGAGGGTGCAGAGAGGAGAGCCCAGGAGCAAGAAGGGGAAGGATAGGCAATGTTCAGCAAGTGCTCACTGACTACCCTATCCCTTGTCTATTTCCACCAAACAGGAGGAATTGCATCCGGCGAAACTTTTTTCTTTTCTGCTCTATATGCACGGCCTCTCAGTTATGCTATATTTGAACCCCAAGACTTCAAGAGACTGAGACTTAAGGAAGAGAGAAATGTCTTAATAAGAAGCAAGCAGGCCAAGTGCAGAGGCTCATGCCTGTAATCCCAGTGCTTTGGGAGGCCGAGGCAGAGGAACTGCTTGAGCCCAGGAGTTGGAGAGGAGCCTGGGCATCATAATGAGACCCCACACCATCTCTACAAAAAATAAACAAATTAGCCAGTGTGGTGGCCTGTGCCTATAGTCCCAGCTCCTTGAGAGGCTGAGGAGGTAGGATTGCTTGAGCTCAGGAGTTCAAGCCTGCAATGAGCTATGATTACACCACTGCACTCCAGCCTGGATGACAGAGTGAGACCCTGTCTTTGAAAATAAATAAATAAAATAAAAAATAAGAAGACCTTATCTCTGGAAAAAAAATAACTAAGTGTTCAAGTTTCCTGTTTGACTTCAGAAATCCCACTTGTCCAGCCGGGCACGGTGGCTCATGCCTGTAATCCCAGCACTTTGGGAGGCCAAGGCGGGCGGATCACTTGAAGTCAGGAGTTCAAGACCAGCCTGGTCAACATGGTGAAACCTTGTCTCTACTAAAAATACAAAAATTAACCGGGTGTGGTGGTGTGCACCTGTAGTCCCAGCTACTTGTGAGGTTGAGGCAGGAGAATCATTTGAACCTGGGAGATGGAGGCTGCAGTGAGCTCAGACCACACCACTGCACTCCAGCCTGGGCAACAGAGCAAGACTCTATCTCAAATATATATACATGTATATATACACACATATATGTATATATATACACACACACATATACGTATATATATACACACACACATATGTGTGTATATATATACACACACACACACATACATATATATATACATATATATATTCTTGGAGGACACCCAAAGGACCTCCAAGGTATATGGCCATTGATATGGCTTGGCTCTGTCTCCTTACCCAAATCTCATATTGAATTATAATCCCCAGTGTTGGGGTAGGGACCTGATGGGAGGTGACTACATCATGGGGTCGAATTTCCCTCTTGCTGTTCTTGTGATAGAGTGAGTTCTCATGAGACCTGGTTGTTTAAAAGTGTGTAGCACTTCCCCCTTCTCTCTCTCTCTCTCTCCTGGCTCTGTCCATGTGAAGATTGTGCCTGCTTCCCTTTCGCCTTCTGCCATGATTCTAAGTTTCCTGAGGCCTCCAAACCATGCTTCCTGTACAGCCTGCGGAAGTGAGGGAATTAAACCTCTTTTCGTCATAAATTACACAGTCTCGGGTAGTTTTTAATAGCAGTAGGAGAACGGACTAATACAGACACGCTCCACTGTAAAGCTGCGAGATGGGCACAGCTGTTCCTCAGTGTACGATTACAGCCTGACATATATAGGTCATACATATAATGTGTCCAATACTGCATGATGAAAAAGACAGCTAAAAGACTACCAAGCATGCTTTTTTCCTCTTTATTCTGTGTGCTCTTACTCATTCGCCCTGGATTTTCCCTTTCCCTTCCCCAGTACTTGCTAACTTCCCCTCACAAGCCACACACTCCCAAGGGTCAAGGCAAGAGACACTATCAGAATGGGACAGAATTCCTGACCTTTGACTTAACTGGGCAGCTTCCACAGAAAAACCTCTGATTCTTCCTCTAACTTAATCTGTGTGGTTGGGTTGGCTTGTCTTTTTCTTCACTTGACGATACAGCATATCTTTTGTTCCATCTAAATAGAGAGCTTCCAATCCCAAGTCATTAAATTCCACCTTAGAGCTAAAATGCATTTCAGATGTGTTTGCCTAGCACAACCCCCTGGGCAGCCTTTCCAATGCAGTCAGAGGGGCCAGAAGGAGAATTTTTTTTATAAAACAGTATAGAAATTAAGACTAAGCATGCATGCATATCCCACCAAGGAGACACAGGGAATGATGGTCCCAATGAGATTTTTTTCTCCTTATGTGGCATTATTGCTTCCATTATGAAAGGCATTCACTTAACAGCCTCCAAAAAGATCATTCCTCACAGTGCGATGTGACACCTGTGAATTACATATTTTTTGGTCCATGTGCTTCCATTTTCACCCCCACTTAATCTGCCACAAAGGTTCAACAAAGCAGCAAAAAAAAAAAAAAAAATCACTGGTATTTTAACGTGCTTATTTTGCAGGCCCCAGAAACTGTTGGCAAAGATAAATAAGAGTTCAAGTCCACCAGCCGAACTCAAGTTGGTCTTAACTTAGCCAGGAAAGGTTGCCGTTGGAGCAAGTTGGGATGATTTCGTGTACCCAAGAAACCTTCTTTTCTGCAAGTGCCCCTTGCTCAGTCGTCAGAGGCAGCCGCAATCTTTGAGGAATGAAACTGAACTTGTAGGCAGAGTAGTCACAAAGTCAAAGGGGGAGAAGCAGCAGCAAAGAGAGAAAGCAGGAAGAGAATGGGGTGGCTTCTTGGCACCAGGCCTGCGAGAATTCATTGTTCCCTTCTTTTCCGCCTGAGTTATTTTATTAAGTTGGTGCAAAACTAATTGTCGTTTTTGCCACTAAAAGTAATGGCAAAGACAGCAATAACTTTTGCACCTAACAGCTGACGACAGTTAAAGCCAAGTGGCACTATTAGGTAAGAACTCGAAGATAAAGAGAGGAAGGACAGATTAAGGTCAGTCATCCTACTGCAACCATATCAAATATCCTTCATGCTTCACTCCAGATCTATTCTCCATCCTTTTTCTCCCAGTTGCATACTCTAGGAGAAAGACCTATAGGGACAGCTATAGGTTCACCTGCCCCCCTGGCTTTGGGTTGAGATGAACCAATAGGAGGCAACATAAGGACACTTCTTGACAGATGGATGGAAAGAGAGAGAGGTGTACTTATTCTCCCATCTCTTTCCCTACTGGGCTGGGGTTTAGTAGAAGGTACTAAATCTTCTATAATCCAGTTGTTATCAGGCATGCCTCTCTTAGGTTTACAGCTATCCTTGCATTCTGTTAACCACTCCCTCCTCTTGCCTCTGCAGACCTTAGGGTGGCAATTTCTTCCCTCTCTGTTGCTAGCCCTGGGGTCATTCACTAACCCTTGTCATTCCTTATTGGTTTCCCTTAACCCTTCACAATCTTTGTAAATATTTTGGTAACCTCTCTTTAATTGCCCCTTCTGAGTGTGCTACCTGTCTCCTGCCAGAAAGGAAAGTCTTGATGCTGTATCTGTATCCTCACAGATACAGCATCCTACCTGATATGGTTTGGCTATGTCCTCACCCAAATCTCATTTTTAATTGTAGCTCCCATAATTCCCACATGTTGTGGGAGGGACCCAGTGGGAGATAACTGAATCACGGGGGCAGTTTTCCCCATACTGTTCTCGTGGTAGTAAATAAGCCTCATGAGAGCTGATGGTTTTGTAAGGGGTTCCCCTTTCAATTGGCTCTCATTCTCTCTTGTCTGCTGCCATGTAAGACATGCCTTTCCCCTTCCACCATGATTGTGAGGCTTCCCCAACCATGTGAAACTGTGAGTCCATTATACCTCTTTTTCTTTATAAATTACCCAGTCTTGGGTATGTCTTTATCAGCAGCGTGAAAAGGGACTGATGTACTACCAATCACAACTGGAAGACTTCTCCTGTGGTCCCATGTTTAGGTGCTCTCCTTAATGGCATACATGTGGTCACCTCCAGTGCCTGACACACAAAGAGTTCTTAAAAACTGTTAGGTAGATGGATGAATAGAGATTAGATCTGGAGAACCAGCTTCAGGCCATCTATTACAAACTGAGTATTTCACTTTAAGAAAGCAAATTAAATATCCATAAGGAAAGCATCTAATAGGAAAAGAGGTGTTGAATATATTAAATATTGTAGTATATTTATGGTCACAAAGAAGAGAATCTCTACTGATGAATGTCACAGAGAATTAAGCCTGAAAAGAGCCCTTTGGTGTGGCAATGAAAGGCACTGGTGACCTCTGAGACAGTGTCAGTGAAGTAAGTGTTTCTAGGGTGATAAGGAAATGAGTCACGAGATACAGCTGTCACTAGAAAAGGATGCCCAGGCTGGGGCAAGTAGACATCTCATATTAATAGTGTTTTTTAATTCAGCAAAAACCAACTAGAATATACAATGTAAGTAAATCTATTTCTAAAAGTAACAAATATTACAGTATACCTAGGAATAACTTTAACCAGTAAGAAGAATATTTGAAAATTTTACTAAATGCAATAAAATAAGACATATATAAGTGGCAGAGAAGAACACGTCTTTGAGTTGGAAGTTGGAATGTTGGGAGATTGTTAGGAGATCCTCTCTCTCTCTCTTTCTTGCTTTCTTTCTTTCGAGTTGGGGTCTCACTCTGTCACCCAGGCTGGAGTGTAGTGGGGGTGATCTTACCTCACTGCAGCCTTGAGCTACTGGGCTCGAGGGATCTTCCTTTTTTCAGCCTCCTGCGAAGCTAGGAATACAGTCATGCACCATCCTGCATGGCTAATTTTCTTAACTTTTGTAGAGATGAGGTCTCCCTATGTTGCCCAAGCAGGTCCCAAACTCCTGGACTCAAGCGATCCCCCCGCCTCAGCTTCCCAAAGTACTGGGATTACAGGCATGAGCCACTGTACCCATCCACTGCCTTTTTAATACATAGGTTTCACATAATTTCAAAGGGGATTTTTTTTTCTGCAACACAATAAAACGTTCTAAAATTAACCTAGAAGAACACAGACGTTAGAAAATTTAGAATTGTTTTAAAAAAACAAAAGACAGAAAAGGGGTAGCCTTCTCTGATATTAAGCTAGAAAATAAAGCAATAATCACTAAAGTGGTATGAAGACTGGGAGGAAATTTTAAATATACGTTGGCAGGTGAGGCTGTAAAATATATGTTTTCTCAGGTAGTCATCCAGTTTTTGAAACATAAATAAAAATAACCTCCACTTTTGAAATTTTAGAAATTCCCTTCTAGTGCAGGCAAGCCAACGACTCATTTTTGCACGACATCTTGTGTGAATGATGGAGCAGCTCCATCTCACACAGAACCCAGAAATCCTCTGAGGGCCACACGGTTGATCACCGCTCAGCAAGAGCACATCACTCTGCCGATGTCTGTGGTTAAGTTCAGCCCAAGCTATGAAGGCTCGATGGTGGTGGCAAAACAAAAGAGTCAAGGTTGTAAATTGACTCTGAGCTGCCTTCCCACCTTCCTTCATACAAATGAGGACATGATTTTCTCCAGGGTTACAGCGGAAACTTATGGGTTTACAGATAACCAGCATTATTCTTTTAGAAATAGAGATGGTACACACGATGGAGGCACAAACTCCAGGATAGATGGTGACCACAGCAAAATGCAATCTGGTGCCTTGTCAACTCATAAAGCTCCTCATCATCTCAGCAGCCCCAGCCCAGCATGCAGTAAATCTCTCTCTCTCTAAGCCAAAGAGCCAGCATGTCATGCAGCCCGTCTTCCACTGGGCAGGCATTTGTTTGGAAGTTTCTGCAGAGAGGCCAGAGCCCTCCTGCCGGTCCGCGTCTCAGGGAGATCCTACCTTATGCTAGATCATCTGGAAGTCAATAAAACTTATAGACAATGCACAAATTGCAGCCATTGCAGCCATAAGCTTAACAGTGAGCAACATTCCAGGTTTACTCCTGGCCAATTTCAATGTACTCCTGGGGGTTTGAGGAGCCACCTCTTAGAATCCAGTATGGTAATAAAGGTAAGTATCTGAAAAATACAGTTTATCCTTCCAGCTATTAACACACACTGAAAAACTCCAATAATTAAGAAGGTGAAATAATGGACTAGGAAAGGATAGGCAAGATCAATGGAACACAAGAGCTTGTCAGGAAATATTGCCAAAAGAAAAGATAGCCCCATTTTGGATACAATTATTAGTGATAATTAGTTCAAATGACAAATGTCTATTAGACACAAAGCACTATAATAAGCACTTCAATTATTACATGTACACAAAATTTATGCTAAATATGTGTGCTATATGTATATTTTTAAATTCACATGCGTATGTGTATATATATATACACGCACGCATATATTTTTAAATTCATATATACATTAAATTAATAAATATAATATTTTTTAAATTGTTACTCAAATGACTCTTGGTGCTAACTCCTTTTTTTGAGACAAGGTCTCACTCTGTCACCCAGGCTGCAGTGCAGTGGCATGATATCGGTTCACTGCAATCTCCACCTCCTGGGTTCAAACGATTCTCCTGCCTCAACCTCCCAAGTAGCTGGGATTACAGGCATATGCCACCATGCCCAGCTTATTTTGTGTGTGTGTGTTTTTAGTAGAGACCAAGTTAAGACATGTTGCTCAGGCTAGTGTTGAACTCCTGAGCTCAGGTGATCTGCCCACCTCAGCCTCCCAAAGTGTTAGGATTACAGGTGTGAGCCACTGTGCTGGGCCTCTTGGTGTGAACTCTGAATATCTCCTGACCCTATTCTCACCTCTCCATCTCTTCTGCCACCACCCAGATGCAAGCTCAAGCCACCGCTTACTTGAGTTATTGCAGGCAACTCCTAACACCATCTTCGGAGTGAGCTTTCCAACATGCAAATCTGAACACTGCTTGCTTGAAATTCATTAGTGCCTTCCTGCTGCCTATGGAAAATAATCCCAAAGTTTTCACGTAATATGCAAAGCTGCTTATTAGTGGAGTCCTTGCCCAGCCTCGTCCTCTGCTGTTTCCTTTGTTTAAGGTACCCAAACCTTCCTCTGATGGTTCTAAAAAGCTGCTGCCCTTCAGGACCACTGCCAGTCTTCCCTGCTACTCAACAGAGCCCCGGAAATCCTTTCTGGACACTATCCAACCCAGAAAGTCAGAGGCTGGTGAAAATCTCAACCACAACATTTCTGATATCATAGTCTATGTGCCCTTGACTGCTCACTTGCGTGAGCACTGGTCTCTTGTGAACAGGAAGGCATCTTTGTGTCTTGCACATAGCAAACACCTCGTAAATATCATAGATACGATTGGACGGCTGAATGACCAAAGTGAGTCAATGAATGAATGAGTGCATTATAAACTGCACTGGCCAAATTTAGCATCATATTCTACTGTGCATACAGAAATCTCCTGGTGACATGTCAGAAATGGGTAAGCGCCGTTTCATTAACTCATGTCAAATCATCATTGATTCCCTAGTTCATATATCAGTACGATGATCTTGATATTTGTTGACAACTGAATTATGATGATGATTTTGACATTTTCCCTCCTGCATTTTCAGTGCTTCCCTGACATGATGTCCAAAGGTTATTAATATCTTGAATGAAATTTTAAGAGTTCAATTGTATCAGCTGCTGCTTGGTGGAAGAGAATGGAGTAAAATGTTCCCTAAGTATTAGGACAATTAGTACACCTGCAGTCCAACTTAGAATCTTGGGTTGGAAGAAAGGAGAGGTCAGCTAGCCCCACAACCCCATTTGGTGCAGAAATTCCAGAGTGATGGCGACCCAGCTTATACTGTATTCTCCCAGGGACAAAGAGTCCACCACCTTGTGGTACACTGCATTCCTGGTTTATAGTTCAAATAAATAAAATTTCAAAAATGGGTACCTTTGTTTCTTCTACCCAATGATCTTATTTTTTTCTTCTACATCAATCATGCAGATTACACTTTCATGTAATTTTCAAATATTACAAGACATTATCAAGACATATCATTATCATGTAATTTTCAAATATTACAAGACATTATCAAGACATATCATTAACCGTCCTTTTATCTTCTTTTTTTTTCCAGGCTAAACACACCCACTCCTTCAGCCATCTTAATATGACCATGTTTTCATACTTTCCACAGTATCTCAGCCAGCTAGGGGTGCTATATCAAAATGCCATAGATGGAGAGGCTTAAACAACAGACCTTTATGTCTCATAGTTCTAGAGGCTGGGAAGTCCAAGATTAAGGTAAACGCAGATTTGGTTCTTGGTGAGGGCTCTCTTCCTGGCTTGCAGATGGCCTCATTCTTGCTATATCCTCACATGACAGAGAGAGGGAGAGCTTGTGTCTCTTCCTCTCCTATAAGGACCCTGATCCCATTATAAGAGTTTCACCTTCATTACCTCAAATAAACCTGATTACCTCCGAAAGGCCTCATCTCCAAATAGCATCACAATGAGGCTTGGGGCTTCAAAATATGAATTTCAGCGGGGGACAAAACTTGGTTTATAACACATGGTGATCCACTGTTAAATTCTGTCCTAGAAGACAAAACAAGGACTAAGAGGTCTCTAGATTTGTGCTTCCCTCAGAGCCACGAATACTGGAGGTACATTTTCGCCCATTAACTGAACTGCTCATGTAGCATTTGTAGTTCCAAGAGATATGAATCATTGTTAGACGCTTGAAGTGCCTTTGGAGCAAACGTTCCATAAATTTTCAAACTGCGGTTTTATTCAAAATGACATGTCTTACATGTATTATGAACTTTATACTTCCTGGAATTGCTCTACAAAGGTTATTTAATTTGATCCTCCGAATAGCTTTATCCACAGTCAGCAGATAAGAAAATTGAGGCCAGGCATGATGGTTCACACCTGTAATCCCAGCACTTTGGGAGGCTGAGGCAGGAGGACTGCTTGAGGCTAGAAGTTAGAGACCAGCCTGGGCAACATAATGAGACCTGTCTCTACAAAAAAATGAAAGAAAATTAGCCAGGCATGATGGCACACACCTGTAGTCCCAGCTGCTTAGAAGACTGATGTGAGAGAGCTGCTTAAGCTCAGGAGGTTGAGGCTGCAGTGAGCCATGATTGTGCCACTGTACTCCAGCCTGGGTGTCAGAGCAAAACTCTGTCTCAAAAAAAAGGAAGGAAGGAAGGAAGGGAGGGAGGGAGGGAGGGAGGGGAAGGAAGGAAGGAAGGAAGGAAGGAAGGAAGGAAGGAAGGAAGGAAGGAAGGAAAGGAAGGAAGGAAGGAAAGGAAGGAAGGAGGGAGGGAGCTGGGTGTGGTGGCTCGTGCCTGTAATCTGAGCATTTTGGGGGGCCAAGGTGGGCAGATCACTTGAGGTCAGGAGTTCAAGACCAGCCTAGCCAATATAGAGGCTGAGGCAAGAGAACTGCTTGAGCCTGGGAGGCGGAGGTTGCAGTGAGCTGAGATTGCACCACTGCACTCCAGCCTGCGTGACAGAGCAAGACTCAGTCTCAAAAAAAGGGAGGGAGGGAGGGAGGGGAGAAAATTGAAGCACGAAGACAATGAAGAATGTTCTGAAGTGTTAGATCTAGAACAGGGTCTCTGTATTTCAGGCCACCAGGCATGCCTTAAGGCAATGCTCTCTCAGATTTCATGCCACTGTGATGGCGAGGATCTCAAAGGCCCGAACCTCACTCTCAGCACCGAACAAACATTGCCACAAATATCCCCCTGTGTGAGGAGAAGATAAACACGTATGTCTGTCTTGGACAGTCTCTGGCTGCTGATATGCCCAAGAGTGTCTGTGCAAAGAATATTTCTAACCAAATAAAGAAGAGTTTGGGAACCTTCAGAATTTTCTCAGAGCAGATGGATGAAAGGTTAATTGTGTTACTTAGCCTCCTAGCATTTATAAAGCTGCACAAGGGGGAAAAAGGCTGATCTAGGAGCAGGTAAGAAATATGCTGAATTGAATAAGCACTCTCCCTGCCAAGACCTAAGAAATTTGTCAGCATCAAATGTGTGCTTGACACTGTACACCAGGTCACATGCTGCATTTGCTCAGCCCCTCTCAGTCTCAACAACTTTTGGAGAAAATTCTCTCTCCTCCACTATGCTCCAAGCACTCCTTCTAGCATTTTTATTCCTAATCGGAGGGGCTAAAGAGGAGGGACAGAGTGGGACACGAACCTTCACCAATTCTCCCAAAAGCATGTAAATTTCTGCTATCACGTGGGTACATCCCCAGTGATTAGAGATTTTGAGTGACAACAATTCTGGTCATATCATAGAAGGTAAATTATGAAATCAGAAGGATAAGGAAGAGTAAGGCAGAACAAAAACGGATCACCCTAATAAAATGTTGCTACCTTCCTCCCCTCTTCAAAATCATCAGTATCACACATCCCACCACCACCACCATCATCTCTAATTAATTTATAGAATCTGAAACAATAAAGCATCTGTTCTAAAGAGGTATTCAGAAGCACTATCAATTTTAAATACACATCCAATTCTTCATAAAAAGACCCTCTTGGCAAGATCCCATTTACTTAGATGTAGATTTCTTCCTTTAAGAACTTATCTGATGCCAGGCATGGTGGCTCACATCTGTAATCCCAGTGCTTTGGGAGGTCAAGGCAGGAGGACTGCCTGAGCCTAGGAGTTCAAGACCAGCCTGGGCAACATAGCAAGACTCCATCTCTAAAAAAAAAATTTTTTTTTTTTTTTCAAAATTAGCTGGGCACAGCAACATGCACCTGTAGTCCCACCTACTTGGGAGGCTGAGGGAGGAGGATTGCTTGAGCCCAAGAGGTCGAGGTTGAAGTGAACTGTGATTGTGCCACTGCACTCTAGCCTGGGTGATGGAGCAAGACACTATCTCAATTTAAAAAAAAATTATCTGAGGTGGCACATTACATTTTTGTTCAGCAAATGCAGACTGCCCTCTTCTCATGCACACAATTCAGGGGAAGAGTATGCATGTGAAGAGGGCAGAGAGTATGTATCTGCTCAACAAAAACATCTTCACGCCACTAATGTTGGACTTGATCATTTGCTGAGCTGAGTGTACTTCCCCACCCACAGCCTTTGAGCTTGGCCACGAGACTTGCTTTAGCCAACAAAATACTAGGGATGTGTCATGAGCAGAGACTTGAAATGAGCTTGCATTGCTGCTTCTAGCCTCTTCATCCTGACATCACCATGACAACATGCTTTGGGATGCCCACTGATCCAAGAAGCATGAGACACATGAAACAGTAAGATCCAATCTGTGGCTTAGAACCAAGCCCAGCTGAAAACCCAGATCAGCCAAACCTCAGCTTACCCAAAGATATGTGAGAGTAAGAAATGATTCAAGAACAACTCACTTATACATGTACGGCTTGAGCAACAAAGGATGTTGAATGTTGGTGTTATTGATTGAGATGGAGAAGGGGGAGAAAAGGGACTTGGGTTATGAAGGGATGTAACATGGAATCAAGAGTTTGGTTGGGACATACAACATTGGAGGTGCCTAGTAGACATCCAAATGAAGCTGTCAAGTACATGGGAGTTCAGGAAAGAAGTCAGAATTGGAGATAGAAAATTGGGATTCACCACAGTCTAAATGGAGTTTAAAGACAAGTTCCTTGAGGAGAAGACCTGGGCAGTAGAAACACACAAAGAGAAAGGGGTTTGAATACTGAGCCCTGGACACACCAACTGATAGAATCAGAAAAAGAAAGGCCAAGCAAAGAAAACAGAAGAACGTAGAAGGAAACCCTGGAAATGGTAGATTCCAAGAATGGACCTTTGCATTTGGTAAAGCCAATGCATTGGTGATGTTCACAGCACCAATTTCAGAAAACCAAAACCTGGGTAGATTCAAGAGAGAACAAGAGGCAAAGAACAGAAGGCAGCAGAAAGAGGCAATTTTTCCAAAAAGTCTGCTGTAAGAGGGCAGATAAATGTGGAACTACTGCTATTCTAGTGATCATGCTAGAAAAACAATTACCATGACAGAACAAAAAAAAGAAAGAAAGAAAGAAAGAAAGAAAGATAAACAAAAATAGCTCAGCAAGCTGAGGATGTGGTTCAGACATTAGGATAACACCAAGGAACCCAGAAACCTAGATCCCTGGGCCTACTTCACCCTGGTCAGCCCTGGTCAGCCCAATGACCTTGGACAGATCCCTTCCACAAGAAACTCACATGCGTACAATGGGGATGTGGATTCAAGAAGGTCTAAGACCGCTGGAGCGCTTGGATTCTATGCTCCTCTCTGCAACTCCGTACTGAATTTATTGTTCTTGGGAGGAGAAGATCTGGAAGCCTTTAGGGGTTTCATGAATTACAGAACATGTGCATCCTGCATCCTAAGAGGTCCTAAGGTTGAAATGCCAGTTTCCATCTCCAAAGAGCTGCAGGGGGCCGCAAGAGGTGGCTCACATCTGTAATTCCAGCACTTTGGGAGGCTGAGGTGGGTGGATCACAAGGTCAAGAGATTGAGACCATCCTGGCCAACATGGTGAAACCCTGTCTCTACTAAAAATACAAAAGAAAAAAAAACTTAGCTGGGCGTGGTGGTGCATGCCTGTAGTCCCAGCTACTCGGGAGGCTGAGGCAGGAGAGTCGCTTGAACCCAGGAGGCAGTGGTGGCAGTGAGCCGAGATTGCACCACTGCACTCCAGCCTGGTGACAAAGCAAGACTATATCCCACCCCCCACACACACACAAAAAAAAAAGAGCTTCAGGGAATGGTCGTAGGAAGAATGCCTCAGCTGCTCTTCTTTCTGGTGACAGATGAGGCTATAAGCAAGAATGTGGAATGACATGACTGTGTCTCCAACATCAGCAGATTTCCAAAGCCTGCATTATCTAAGTTCTGTGATTCCCTGTGACCCATGCAGATGAAAAAATGTGAGGTCCCACTGCCTGATTGAAAACTCAAAGGCTGGGAACAGTGGCTTATGCCTATAATCCCAGTACTTGGGAGGCCAAGGTGGGAAGATCACTTGAGGCCAGGAGTTTGAGACCAGTCTGGCAACATGTTGAGACACCATCTCAACAAAGAATACAAAAAACTAGTCGGGCGTGGTCCCAGCTATTCGGGAGGCTGAGGTAGGAGGATCACTTGAGCCCAGGAGATCAACGCTTCAGTGAGCTGCAATCACACCATTGCACTCCAGCCTGGGCCACAGGGTGAGAACCTGTCCCCCTCTCCCACCCCAAAAATTATGAATAATAAAAACTCAAAGCACTACAGCATCACAGAAACCAGAAAAAAGAAAGGAAGAAGCCAAATTCTTCTTTATCTAAACAGACCCAGATATAGTAATATAAAGACACTAGCTTAGGGTGTATCCGCCAGATGTACAAGTGGTAAAATCCAACGTCTTGGAGAATTGATAAATTCAACAGACCAAAAATAACTCCCTGAATAAATAAGAAATGACCAAATACACAGAAACCCAGACTGTCAGGATCATCCAAGGCCACTCCAGCCCTCCACGTTGTGGCCAGTTCAGAATCCAGCTTTAGAATAAACACCTGCAGAGGTCCACACTCAGCCATGATCCCCCCAGAGCAGCCTGCCCCATTGGGCTCACATCCTAAGCTAGCATCTTTATGCTGTTCTATCTGGGTCCCAGCCTCAAACGATCCTTCCACCTTGGCCTCCCAAAGTGCTGGGATTACAGGCAAGAGCCACCACGCCCAGCCTTTGAGTTTCTAATCAGGCATTGCTCTTTAAGTAGAATCAACGTCTGCAACATCTTATACCTTCTAGATATTGGTCCTAATTCTGCCTGTGAACATGCCAACAAAGCTGATTTCCTAAGAGCTCAGTGTCACGGTGATTCTCAGAGCACGAGGCATCATCTGACCAGGCAGATTCCTCAATCTTCACTATTCCATCACTCACCTGGTCTGCCTCTAGCTGTTCCAGGTGACTTCAGCTCCTTCCCTTGCTAGAGTTCCCAGATGAGAAAAAGAAACAGCAGGCACGTTGGGGGTAAATATTCCATAAAGAAACATACGGCCCTGTCTCTCATCATGGTTAACAGACTTGCCCAGCTCAAGCCGGAGGCCGCAGGTGTGTGCAGGTGAACAAGACAAACAGTTGGGATATTTCACTCAAGGGAGATGGATGTGAACACACACCTTCCATGCCCCAGTTATCCTCCACCTCTGAAAAAAATAACCTCAATGGCCAGAGTTTGTGGAAAGTCTTTGAAAAACATCCTGAATGTATTGTTTTTGGTGGGAAAAGCTCTGGAACCCTTTAGGGGTTTCATGACCTACAGAACATGTACATCCTAAGAGGCCCCAACATTGAAATGCCAGTTTCCATCTCTAAGGAGCTTCAGGGAATGGACGTGGAAACAATCCCTGTATCACTCTTCTTTCTGGTATCAGGGTCACTCTCCCAGGTGTGCACCTCTTAGCCCAGGCCAAAGCCAAGCCCTTCAGGTGTGAAGTAAGCAGGCCTCCCTAGGTATGCGGGTATGGGTGGTACCATCAGCCTTTCCTCCCTCCAGCAGGTCAGCTGGAGCTGCCCAAGCTACATGGTGCTTATTTAGAAGTCCTGGAGGAGCCCTTTACTTTGGGATCTATTTGTTTATATCCTTCTCTGCTGCAAACCTCACAATAATCAAAGCCAAAATCAGAAATTGCAAGACCAACAAATAATTGAGAAGCAACACAACCAAATTATGGATCAATACTATGCTGGTTAATGATCTGAGGCAGGCGTGAGAAGATACTATGTACAGATGGTCTTGAGGACTTCCCAGTCGCACCCCACCTTGTTCAGCTTGAGTGACCAGAGCCAAGACCCAGCCCACCCTGTTCCATTCTCCCTCTGATCAGATCCACAGATCCACAGATCAGGATCCTGATCAGACCCACAGATCAGGATCCTGATCAGACCCACAGATCAGGATCCTGATCAGACCCACAGATCAGGACCCCAGGCGGCCTGCGAGGCTCCTGCCTTCCTCCCTTTGCTCCTGCTCCATTTCCAGTTGCAAGCACAGAGGGAAGTCTGGTGGCCCTGCAGAGGCCCCAGCTGTTGCACTGGACACAATCTCTCTGCCCAATGCTTGCTTGTTGCATTACCTTACATAAGTTGGTTTCCCTGTGTTCACATTCCAAGGAGAATCATATGGCCCTCTCACCGTAGTTGACAGACCTACCCAGCTCAATCTGGAGGCTGCAGGTACGTGCAGGTGAACAAAACAGTTGGGATATTTCACTCAAGGGTGATGGACATGGACACACACCCTTCCATGTCCCAGTTATCCTCCACCTCTGAGAAAGTGCCCTTGATGGTCAGAGTCTGTGGAAACAGTCTATGAAGAACACAGACTCTATGTTTCACAGCACTCTGCACCTGCCCTTGAGGCCGCACTCAACATTTTCCCCACCAACTCTTGCGGAAGAACCTCAGGGTTCCAGTCTCACACTTGATCATATAGCCTTAACCTCAGTGATTGCATGTTTTTTCTCTCTTCCCATATATGTTAAACTCTCAGAGTCTCCATTTCTTATCCTATAAAGGAGGAATAATGAACACAAGCCCATATAATGGAAGGCACACCAAGAGGACAGCATGGTACTTGGCAAATGGTAGGGGATCCAATTTTAAGTGCTCTCTTGTACATTGTTGATGGGAATGTAAAATGGTGCAGCTGTTTCAGAAAACAGTCTGGTACTTCCTCCAAAGGTGAAACATGGAATTACCATATGATCCAACAATTCCGCTCCTAGGTATGTACCCAACAGCAATGAAAACATGTCCACACAAAAACCTGTACACAAGTGATTCACAGCAGCCTTATCCATCACAGCCAAAAAGTCAAAACAACCCACACGTCCATCAGCTGTTGGATAGATAAACAAAATGTGGTGTATCCATACAATGGAATATGATTTGACTATAAAAAGAAAGGAAGTACCGATAGATGCTACAACATGGATAAACTGTGAAGTCGTTTTGCTAAGTGAATAAAGGCCGACAAAAAAACAAATAGATGTATGCTTCCATATATATGAAGTGTCCAGAATAGGTAACTCCAGAGACAAATAATAGATTAGTGATTGCCAAAGTCAGGGGTGGATTGAGGAGTGACTGCCAATGGGTACAATGTTTGTTTTCAGAGTGATAAAAATATTCCAGAATTAGACAGTGGTGAACTGTAGACTTTTTTAAGGTGAATTTTGATGTTGTTTTTGTTGCAGACAGGGTCTCATCACTCTGTTGCTCTCAATGAATGCTGGAGTGCAGTGTCTGTGCAATCATGGCTCAGTGCAGTCCTTAACTCCTGGGCTCAAGCGATCCTCCCACCTCAGCCTCCAGAGTAATGGGACTACAGGCATGTACCACCACACCACGCTAATATTTGTTTTTAATTTCTTGTAGAGATAGGGGTCTCACTATGTTGCCCAGGCTGGTTGCAAACTCCTGGCTTCAAGTGATCCTTCTCCTGTGGCCTCCCAAAGTAGAGTGAATTTCATGGGATGTAAATTAATCTCAACAAAACAATGGAAAAGAAAAAAACAAAACAAAAATAGAACATGGAGCAAAAATATCGGAAGGGCTCTTTGTCCTTCTTTCCAGACTTTCTGGTTTCCACTTCAAGTTATATGACCATCACGCTTGGAGTGGCCTTTTTGGGTCCTTTGACTAGCACTGAAAGGCCTTGACCTCTTGCTCTGTTGAGTCATTATCCAGTTCTAACACCCTCTCTTTCTCTCTCATTTATCTAAAAGTTCATTCTACTTTTTTGGGGGGCTGCACTGTTCTCCAAATGTCATACTTACATTGCCTAATCCAATGACTATTGCCTAATAAATTAGAAGCAGTTTTGTGTCATGGACACGGACACACACACACACACAGACACACACTCACACACACACTCAATATTCTGGTTTTGGGGAGTAATTAACCACTATAACTTTTCCACTCCATTGTCTGCAGAGCAATAAATTACACATAAAAAAATATTTCAATTGCGTTTGGTTTTGTAAAGACAGAACAATTCACTGTTCTCTACAAGAATGAAGGGTAACATTCGCCTCCATCCCTTGCCCAGAATGGCTAATGGTGAACCCAAATTAAATAATCTTTTTCAAAATCCATTAGGAAGAAGTTCGTTTTTTTCCAAGTAGACAACCTAGTGAGCTCCTCATGAATTTTCCTGACATCTCACATGACAAAAACGTCCCCTTTAATCCCTTCCCAAGGCTAACAACTGCAGCAACTCAACCCTTCACATTTAATTTCCTTTTAAAGCCAGGTTTCTGAGGGGGCTCTGCAACCACCGAAATAGTTACTCTGGAAGGACTCCAGTGAGCAGTAACTGCCTCAAACCCAATATGTAATCATTGTTATGCAAATTGCCTTTATAGAGAGAAACTCAGAGAACCTCTGAGTCAATCAATACACATTCTGTCCCCAGACTAGCTCCCTCTCTTCCCTAATGAGCTTTTACTGAGCTATGGCTCACCATTTTTTAAGGTCAAAAAGTCTCCTTTACAGGATATTCACCTGACACACATTGAAGTTATTTTTTTTCACAGAGCTTCTTTCACGGTAAATAATTATTCTTTCCTAAAGAGAAGCAAGCACTGTTTGTTTGCCCATGTGTCTTTGTTGCTACGGACAGTTGGCCCACTGCAGGAGAAACCTTTGCTCCTCAACTATTATTCTTTTTCATTGGCTCTTTCAAATTTCCATTTACCGAAAGAGTGTCATTGCCAACACTCAGAAACCTGGAGGAAAAAGGTATGAAGATGCAGCCTTGCCTTCCTGGAATTTAAAGTCTAGACAGGGAGCTGAGATAGAATCATTTTGCTGAGGTGGTAAAAATAAAGACTGCTGAGAATAATTTTTGCAATGATTCAGAGAATTGAAAGGTCAATAGAGGCTTAGAATAAAATATTTATGTTCATAATATCCACAGATGTTCCTAGTTCAACAAGTGGAAAAATACTTGGGTTTCTCTATAGGGTGGACTCTGGGATGGGATATATATTTTTAAAGATACGGGGTCTCGCTCTGTTGCCCCAGACTGGAGTGCAGTGGCAGAATCATAGCTCACTACAGCCTCAAACTCCTGGGCTCAAGTGATCCTCCTGCCTCAGCCTTCCAAGTAGCTGGAACTACAGGTACACACCACAATGCCCAGCTAATATTCTTACTATTTTAGTGATGGGGTCTTGCTATGCTGCCCAGGCTGGCCTTGAACTCCTGGCTTCAATTGATCCTCCTGCTTCAACCTCCCAAAATGCTAGCCCTGAGTCTTCTTAATAGCACTTACAAGCTGTTATGGGCTGAATTTTGTCCCATCAAAATACCTATGTTGAATTCCTAACTCCCTGTGCTTCAAAATGTAAACATATTGGAGATGAGCTCTTTAAACAGGTGACTATGTTAAAATGAGGCTCATTAAGTGGACCCTAAGAAGAGGAAGAGACACCAGGGAGATATGCACACAGAGCAAAGACTGTGTGAAGAGGGAGTGAGAAGGTCACTACCTGCAAACCCAGGAGCATGGCCTTAGGAGAAACCAACCCTGCCAGCACCTTCATCTTGGATTTCCAGTCTCCAGATCTGCGAGAAAAATTTCTGTTGTTTAAACCAGACAGTCTTTTGTTATGGTACTCAGAATACACTAATCCACAATCACAGATAATTGTACTCAATTTTCAAGAGTTTTCAGTAGTGATGACATCACGGCAGGAGTTAACATTAAGGTTTTGATGCAGGTAAATAGGATGATAAGAGCTGGTAGAAGTAATGCAGGGCAGGTGAGCCCCAAAGTTGGGACTTGGCCTGGGAGGGTTGTTGGCTTTGCCCAGGAAGAAATTCAAGGATGAGCTGGTGGTGTTGCAACTTTTATTGAGGCATCAGTGCACAGTAGCACGAAGGTCCTGCTCCTTGCAGAGCAGGGCTAACCCCAGGCAGTTTGCCCAGAAGTGCAGCTCAGAGGCAATTTTACAGTAATACTTATAACCACTTTTTAATACCATGCAAATTAAGGCATGGATTATTCAGAAATTTCTAGAAAACAGGAGGTAACTTTAGGGTGTTGCCACAGCCAGGGGCAGTAACTGCCTGGTGTTGCTATGGCAATGGTAAACTGTCACGGCACTCATGGACATGTCTCATGGAGAAGTGCTTTCAGTGCCTCTTCCCTGTTTCAACCAGTCTTCAATCCGGTCCAGAGTCAAGTTCTACCTCCTACCTCAGAAGCAGATGGAGGGACAGCTAGTGTGGAAAGATGAGCAATATGCTAGGCTAATGTTCCTTGCATCTCAGCAATCACCAAAATCCTTCTTAGCTGTAGCATCTTTTGCCTCTCCCACACAGGGACTGGTGAGCAACTGCATGGTGTACCCATCCACATCCCTAATGACTGAATACTCATGTTCCTTCTTCAGCCTATCTCAAGAATAACAAATCAAGGGAAGGCTCTCCCAACTGTGTCCATGACATCACTCTTCACTGAGATGCTGCGCTGCTCATCTCATCCTGGATTGAGAAGAGAGAAGCATGAACTGGGATCCCCCACAGCTTTTTCAATTTTTAAAAAATGTGACTCAGGCCTTAGGTTTTTTTAAAAAAAATTCTTCCTGAATTTGGGCACCACAATGCCCCATTAATTTATTTTTTATTTTTTGTAGAGATGGGGGTCTTGCAATAACAGCACCCTTAGCTCACTTCTTACTGTTAAGCTATCTCCAAACATAAGATGCTTCCCCAATTGATTGACTCACCACTGAGCCCCATTCCGGTATGGCTTAGCCAGAGGGCCTAAGCCAAATGAGTCGGCCTGCCAAACCTAGAGCATGCTATTCCTCCCTGACCAACACCACACACCTTGGGAACCATGCATCCTCATCAGGCCCATCTTTAGGAGAGAAGGTGTTTCCTCATCCCCAACCTCGCCAAGGGAGAAAACGTAGGGTTAACTGGTCAAATAGCAAGCCCAGGCTCCAGATATTGTCAAGGAGCTTCTCCTTCCAGCTTCCTGCAGCTCAGGTTATAAATAAAGTCAGTGGAAAGAAAAATAATATCCATGGAGACTTGCTGAAATGAAATACAGAGCAGCCATTCCTCTTCAGATTTGAAAGTTATTTTGGGAATAAATCTCATCAGCGGCGAGCTGCTCACTGGTGTTACCTCCTGCAAAGCAGGATTTACTGGACTAGTGTCGTGATAGAGAACTACCGTGGTAGTCACTCCCAGCTGTCTTCCTGAGATCCCTTCCTCCACTTCTCCCATTCTCTTCTACACCAGCAGAACATCGCGTGGCATTCCATCCAGCCCAGAATGAAGGACAGAGCCACTTCTCTAGCCCTTTTGTTACTAGGTGTACCTGGGTGACTCTGGTAGGGCCAATAGAAAGGAAAGTCTTCTGAAAAGATTCTGGAAGGATTCATCTTTGCTAATAAAAAGGACTGCCCTTTTCTATCCACCCTGCTTGAGATGCTGGGGTTAGGATACAATGTTTGGATTAGCCATGAAGGAAAGGGAAACATATATGTTGCACTGCTGAACTGCTTGAAGGCATCTGGGACCCCAGGCCACTAGAATCCTTAGGTAAATATTAGGTTGGTGCAAAAGTAACTGCAGTTTTTGCCATTACTTTAAATGCAAAAAACAATTACTTTTGCACAAACCTAATACTAAATGTCCTCATGATCTCAGACAGTGCTACGTGTTCTTCTATTTGCAAACAGATGCAAATAGGCACACGGAATGTGAAGTTACATTTACAAAGACGATGCCATTGAACACATAGTGATATGATTTAGGGAATCCTTTGTGACAAAGTAAGGGAAATTTCTTTAGCGTCTCAGCCCCTGGCAGAGTCATTCTGCTTCTGATTCATTTCATCCTGGAGACATCGTGAACCATATGGATGATATATGTATTCTTCTGTTTTCATGCTGCTGATAAAGACATATCTGAGACTGGGCAATTTACAAAAGCAAGAGGTTTGATGGACTTACAGTTCCACATGGCTAGGGAGGCCTCACAATCATGACAGAAGGCAAGGAGGAGCAAGTCACGTCTTACACAGATGGCGGCAGGCAAAGAGAGAGCTTGTGCAGGGAAACTCCCCCTTATAAAACCATCAGATCTTGTGAGACTTATTCGCTATCACGAGAACAGCATGGGAAAGGCCTGCCCCCATGATTCAATTACCTCCCACCAAGTCCCTCCCACAACACGTGGGAATTCAAGATGAGATCTGGGTGGGGACATAGCCAAATCATATCAATATATTTCTCTCTTAGTGTTGGCTGGTAGAAAGTAGAGGTCCAAGTTTAGAAATAAGTATTCTAAACATTTCTGGCAAATGCGCTAAACATCACAGCATATGCAGTTTGTATTTACATGACCCCAAATTCATCCCCACTCTCCCTCCACCCTTTATTATGGGAATTCCTTAACATAACTCTTATTATCATTATAATATCCTATATTCATAGGAATATTCCTCTAGTATGTAACTTGAATACTATCTCAAATAATTCTTGAAATTAATAAGCAAATGTAAATAAAAGGATAGCTTGGGGGACAACTTTTGCAGTAAATGACACGACAAAAGTGTAGACAAAAGTTATGCGAACCCAGACGAAGGCATGGTTTTCTCTCCTTGGTCTCGGCAGGGAGCATGCATGGCTTCCTCAAGGAGATAACATTTGGATGTGGTCTCAGAGGGGTGGAAACTCCTTCCCAGCAGAAGGGAAAGCGTGTGCCTCAACTCACATAAGGAAGAAGCAAATTTAGCAGGGAATGAGATGGGAGGCAGGTAGCTGGGCAGGATGGCAAGGCTGGAAAGACAAACAGGAATTAGACTGCCAAGGGTCATGGATTTATTCACTGAGTCACAGTGAACCAAGAAAGGTTTTGAGTAGGAAAGAGAAAAGAAATGATCAGGTCTGGATGCAATGACAGCATAAAAATGACTGACAAGAGTTGGAAAAATGGCACTGAAGGGAAAAAAGACTAGGTAGAGGGTGACATCAGCTGTCCAAGTCAGACTCAAAAGGATTTGAGCTAGGACAAGTGGTGGATAGAGAGTAAAAAGAAATGAGCTGGGCGCAGTGGCTCACATCTGTAATCCCAACACTTTGGGAGGCCGAGGTGGGCAGATCACCTGAGGTCAGGAGTTCGAGACCAGTATGGCCAACATGGTGAAACCCCGTCTCTACTAAACATACAAAAATTACCCAGGCGTAATGGTGCTTGCCTGTAATGCAGCTACTTGGGAGGCTGAGCCATAAGAAATCCGTTGAACCCAAAAGGCAGAGGTTGCAGTGAGCTGAGATCGTGCCACTGCACTCCAGCCTGGGCAACAGAGCTTGACTCTGTTTCAAAAAAAAAAAAAAAAACTAAAGAGAAATGAAAGGCACTTCCAAAGCAGAGCCCAGAGCAGTTGCTGGCTTGTCTTCCCCAATACCTGTCACATCCCTTTTCTCATTGCATCCATGTTTATTTATCTCGTGCAAAGTGCCTGAAGCTGCAAGGTTCTGGGGATACAGAGGGGCTCTTGATCTAGCCAGGGGGACAGACAATTCCAGAGGAGCCTAACAAAGAGAGGATGCTGAAG
The DNA here is from genome assembly GCF_000001405.40 of Homo sapiens. Lineage (NCBI taxonomy): Eukaryota > Metazoa > Chordata > Mammalia > Primates > Hominidae > Homo > Homo sapiens. Next base: position 71,308,526 of record NC_000007.14, on the reverse strand, counting down.
ATGTAAGTCCTAAATCAAATGGAGGGAGGGCAGTGAATTTGGTATAGAATGTTCGAAAAATCCTATTCATTCCCTCCCTACTCCTGAGAAACACATAGTGATCCTGTGACATCAGCCCCAATGCCTCTTTTGAAAGCAGTTCTATAAAAGGCAATGCCAAGGAATGAGAATGGAAACCGAACAGTCTGGGTGTGGGATGACCCTTGGCAACACGGGTGAGATCACACCCTGCCTTGGTCCCGGCACTGGCAGCCAGGATCTGCTCCCACCGAGCTGCAATCCAATGCTTCTTTCTTCCTCTGCAAATATCCTTCAAGGCTTGACAAATGTGAGTCACCACGACAAGAATAGTGCCATTCCTAAATAGCAGGTCTTTATATACTTTGTTTCCTTGCTCCTATTTGCTACTTTGTCACTAAGCTTTCCAGACAACTGCCCCCATGCAACAAACTCCCCTCTGACCCGGAGCCTTCAGACTTCCCAGAATTGGATGAAATGGAAAACACACAAGACCCCTGAATCAGGCTCAATGAGGCACGTCCCACCTACCCACCTGCTGTGCCCCTTTTCTCCCAAAGGTCTCAGTGTGGCCTCTTTCTAATAACCAGAAACTGTGATCTAAGCATCCCAATGAAGTAACCTTTACAATCTCCCAGAGCCAGAGAAATGCACAAATGAAAAGAAAAAAAAAATGCTTCACTCATAAGCATTGTTCTATTCTAAAAATAGTGCTCTAACCAATACTCACCAACCACTTGGACTTCAGATTTAACTTCTCATTTTCTGGTTCCTTCTAATGAGTATGCTTAACTTGGTAGAAGGAACCAGAAAATGAGAAGTTGAGTAGGAACTCTACTGCTACTCCAGAGACAGGTCTTAACGGAGCACAGAGTGGGTGCAACCAAGGAAGACTTCCTAGAGGTGGGGCTATGAAGACCAGGAAGTCTTCCTCGATTGCATCCACTCTCTGCTCTCTTAAGACCTGTCTCTATCATAGCACTTGATAAGCTGTATTATAATTTTCCGTTTAGATGCCCGTCTCCTCCAACAGATTGTGAGTTTCCTCTCTCATGGCAGAAAGTGGGTCTTATTGCCTCTGTAAGCCAGCACCTAGTGTAATAACATATACCCAGCAGGGTAAAACGTATACTCAAAAATGTGACATAAACCACAATGAGATACCACCTCACACCCATTAAAATGGCTACTGTCAAGAAAACAAAATAACAAGTGTTGGCGAGGATGTGGAGAAAGTGGTACCTTGTGCACGGCTGATGGGAATGCAAAATGCTGCAACCCCTATGGAAAACAGTATGGCGGTTCTGCAAAAAGTTAAACATAGAATTACCACAGGATCCAGGAATTTTACTTCTGGGCATAAACCCCAAAGAAATGAAAGCAGGGACCAGGGGTGGTGGCTCACGCTTGTCATCCCAGCACTTTGGGAGGCCAAGGTGGGCAGATCACTTGAGGTCAGGAGTTCAAGACCAGCCTGCCCAACATAGTGAAACCCCATCTCCACTAAAAATACAAAAATTAGCCAGGTGTGGTGGTGGGCACCTGTAATCCCAGGTACTCGGGAGGCTGAGGCAGGAGAATGGCATGAACCCAGGAGGCAGAGGCTGCAGTGAGCTGAGACTGTGCCACTGCACTCCAGCCTGGGCAACAGAGCGAGACTCTGTCTCAAAAAACAAAACAAAACAAAACAGAAATGAAAACAGGGACTTGAACAGATATTTGCACACTCATGCTCATAGTAGCACTATTTGCAATAGTCAGTAGGTAGAAGCAACCCAAGTACCCATCAACAGATGAATAAACAAAAGAGGATACATTAAGTTGGTGCAAAAGTAATTTCTGTTTTTTGCCATTACTTTCAATGGCAAAAACAGCAATTATTTTTGCACCAGCCTAAGATGTAAACATACAATGGATTATTATTCAGCCTTCAAAAGGAAGGAAATCCTAACACATGCTACAACTTGAATGAACTTTGAGGACGATATTCTAAGTGAAATAAACCAGTCACAAAAGGACAATTACTGTATGATTTCACTTAAATGAGGTATGTAGAGTAGTCAAATTCTAGAGACAGAGAAAGAAGAATAGTGGGGGGCGTTGACAGCAGGTAGGGGGAGTTATTGTTTAATGGGTACAGAGCTTCAGATCTGCATGATGAAAACAGTTCTGTTGCCCAAAAATGTGTATATACTTAACGCTACTGATATATGCACATATAAATTGTTAAGATGGTAAATTTCATGTTATGTATGTTTTACCAAAATTAGAATTTATTTTATTTTATTTTGAGACAAATCTCACTCTGTCACCCATGCTGGAGTGCAATGATGCGATCTTGGCTCACTGCTATTTCTGCCGCCTAGGTTCAAGTGATTCTCCTGCCTCAGCCTCCCAAGTAGCTGGGATTACAGCCACGCACCACCACACCCGCCTAATTTTAGTATTTTTAAGTAAAGATGGAGTTTAGCCATGTTGGCCAGGCTGGTCTCGAGCCCCTGACCTCAAGTGATCCGCCTGCCTCAGCCTCCCAAAGTGCTGGGATTACAGGCGTGGGCCACCATGCCCGGCCTAATTAGAAATTTTTTAATTGTAAATCAGGACACTCTCTTGCTTAAAGCTTCCAGTGGCTTTCCACGGTACCTGGATTTTTTTTCTTTTTTTAAGTGGCAGAATGAATTGGATGATGTCAGAGGAAGAGTCTTCTAAGGCCAGTCCGTGGAGTTAGTAATTATCTCTCTTCGAATCCAAAAGGTTCATTGAGATATGGAAACTTCTCTGGCTCTGGGTGACATCAGGTCGCCAACCTAGTAAGTCCTTTACTGCTGACCCCGCACTGGACTGAGATGACAACTTCCTGGAGGGGCCCTCCCCCGTCCCCTCACCGTTGTCATAACACCCACCAAACTCACAGTCTGGGGAGGAGAAGGGGCTTACAGAGGTCCTGCTTTCAACACAAAGACCAAAGACATCGCCATGAAATGAGAGCCCAGATTTTAAGAACAACTGCTAACAATTTCACTACTCTGAATTTCCGGGACTGAATCTGCCATCCCAGGGGGTAGAAAAATTTATCCTTGCCGTGGGTTAGTTGAAAACAAGAAAATTTTGGTGCTTTAGCCTGCAGCTGGATTTGATCTACAATTTAAGGAGAATTGCCCCAGGAATAAAGTAAAATAAAAATCTGCTAACTGAAGAAGTTTTCCATTAGCATTTACCACTAGTTCTGCAAATGGGAGTACTGGCGGGAAAAACTATCCCAAAAAACTAGCAAAATTAACATGTGCTCAAAGTATTTTTGCTCCAAATAGGATTATATGTGATAGAAGAAAAATAATAAAGTCAAGGATTAAGGTATTTAATTTTATATATCCATAACTATATCTGTAATTGTATCTATAGCTACATCTACCTCTACCCCAAACGTGTTCTATGCATCTCCTTACACAGAAAGAATTGCTAGGCTTCTAGGTAAAATATTGGACTTGTGTGGCTCACGCCTGTAATCCCAGCACTTTGGGAGGCCAAGGCAGGTGAATCACGGAGGCCAGCCATGGCCAACATGGTGAAACCCTATGTCTACTAAAAATACAAAAAATTAGTCAGGCATGGTGGCGGGCACCTGTAATCCCAGCTACTTGGGAGGCTGAGGCAGGAGAATCCCTTGAACCCAAGAGGCGGAGGTGAACCGAGATCGTGCCATTGCACTCCAGCCTGGGCAACAAGAGCAAAACTCCATCTCAAAAAAAAAAAAGAAAAAAGAAATACAGGACTTGTAGGTAAAACTGGCAATGGGTTCTCACTTAGCAGACCACTTTCCAACAAAAACACTGTAGTGGGAAGTGCAAAACTAACTTATCTGAACTGTAGGGATCCCCTTGACACAAATAAGCAAACACAGGCCACTTGCATCTTGGGAGCCTGGTAAATTGAGTGGTTCCCAGTTGATAGACCTTGACATAGCCCAAGAATGATGCCCTTGGAGTGTTTCTTAACAAAAACATGCATGCAGCGCTGTCATCAAAACCTTCTCCGTTTTCAGTGGCTTATTCCTTGACAATGTATTTAAGATCATACGGTAATTTACCCAAAGGGGCAAAGGGGAAGAGACAACATCTGTACCCACTTTGTCACCCACTCCATGCCTTCAGTTTCTATATACGCACTGATGAATACTTAATCCACCTCTGAACGCCGTTTCAGTTAACTTAGCGTCTGTCGAATATATACAGATTAAACTATGCTGGCACGTTGTAAATGTTCAAAAAGTATCTGTTGGGTAAAAGAACAAATGCATCACTGCATTGAATGAATGAAGACTGCTCATTCTCTGATGAAGGAAAGCTTGCAAAAATCAACTACGTGGTTCCCCTAATTGCAGAAACTAGGTGTGGCTTTATTCAACCAACAAGGTGTGCTCAAGGGTATTGAGCAGAAATTAGAGTGAAAAGCTCTGTCTACATTCTTGAGGGACAAGCTTATTTAGTATTTTAATTGGCTCAAATATGCAAGTGTGCACCTTGAGACTCCTGGGGCGAAAGAAAAGCCGATTGTTTGCAGTCTCCAGATCATTTTAACATGGTTGTTTTTAAAATACTTGCCTTACAGCTGCCCCGGAGGCGTTTAGCTATTATTTGGATCCTGCAGAGAAAAATGCACCAAGTTTTGCTGTCAGACTTCCAGAAAGAGAAATTCAAAGGGCTAATCTCAAATGTTTGAGGTCAAGCCTTGCAAGGAATGTGGCTCTTCATCAAATTTAATGGCTTCTTTAGAGGGGAGTCCAGCCCACTCTGAGTCATGAAGAAAAAAAAAGGCAGTAATTCTCCCAGACCAGAGAATGCGTAAATCACTTCCAAGCAACAGGTCGACGTGCTGAGTATTAGTAATCACTGTATTAAACAAAAAAGAGAATCTGACATCTTTCTAGCACAAGTCAGAAAAATGTTGTATTTGACCATGAATTTTTCATCTTCAAGTGTCCCAATGTCTATTCAAATGGCCCTCATCCATTTACACAGACCCCACCAATTCAAACTTAGGGATCATTCATTCAAAAAAGGCTGGTTAATTTCACCTAGATATCATTTACGAAGGAAATGAAAATAAAGCAATTAAGTGGTATATATAAGATATAAATACCAGCCTGGACAACATGGCGAGATCCCATCTCTACAAAAAAAAATATAAATTAGCTGGGTGTAGTGGTGTTCACCTATAGTCTCTGCTCCTCAGGAGAGTGAGGTGGGAAAATCTCTTGAGCCCAGGTCAAGGCTACAGTGAGCCATGATTTCACCACTGCGCTCCAGCCTGGGCAACACAGCGAGAACCTGTCTCAAAAAAAAAAAAGGCTGGGTGCAGTGGCTCATGCCTGTAATCTCAGCAATTTGGGAGGCTGAGGTGGGTGGATCATGAGGTCAGGAGATCAAGACCACCCTGGCCAACGTGGTGAAACCCTGTCTCTACTAAAAATACAAAAATTAGCCGGGCATGGCAGCACGTGCCTATAGTCCCAGCTACTTGGGAGGCTGAGGCAGGAGAATTGCTTGAACCCAGGAGGTGGAGGCTGCAGTGAGTCAAGATTGAGCCAACACACCACTCCAGCCTGGGCGACAGAACGAGACTCTGTCTCAAAAAAGTAAATATATACATATATGACTCGCCTAATCCACTGAAGCTATCATAGTATGTTAATTACATGCATAAAAATTGCCGTTCCTAATAACAAATGAATACCCCATGTTGAAAGGGGGAAGTTCAACAGACTCTCAATTTAGTCCATTTTTTAAAGAGCACGGTTATGCTATGCTGCTGAAAATAATGAATAAGACCCAGTAAAGTAGTCTTTCCAGCTTTCATCAATTCAGCCTAGCTTTGTCTCCCCATTACAGTGACGTTCTATGAGATTACAGTGCCTGAGCTCAGAGGCAACAGACAAGGAGACCTAGGTCCCTGGGACAACAAGGAGAGTGTGTGCACATGGCCCTGCACATGTACGCTAGTATCTTTCAGGTCCTGAAATTAGCACACATTATTCGAAGGCCGCCATGTAGAGAACTCTCATTTTGAAATATGACACAGCTGAAGCCCCATGCCAGTGCACTTGAGCCTGGACAGCATACTGAGACTCTGTTACCTAATTTTTAAAAATATTTTATTTTAGGTTCTGGGATACACGCACAGGATGTGCAGGTTTGTTACATACATAAACATGTGCCATGGTGGTTTGCTGCAACTATCAACCCATCACCTAGGTATTCAGCCCCGCATGCATTAGCTATTTTCCCTGATGCTCTCCCCACCCCTGCCCTCTCCCAACAGGCCCCAGTGTGTGTTGCTCCCCTCCCTGTGTCCATGTATTCTCATCGTTAAGCCCCTACTTATAAGTGACAACACGCGGTGTTTGGTTTTCTGTTCCTGCATTAGTATGGTGAGGATAATGGCTCCCAGCTTCATCCATGTCCCTGCAAAGGACATGATCTCATTCCTTTTTATGGCTACACAGTATTCCATTCTTGCTACATGTATTATAAGACACATGGTTTGTGATGACATTTTGTACCTACTTACACTATTTTCTCAAAGTCTTTCAAAGTCACTGTCAATAGCAGGTTCTTCACCTTCCACCCCTGCATATAAAGCAGAAACCGCCTATAAAGGGTTCATTCAAAAGACAGTGAAATTCTTTTTTGCCTTTGTGTACTTTGTAATTTACCTATCCTTTACATTATTCATTTTTATTTCATTTTCGTTTAGTTTTTTTTGTGGTAAGAACCTTTCACACAAGATCTATCCTCTTAACAAATTTTTAAGTGTCCAATACTGCGCACACTTGTGTATTTGGGCCAAATTAAAGTACTAAATGAGTTTATGCCTCAACTATAAGTACAATGCTGCATATTGGGTAACTAGAACTTATTCATCTTACTTAACTGAAATTATACATCAGTTGAAAGACAGAAAAAAGGACTACAAGACTAACAGCAACACAATGGCAAAAGTAAATCCCTCTCTATCAATAATTACTTTTAAAAAAGTAATTATTTTTTATAATAATTAAACAATATTTAAAATATATGTTATATATTTTATTATATACATATTTAAATATATATTTTATTATATATTATTATATATAATTATTAGTATATATTAAATATATATTTTAATATAATAATTAAAAAATATTTTTTAAAAAGTATTATTACTTTAAAAAAAAAGTAATCAGGCAGGGTCTCACTCTGTCATCCAGGCTGGAGTGTAGTGGAGCGATCTTAGCTCACTGCAGCCTCGAACTCCTCGGCTGAAGGGATCCTCCCACCTCAGCCTCCCGAGTAGCTGGGACTACAGGCGGCACCATCACGTGTGGCTGATTTTCTTAATTTTTGTAGAGATAAGGTCTTGTTATGTTGCCCAGACTGCTCTTGAACTCCAGGGCTCAAGGGATCCTCCCACCTCTGCCTCCCAAAGTACTGGAATTATAGATGTGAACCACCATGCCTGACCTCAATAATTACTTTAAATATAAATACATTAAACACTGTTCATTTTACAAATAGCTTCTGTAAAAGTGGAATAAGTGGTTGATGATACATTACCGAAAATAACTGAGTCCAGCTTCCAAGGCCCTCAGAATAGCTGACATTTCCCCAGCCCCGGCCAGAGAGGGGAGAGAGGGTCTGGAAGTTCAAGGCCAGCCCCAAGTCCACCTCTGGAATGTACCCTGCAGGCCTCGGCTGTGCAAACAGAAAGTCCTAGCTGAGAGGAGACGCAGTGATGGGAGGCGTGTTTAGAATTCTGGAAATCCCTTTTCTCTGCTTCCTCTTTTAGAAATATGATGCGCAATTTTTAATTTTTCCTAGCAGCATGTTGATAACCATGTGTGTTTGTGTGTGTGGTTGTGTGTATGTGCACGCGCATGCATGTGTGTGTGTAGAAAACAAATGACTTGCTTTCCAAGCTAGGAAGAACAGCTGTTTCTCACTTATTAGGATGAGAAAATAACCCACCTCCATTTGTTATCCTGTCCAAGCTCATGAACATCCCCCAGTCAGTGATTCTGAAAAGATCAGCCATTTCAGCTGTGGCAGAGAGGGACACAGGAGGGAAGACAGACAGTCCTCTCTCTGTGTCTGCCAGCACACCAAGAGGTGGTGTCGTCTTGGTTTTGAAATCCAACAAGCCTCCTCTTAGAAAGAAGAGCTTCAAGCCCAGAGTCCAGATACATTTCCTCTCTTTCATGAAAGCACACATTCCTTCAACCTAAATTACTAAAAGGAGTCCCAACTCCCAAGGGTGTCATCAAAGCAATTTAAATCATCTCCCACAAAAGTTTTATTGAACATGGCAGTCATTGTTCCCCCTCCGGTGTCAGGCATGAAGGAGAGGCAGGCTTTGAGAGGCCGGGATTATGAGGTTGAAACATTCCCTCCAGGGCAGGGTGCAGTGGCTTACGACTCTGATCCCAGCACTTTGGGAGGCCAAGGTGGGTGGATCACCTGAGGTCAGGATTTCGAGACCAGCCTGGCCAACCTGATTATCAATTTGGTGAAACCTCTTCTCTACTAAAAATACAAAAATTAGCCAGGCATGGTGGCAGGCACCTGTAATTCCAGCTACTCCAGAGGCTGAGGCAGGAGAATCACTTGAACCCGGGAGGCGGAGGTTGCAGTGAGTCAAGATCACACCAGTGCACACCAGCCTGGGCAACAGAGCAAGACTCCATCTCAATTAAAAAAAAAATTGTAATAATAAAAAGAAACATTCCCTCCAGAAATCTACAAGCAGACACACAGGAAGGACATAGGGTTCAGTCTGACCCTTGGCATTAACCTCGCCCCCACGGTCATCTCTGCAGTAAATCCCATTGATTCCAGCGCTACAGTGGCAATGTCTATACATCCCACGAGGGCCAGGACTGTGTTCTCAGGACGTGCACACAGCAGACACCTGTCCGATACCTCCAGAATGAAAACTGAAAACTGAGACTGTAAATCTGTGGAATGCGTGGAGCCTGGGAAAAATCATGGTGTAACAAACCCCAATTCTGCATCAGCCTCGGTTTCCTTATCTGTACAATGGAACAAATAATTGCCACCTCCTAGGTCCACTACCTAGGAATTCATGAGGTAGCATGTGTTGAGTACTTGGCACATTGCAGGTGACTTCATAAACGGCAGTTCCCATCCTCTCGTCTGCAAGGATTTATGACAGAATCATTTAGTCCCAGCGGATTAAAACACCATCCAAGAGAAAAGTTATTAACATGCAAGAGCACTGGCCTTAAAACTGATTGCACCGGGGGTCAAGGCGGGCCACCAGCTGGTCCCACACATACCCTTCTCCAGCTGCCTCCCCGCAGGCTCAGATCTCACCTGTAGAATGAGGGGCGGGCCCAGGTGGTCTAAAAGCCTTACTGGTCTAAGGCCCTATAGTCTCCCTCTCTCCGCAGGTGAGTGACTAAAATGTTCCGACCTCTCACATTTGGAACTCCGATAGTCAGTTGCAAGGGTGGTGACTTAACACCTGTCAGTCACTAGTGCAAAAACCCTCGTGTGCCCATCAATGGAGATATGACATTCCACAGCCACACCACCAGTGCTACTTTCTGGCCCAATGTCCCGGGCAGCTATGACTTTTTAAAATCATATTTTATATCTTAGGGTTGAATTGGGCTACCAAACTCTGAAATAGATCTCCTCACATCCAAAATGAATTTGGGTAAATATCCCAAAGAAGGCACTAGCCTGTGTACACATTCACACACATACATACACACACACACACACACACACACACACCCCACTGGAATAAAAGTCGTGCACAAATCTGATGGCACTAGATGAAAAATTACAGTGACCTGAACACACCTTTACCCTTAGAAATAGAAAAGCCCAGCCACCTGGAAATAAGGCAGGACAGTCTGGCTCCAGCTGCCCGCAAGTGTCAGCTCAGGTCTGGCTTCTTTCTGAACCAGAAAGAAAAAGGAGCAGATGCCACAGTGTAAGACTCGCGTCCATGCCCGAGCTAGGACCAACTTCAGTCCTGCGTTTTAAAAATCATACTCATATTTTATTTCTGTTTATATATACATTTATATATACTATATATCCTTATTTTCTGTTCTGATTGTTTTTGCAAAAAGTACAGCCATTAGTTTATTGATATATAATTTACATAAAGAAAATACACAGGACAGGTGTGGTGGCTCACGCCTGTAATCCCAGCACTTTGGGAGGCCCAGGCAGGTGGATCACCTGAAGTCAGGAGTTCGAGACCAGCTTGGCCAACATGATGAACCCCATCTCTACTAAAAATACAAAAATTGGCCAGGCATGGTGGCGCACGCCTGTAATCCCAGCTACTCAGGAGGCTGAGGCAGGAGAATCACTTAAGCTTGGGAGGCGGAGGTTGCAGTAAGCCAAGATTGTGCCTCTGCACCCCAGCCTGAGTAACAGAGTGAGTCTCCATCTCAAAAAATAAAAGAAAATACACAACTCTTGAGTTCAACGAGGTTTGACAACCATAAACATCTGTTGTGTAGCTACCATCCAAAAGAAGACCCATCCCCAACAAAAGTGCCTTCCTGACTCTTTCCAGGCAATTCTCCCCACCCCAGAGATGATGTTTGCCTGTTCCAGAACTTGACATAAGTGGAATCATGCAGTAGGTACTCCTTCTGTCTGGCTTATTTTATTCTACAAGATACTTGTTCAAATTCATTCATTCTGCTGCATATACCAGTAGTTCATTCCTTTTTACTGCTGAATGGTACTCTATAGAATGAATATGTCAGTTTGTTTATTCATTCACCTGTTGGTTGAAATCTGGGTTGTTTCCACTTTGGAGCTATTATGAGAAAGGCTGCTATGAACATTCTAATCCAAGTGTCCTATTTTTTTGAGACAAGGTCTCACTGTGTTGCCCATGCTCTCAGCTCACTGCAACCTCTGCCTCCTGGGCCCAAGCAATCCTCCACCTTCAGCCTTCTAAGTAGCTGGGGCTACAGGCATGCACCACCACTCACTGCAACCTCCACCTCCCGGGTTCAAGTGATTCTCCTACCTCAGCCTCCTGAGTAGCTGGGATTACAGGCAGGCACCATCACAACTGGCTAATTTTTGTATTTTTGGTAGAGACAGGGTTTCATCATGTTGGTCAGGCTGGTCTCAAACTCCTAGACCTCAGGTGATCCACCCGCCTCAGCCTCCCAAAGTGCTGGGATTACAGGCATGAGCCACTGTGCCCGGCCCCAGGCGTCTTTTGGTGTATGAGATCAGCTTTGAGACTGTGCCCTAGGTGAGAGCATGAATGAGAATAGAGGCTGCAGCAGTACCATGTGCCAAGAGTGAGAGCTCCCATGTGGAAAAGAAGAACCTGGAGAGTTGTTTTCTTGCTTATTCCATCTGGCGAAAGTGATGGAAGAGCAGGCAATGAGGTGTGCTTAAGAAAAGGCTTAAGCAATAAGAAAAGCCTTCTCCTTATCCCACCAGAGCAATAGTGGAAGAATGCCAGCATGCAGGAGGGAACTGGACTAGGAATTAGTTTCCTATCCTTCAACTTCTATAGCCTGAAGAGGATAAAGCTCCTGGCATGGCGTGTTCACGCACCATGATGGAGGCCAAGATCAATGACACAGCAGCGAAAAAATTATATATATAAATTTAAGTGTATGTGTGGTGTGTGTATTTCTACCATCTTATAACACTATATATTACACATGCTATATTAAATATCATACTTTACTTACAGGATATATTTTATTTACATACATATACCCTGTCTAAAAAAAAACACGTTTTTTTTTTCTTGGTTCTTAAGGCCAAATTTATATACATATATATGTATGCATGTATGTGTGTAAATATACATATATATATATAGTTGTTTTTTTTTTTAGATGGAGTCTCGCTCTGTTGCCCAGGCTGGAGTGCAGCGGAATGATCTCGGCTCACTGCAACCTCCGCCTCCTGGGTTCAAGTGATTCTCCCTGCCTCAACCTCCCGAGTAGCTGGGATTACAGGCACCTGCCACCATGCCCGGCTAATTTTTGTATTTTTAGTAGAGACGGGGTTGGCCCCATGTTGGCCAAGCTGGTCTTGAACTACTGACCTCAAGTGTTCCACCTGCCTCAGCCTCCCAAAGTGCTGGGATTACAGGCGTGAGTCACTGCAAAGGCCAATAATACATTAATCAAGAGTATATCTATGTTTCTGTGTGGGGCAGGTGTAAGAAATCCTAAAATATCTCCTACATAATAAGGAATCAAAAGAAACTACTTCATTCTTGCCTCTGATAAATAGAGATAGATAGGATCAAGAACTGCTTTTTAAATGTGAAAGATAATTACTAATGGTGATGATAAAGACAAACAAAACATTGCCCATAACTTCAAAGACAGATAACAAGAGGAATAGCCCCAACTATGAGGAAAAGGCTAAAAACAAAAATGGCAGAGGACTACTTACTTAAAACAACTCATATAAAAATGTCTTTAATAAAAGATAAGAGCTCCCAGGACTAAAAAGCAAAATTGTATTATGTGACCAAGGAAAATATGTGAATCAGATGACAGGCTGGGAAAAAAAAAAAAAACCCAAGAAAGAAAGGCAGACTCCTGCTTGGCACAGTGGCTTGCACCTGTAATTCCAGCTACTTGAGAGGCTGAGGCAGGAAGATTGCTTGAGGCCAGGTGTTTGACACCAGCCTGGGCAACATAATGAGACCCCATCTCTAATTTTTTTTAATTGGCCAGGCATGATGGTGTGCACCTGTAGTTCCAGCTACTCGGGAGGCTGAGGCAGGAGGATTGCTTAAGCCCAGGAATTTGAGGCTGCAGTGAGCTATGACCATTCTATGGAACTCTACCAGACAGGGAGCAAAGAAAAGAAAGTGGAGGTGGGGGAAGGAAGGAAGGAAGGTAGGAAGGAAGGTAGGAAAAGGAAAGGAAAAAGGAAGGAGGGAGAGGGGAAGGGAAAGGAAGGAAGGGAGAGAGAAAGGAAGAAAGGAAAAAAGAAAGAGAGAAAGGATGGAAGAAACAAAGAGAGACAGAGAGAAACAAAATACACAGAAAGGAAGGAAGGAGGGAAGGGGAAGAGAAGGGAGAAAGGCAGGCTTCAAACTCTGCCTCACCCTCCTAGACAACTGTTAGGTAAGAGGCAAGCTGAGGGTCCTCAAGGTGGGCAAGCAATGGAATAGATAGCTGCCTAGTGAAGTACAGGGAAAATGTTCTAGACATGTCCAAAGGAAGAACCTAGAAGCAAAGGAGCTCACACAGGAAGCAAGTCTAGGATATCCACTAGACAAAAATATTGAGGAGAAAATCAGGATTGGAAAGGTTGAAGAGAAATGAAGCCAGCAGCGTTCTCGTAGAACTTAGAAGAATTACCATATAGAAAGTGTATCCTCGGCCCATTGTAAGGGACTCAGAGGGGATGGGAGGTTAAGAACACTGAGTTAAGGGTGTACAGGTGGAAATATTCATTTGACTCAAAGCATCACTAAAGAGAAAAAGCATTACATAGGAAAACAGAGACATTATATATTGATAAAAGATAAGCTTCAACATTAATGCAGACTATCGCAGCATCAGGAGAGAGGGGATTAAATGACATTACTTCAAAATATATAATGCAAAATTCTTGGAAAAGGGGGGCAAATGAACAAAACAACTCTTTTCCAGTTTTACATCTTTAAACTGGTCAGGTTTAAAACCTATAGATAATAACATAAAGCATTTGAATATACAAAATAGAACTAATAGATGTCTGTATAAAGCATACAGGATTTATGAGATATGGCCAGGCGTGGTGTCTCACACCTGTAATCCCAGCAGTTTGGGAGGCCAAGGTGGGT